>NC_000003.12:156129816-156432846 GCF_000001405.40 Homo sapiens | reverse complement strand
CACCTGTAGCAACATGTCTCAGGACCAGTCCTGTGTCCTCTATTCTTCAGAGAGCAGTTACAGACATTGCTGCCAAAAGAAACAGCTCAGCAAGGGCCAAAGGAAAGGCTATTGTCAAGCATAAGGTGGAGATATGGGAAGGGAGGCAAAGTAAGAGACTATGAAGAAAAATGAAGCTAATTCCAGGCACAGAACCAAATCAGGTCCTGCTTCCTTCTTTTCAGCTAAAGAAATCCTCATGGTTAGACCGTCAGCTCCAATTTAGCCATTGCTCATTACCTCATCACCCATTTCCTATAATTATGTGTTGGTAGCCTCTTTTTCCTCTAATTGTAATTAGTTGTCAGATATGAAATGAGTATTGATGGTATTTTCTGCTTCTCTCTCATGGAGGTCCTTCTTTGCATATTTTCATCATCCAGGTGTTAGGATGAAGCTTTTATTTGTAAATGAGCCTTAGGTCTCACTAATCCTTTGAGATTATTAAAAACATAGAAACGAGAGAGTATATCAAGAAGGCAAAGCTGTATATTTACCCTGCAATGGAAAATTTCGTCAATTAGGCAAATTGAATTGACTCACAAAACTCTGAGCATACCTCATGCCATAGAAAAAGCTGGGAGAATTTCAGTTTTCAACTATGGCTACCAATGACATAGAAAGGGCTCAGATAAGCCAAATAAGTAGGGGAAGGCATCCCAGATCCAGGAATATGTTTTCTTCTTAACTATTCATGGTGGTCATCTGCTTATTACCTCAGCCACTATTTCCCCTCTTTAGCTAAGAGTTCTTTAATTTTCTTTT
This sequence comes from Homo sapiens, assembly GCF_000001405.40. Taxonomy (NCBI): domain Eukaryota; kingdom Metazoa; phylum Chordata; class Mammalia; order Primates; family Hominidae; genus Homo; species Homo sapiens. The sequence continues at coordinate 156,432,042 of NC_000003.12, read as the reverse complement.
GAGAATGAATCACTTCCCTACTCCCAGAATGCAGTTTGGATGGATTTAAAGTACCCTTCCCCAGTGTCAGGGTGGGTCTTGAGAGACTGAAGTCTTTGATGATTGGCTCAGGGATGGATACATAAACCAACCAGAGCCAATGGGATGTGAGGCATGAAGCTTCTGCAGTCCTCTTGCCTATTTCAGGACAGCTTGAGAATAGAACAAACCTGCAGCTCACAGAATTCACAGTTTGATCCCCAGATAAACCCATATGGGTCCACTGTCCAGGTGAGCCTAGAAATTCTTTCATGTGGGCCTAGAAATTTGTGTTTTTGCTAGAGCTGACGTCTTGGCTTGCTTTGAGCTGGGTTTTCTGTTGGCTTACTGTGGAAGGTTTCTGATTCATTCATACTCAATACGCCTGAAAAGAACTGAGACTTTATTTCTTCTTCATTCAGCTGAGGCCCTTAAGGCATTCCTATGAATGTCTGCACAGTCATCCTCGGTGCATTGGCCCCTGGAGGGTCATTCAGCCACGTACACTGCACTTTCAGAGATGACTGCCTGCAGCCCTGTGCTCTCCTCACCTGGGCATACCAGAGGCAGGCACAGACACAGCACAGCCCCACTCCACTGGCAGACAGGATTCAAATGATTCTCTATTTTTTGCCTTACTGTTAGATAAGCTTAATTGCATTATTGATTGAAATTACAAAAATTTCATTTGGGTTTTTATGCTGCACAGAGTTTAGAAAAATAATCTTTATATAAATGTAGAATGCACAGGCAAACCCGAGGTAAACAACATGAATAGACTTGTATATACACAAGATGTGCCTTAGTCAGGCTGCTGCTTAGAGTACAGGAACTATGGGGACCTCGTGAAGCCTTTAGGGCAGTGTGCAAAGGAGGGAAAGGCAGGCACTAGGAGCTTCATTGATGGTATCCACACAAAAACCAAAATGCCTGCACTCAATTGCATCCTTACTTTGAAATTTCTCATGGGGAAAGCACACCTGATCGTGGGCCAAGAGACATGGATTCCGGTCCCCATTCTGTCTGTGGAGCGTTCATAAGTCATTGTCTACCCTAACTCTGGAGATGGATGTCAGGAGTCATTCAGGTTCTGACATTTTCTAGTCCAAAGTAAAGACATTTTCACCAAGCTGCCAACCCAGAGTCATGCCGAACCTAATCATGACATCACCTGACTACTGCCTGAATGTGAGAGACGCAAGGGGCCCTACACATTTGGTGCAGCCATTCTCATTTCAAGGAGGAAGCGGAAGTTTGGGACATGAAGAGATGTGGGTGACAGCAGTGGCTGTGTGTGCTTGGAGGCTGGAAGTAGATGGGCCATAAGGGACGAGGCTGCTAGTGGAGCAGGGAGGGATAGAAAATGGGTGAGTCTGCTGTCTCTAACACTGGCCTTGAACAAGACATATCGCCTCTCCCTGACCCTGTTTTCTCACAATGGAGCTGGTGGCTGCAAGGACTAATTCTCCATCTCATGGCTGTAATGATGTTTAGTGAGATCGTCTTTATAAATGATGAATTTCAGCAAATTGCCCAGATCTGGGCCTAGAGAGGACCTTTTGTCCCCCATTACTAATGGTTTTGAAGCCACTTGTTTCATTTTTGAATCATAGGTTGGCAAATGAGGGCTACTTATCCCTTTGTGGCTGCATGGAGAGAGATGAGGTGTGTGCGTGCATGCATGCACATGGGTTGTTTGCATGCCCAGATTGTTGAATAAACCCCTCTGTGTACAGACCCTTCTATTTTCTCTCCTCGAGTTCTCCCCTAAGCCTCAACTCTGACAGCGTGTGAAATATTAGGTTGCCACACTCCTACCTAAGCTATATCATCACTCCTAATAGACTCCTGGGAGCAGAGGCAAAGCCATGTGGCCAGCAGTCCCTGCTGATTCAGAAGGCAACCACTTGTCAGCAATTCTTTCTTTCTTTCTTTTTGTCAGCAATTCTTAAGAAGGATTTTATCCATAAAAGTAGGAAACTAGGAAGAAATATTTTTAGACAATTTTGGAAAAATACAAAGGTCTGCTCATTTTTAATATGTATGCATCATGACATTTATTCAAGTTAGACTTTCCAGAAAGAGTGACATGCCTAAAACACTCTTGTATGTTTAATATTCATACACCATTTAAACTCTATGGGTATTTCGGAGTTACGATAGTTCACTCTGTTTGTGTTATGCAGAAAAATTGGTAAACTCTTTCAGGGAAAGCTTGCATTTTAAAACTACCTCTCAAGTGTCCCAGGAGGCACTTCATAATATTTATTATTGCTGCTCTTATGTTGTTATAATAGGTGAGCTAGCTAGTTTATATCGGCCTAAACAACAAGAATGGGAATCATGAAGGGTGTCATAAAAATAATACCATCCATGTTAAATATTTAATGTCGTGTTCTCCTAGTGTCAAAATATTTAGTGCAGTGAGAGCATCACTAAGGCAGACGGAGATGAGCCAGGACTACATTCTGCACATATGAATGCATTAAAAAGAAGCCCACACAGTTTATTCTTAAGATTCACTGCTTTTGCTCTAGAAAGTTCTCTTGGTTAGGGAGGGGCATAAGGCAAGACTGGCACCCAGATGGCAGGAGTCGAATGGCAGGGAAGCCAGCTCACCCCACCTGCCCTGAGGCCAGCCCTAAGCAGGGCAGATTCTCCTCTTTGGAGGCTTTCCAGTCCAGTTGGAAATGCCTCAGGCCAGCTCCCAGGCCTAGATCTGCGGGCGGCTGCTGCCATGTAGATAAGAATCATGGCTGCTGGCACTGGGTACACTAGATATCAGTTCACACATTTTTCTATCTTAATCCATCCAGATAAGACAATGTATTCCAACCCTGATACTTCCTTCAGAACCGTCAGGGCAGCATTTGAAAAACACATGCATGTGGAGCTCCTCATTGAAAAGGTCTAGGTTGAGATGAGATTATCTGAATTTTAAATTAAACAGGTAACTTCAATGTGCAGCCAGAGTTGAGAAGAAACACCTTTTGAGAGACTCATATAAGTCCTCCAAGGTGTTAAGAAGTATTTTACTTTATGACTTTATTTCTTCAAGGACGAAGCATGAAGCAGCTGCCTAAAAGGACACAGAACATTTCCTTGGAATCAGTTTGCATTCCCTAGGAATTAAAGTCTTGAGGATGTGTGAAACAGGGACCCAAAGGTATGGGGGTGTTCTTTCTCTCCTTCACTGCTTAGGTCCAGATCAAACCCTATCTGACAGGGCTGCATAAATTGTCCTCTTGACCTGCGAACAGCCCAGGAAAGCTCCATTTGGATGACGGTATTTTACATTAGGTTTAATATGTGCTCAGCTGAAAAATGAGCAAGTGACCACATTACTCCTTACTTAGGTTTTCCATATCTTCCTACCTATATCACTTACAAATACTTAACTCTGGTTGGCCACATACACTTGCATGATGTTTTGAAAAAAAAATCAACAAAATCTCTCCTCAGGGTTCTCCAGAGAAACAGAACCAATAGGGTGTGTGTGTGTGTGTGTGTGTGTGTGTGTGTGTGTGTGTGTGTGTATAGAGGAATTATAAGGAATTGGCTCATGTGATTATGGAGGCCAAGAAATCCCAAGATCTGCAGTTGGCAAGTTAGAGACTCAAAGGAGTTAATGGTATAGTTCTACTCCGAAAGCTGGCAGCCTTCAAGATCCAAGAAGGCTGATGTTTCAGTTTGAGTCTGAAGGCAAGAAAAGATCAATGTCCCAGTTTGAAATGGTCAGGCAGGAATTCCCTCTTATTCACAGGAGGGCAAGTATTTTTGTTTTATTCAGGCCTTCAACTGATTGGGAAAGTGCTACCCACATTAGGGAGGGCAATCGGCTTTACTCAGTCTGTAAGTTCAAATGTTAATCTCATTCCAAAACACCCTCGTAGGTGCACCCAAAATAAAATGTGACTAAATATCTGGACATTCCATGGCTCAGTCAAGTTGACACATCAAATTAACCATGATGTGCCTTTTTTCTTGCAGACATCTTGCCTGCTGGGAAGCATGCCCATTCCAGAGTGAATGTTGGAAGGTAAAGTCAGCCCCTTTCAAGCACACACAGGTGAGCTGGACATTGTGGTGTGTTACCTCCCATGGAATGAATCAGACCGGCCTACTGCTCCTAATGTGAGACTTTTGGAGCAAGTCAGTGTGGGCAGATGCTCCTTTCTAACTGTAGAAGCAAGAGCCCTGATGAAACAGCTCTGGGTCTAAACCCAGCCTAGACCCCATATCACCTGTGTATGTGGTAGGTTCCCCGGTCTCCAACGCTCTTTTAGGACAATCCCTGATGCTGGGCCTCTCTCTATCTCCACTCCCTACCCCACAATTCTGTCTCTTCATTGATATACCACTGGAGGAAGTCAAAGAACTGGGCTGGGCCTCAGCAATTCATGATTTCTGACTTCAGCTGCATCCTTGCTATTATTCAGTGGACCTTTTGTCATTTCTTAGCAATTGATCATCTCTCCAGTCATTCACTCAAAAATATTTTGAATACCTGCTACTAGCCAGATACTGTGATCTGCTAAAGTGCAATAGGAGTGTAGAAAAATAGGCAGTCCCTGCTCTCAGGGAGCATACACTCAGGCAGACACCATGAGCCAGATGTCCTAAACCTGTCCAAACACCTCAGTCTTCTGTGTTTCCAGGTGATCTCAATGACAATCATAGGGTCATCACTGTGAGAAGTTCCTGGGTCTGTATTTCCAGCCTAGAGATCTCCACAGAGTTCCCCTTGTTCTCTAGATATCTGAAGCTGGGAGGTCACAAGCTCTTTGGTCACCACTCCCCAACAGTGCTGTCTGCCCTCACAGCTCCCTCCTGTGTCTCCTGTCTCTGAGATTTCAGCTCATCCACCCCCATGCCCAATCCAGGAGTCTGGGCATCTTCCTGCACTCAGGAAGACCTCCTATTCTGTATCCAGAGATCACCAGCCCTACTCATTCTTTCTCCTAATCACCTCCTTCCTCTACATCTTTCATACCACTGCCTCATCATCAACTCCTAATTAATTTCCCTGCCTCCAGCCTCAACCCTGTTCCCTCTATTATAGCCTTCATGTTGCTTCTAATACCTTTGATCATGTCTTATTCCTGACCCAAGGTTTTCAATGGCTTATCACAAGCTTGAGCAAGGTTTTGATAACTGTTTTTGGCATAGGATGAATTTTTTTTCCAAAATGTAGTATGAAGCACTAAAAAGAAATGAACTATCAAACTATGAAAAGACATGGAAGAAACTTAAATGTATATTACTAAGTGAAAGAAGCCAATGTGAATAGGCTACATACTATATGATTCAACTATATGACATTCTGGAAAAGGCAAAACTATGCAGACAGTAAAAAGACAGTGATTTCCAGGAGTTAGAGGAGAGGGAGGGATGAATAGGCAAGACAGAGGATTTTTTAGAGCAGTGAAACTATTCTGTATGATACTATAATGGTAGATACAAGTCATTATATATTTGTCAAAACCCATAGAGTGTACAACACCAATAGTGAACCCTAATGTAAACTATGGACTTTGGTTGATAATGTTGTGGCACTGTAGGTTCATCAGAGGTAACAAATGTGCCACTCTGGTGAAGGATGCTGATAACGAGGGAGGTTATGCATGTGTAGGGATAGGGGTGTATGGGAACTCCTTGTGCTTTTTGCTCAGTTTTGTAGTGAACTTAAAACTGCATTAAAACATAGTCTATTTTTTTAAAATAATAATAATAATATGCAGAAAAAGTGGGCTGCTTTGATGGAAGCTGTGGCAGGTGGAAGGAAGAGAGTGGAGAGAGATGGAGCCTTTGCTCCTCCTTGTCCCTGAAGTGTTTGTTGAGACCTGGGGACCTTTGGATTTGAAGGAATTCCAGAGACATAGAAGACAAGAGCTAAATGGCTTAGCAAGGCAAACAAGGGTTCTTATAATCAAACCTAGCTTTCTTTCCAGGCTCATTTCTTGCTGTTCCCCAATACCTTGTACTCATAATATTCTATACATGTGACCCATTTCCCCAAGTACCTCCCCTCGGTGGAGTCTCCCTCTGGAGTCGCCGTTGCTTGCATTGCTTCCTGTCTTAAACCTCTTGCCCTCCCTCTCCACTTGACTTCTCTCTTCAAGTGTCAAGCCAAGTGGCAACCCTTGTTCCCCCATCAAGCTATCCCAAATCCCCCAGGAGACCTTCTTCACGCTTCACTTGCCCTGTACTCTCCATTACGGCATCTGTCAGATACATTATCAGTTTGTTTTTTTGCAAGCCTAACTCCCACTGCACTATGATAAATTTGAGGGCAGGCTCCATGCTCTTGTCCTCGTATCTTCTGTAACCAATGTCTGGCTTCATAAATGTTTGCTTAAGATGAATAAATGAATGAGTGAATTAACGTAAATTCTACCATTTTTCTCTCATAAGGCAGTTCCACCTCCTATCAGATCGGGGTGAGTTTGGTCACTCTGAGTTTATTCCTTTCCCATGAGTTTTTTGACTTCAAGTCTTGACAATAATGGGCAGTATATTTACAGAACAGGCAAGCCACAGCAACCCACAGGTAGGATTGGCCACATAATATTAATATTTTTTCCCATTTCTCTCCTTGGCAGGGCTGTGTTCTTTCGGATGTACCATCAGTTCACTCTCAAGTTACTTCACCTTTCTACTCCCATTTACACATTTGCTCTTAGTTCACCAAAAGGAAAATTGTCAGGGCAAGGAATTTCCGGCTGCCCCTTCTCTGGTAGAGAAGAAAGTCAGAATTGTTAGCTTTAACTATCACTTTTAGAGTATTTCAAGAAAAGAATCTGTAGCTTTCTGATTTCCTGGCAGTTTTACTACTTAATTTCTAAGGCCTCAGTTGAACGTAGGTCGTGACTGAGCTGACATCCTAAGCCTGCAGCAGTAAACCCAGCTCCATTTGGATTTGACAGCTGGGGTCTGCAGAGCCTGACAAATTATCTAAGGCTGGTGCATTATTTCTTTCTATGAATTTCTTGTCTCCTCTGGCTTATAGAGGCAGTTCAAAAAAGTTCTGAAAGAGTGCTTATTCAAGTTGTCAAGCTTAGTTAACTGTTTTGAATGAAGCAAGTCAGCCCTATGAACTTCCTTGTTTCCTCTTATTTTTCATGCAGTGTCTTATTACAAGTGTTCAGGCTCTTGAAAAAACTTGAAGCTCAAATAGAACTTGCTGCTCCTGAATCAAGCCTGTTTCAAAGTTCACTAAAATGCCTGCACCTCATACACAGTCTGCAGTTTTAAAGAAAACAAAAATCAACAAAAACTGGAGACTGGCCTCTGGAGACTGGGATTGCATGGGCACCTGAATTTGTTATTGTCTTAAGGGCTTTCAGCTGAGTTTTCTGTGTACTTATTGACTAAACTATTTTCCACCGTAGACACAAGCTTGTAAATAGTTGGGCAATGCTTTTTCACTACATATATTTCTTACTTTACATTAATAGGTAGTTCCTTTCAATAATGAATACCGAATAGTTATTTACTGTAAAGATATACTTAAAAAAAAACTAAGGTCAGAGTGTCCCTGGTAATGAATCTCCAGGGTCTTTCAAATATGAGTAAATAGTAACAATATCAGAGCCATAAATTAAGCAAATGTCAAATTACCTTAGACTTATGGTGAACAATACTGCCTTCACCTCCCAAGTCAGATTATTAGGAAGAATCAGAAAAACTCAGACATTGATGGCTTTCAGTATCTTTGAAATACCCCTTCACACATGCCAGCTCTGAGTCTCACACATCATCAGGACCCTCATGTTGTAGTTGCTGACCCACCCTGGTCACTCCCTCTCATTCTTTGAAAATTTTAGCTCACTTCTCACTGCCACTCTCCAATGTTAGTTTTGCTGTACTTTTTAGTGAGTTCAGTGACCCCAAAGATGATCTTCCCTGCACCTTCACCTCCAAGTTTCTTAACCTTCTCTCCTTCACTGATCTTGTCTTCGATACAATCTCCACCATTCTCTCCCAATGGACACACCATAGACTATGTCACTAACAATAACTGAACCCCTCTGTAACCCCAATTTCAAATGTTTCCCTTTTCAACCACTTTCTATCCTTCCAACCACTGTCTCTAATGTTTTTGCTTCAACAATTCTTTAGTCCCTCTGGGATATATACTTTATTGATCCTATCCAGTTTTCACAGTCCCTCAGCTCCCTCATTTTAGCTCCTGGCTCATTTTCCTGACTCTGTCCTCATTTTCCTTTCTACTCAGTTTAAATGCCAACTCCACCATTAAAATAACTGCCCAACACAAGCCCTCAGCATCTTTGCCCTCTTTTTATCATCTTATGTAAAAAAACAAAAACCCACCTGAACTTGCAAAGCTGAACATGTCTAGAAGAAAAACACATAACTATGGACATGGTCTCACTTCAAATTTAATCATACTGATCTTAAGCTGATCCTTAATGCTATCTTGTCACTGTGTGGCCTAGCCCTGGTCAATTCACTCTTCTGTCCCGCATGTCTTCTCTCCAAACTTCTAACACTTCCTTCTCATCCTCACTAACAGCTGATGATTTTGCTTCTGATTCCCACTGAGAATATAAAAGCAATAGAAGAGAACTTTGACAAAATACCTCCCCCTCCACCACCCCATCAATCGCCCTACTAGCCTCAAAGCCCATGTACTCTGCTTCTTTCATGTACTGTCTCCTTGTGTGCTTCTCACGTCCTCAAGAAATCATTCCAGATATTCTTCTCTCTCCTTTTTCCGCATCATTTTTTCCTCTCAAAAGGATTTCCCCATAAGTGTATAAATATGTGGTCATTTCTTCCACGTGCAAAAGCAACCTCTCTGATCCCACTTGTCTGCTCAGTGCCACTCCATTTCTCTGCTTTTCTTTATAGCAATCATCATCCAAAAGAGTAGCCTTCAGCTTGTCTCTTTCCATTCTCCCAGGGGACCATTCCAATTATGCTTTAAACTCTACCATTCCACCCAAACAGACCTTGTAAAAGTCACTGATGACCTCCATGTTGCTGAACCCGATGGTCAATTCTTGGTCCCCATCTTGCTTGATGCATGAGCACCACTTGACGGGATTGGTCACTCCATCCTCCTCGAAATGCTCACCTGGATTCCAGGACTCCATTTTTTTTTCTGATTTTTCTCCTGCTGCGCTGGTTGCTTTATTTTCAGCTTTCTTTGGCTCCTCCTCACTTTCTCGATTTCTTAATGTTGGATTTCCTAGGTCTTAGACCATGTGCCTCTGTTTTCTATTCTGTCTATAAGCACACCCTTAGTGCTCTCATCCAGGATCCGGGCTTAAACAGCATCTACTTGCTGATGACTCTCAAGTTAATATATCTAGCTCTCCTTTCTAAATTGGAGTCATAAGTCTATTTGCATACTTGACAATTTTTATTGCAGGCCTAATCGATATCTCAAACTTAGTATGTCCCAAATCAATCTCCTAATCTCCCTAAATTTCTCTCTCATTTTTCTACCTCATTTACTCATACTTCATCCTGTCTGTTGCTCAGGCAAAAAATCCTTAGAGTCATCCTTGACTTTTTTCTGTCATCTTCCACATAGAACCCAACAGAAAATCTTTCAGGTTTTACCTTGAAAACATAGCCACAATCTGACCACTCCTCACTACTTCCTCAGTTACCATCCTGGTCTAGACTTAGGTCACAGAACAGCTCTGATTGGTGTTGAATGGCAGGAATGCCAAGGCTGCCTTTTCCTGGGCCTAAGGGATGTCTGGAGGCCTCAAGCCTCCCCAAGTCTCACAGTCAGATTCCACGACTTCAGATTCATCTTTATGCTGTTAGAATTGCCATCTCTATTTAATCCTCTTCAAATATTGACTGGGAGGAATAATACTTTTTATTTATTAATGCATATTAATGTACATGTGTTTATGTGTATCTCACCTTGCCCCCCCAAATATTTAAGGCAGATTATAAAAGTATATAAAATGCATAATAATAATATAGAAAAGTGAGGAAATTAGGCAAAGGGAAAACAAGGATAGATAGAAAAAATTCAGGTGAATTGAGGGAGTGGTGAACTGAACCTATAAAATGCATGCCATGCAGTCCTTCATGCTTGCTAAATGGGAGTGACGCATGAGTCCCTTTCTCTGAGGTGTGCTTTAGCATCAGGTTGCCTTATGCTCGACGGGCCCCTATAAGGAATCATGAACACGGTGGCTCCCTGGGAGAGGGTCATGATGGGAAGAGAAAGGCTCAAAGGAGAAGTGGGGCAATACTGGCCAGGAAGCCTCCTCCTCATCTGAGACCAGGTCCTGGCCTAGACCACAGTCACTCCCTGGTGCCCTCCCCAGTCTCCCACCTTCCAGCCCACCCCCAGGTCACACCCTCAGTACTTACCAAGACCCAAGCAAGAAACTCTGAGTCCTGATTTTCCAAGATTCCTATAATAAAAACAAAGCAACACTTGGTCATCATTTCCTCAGGTGGAACTGTACATGCATAAGTGGATATTGTATCTCCATTTTGGCAGATTCTTGATGAGTCCTGATAGAGGCAGAACCACAGATGCCGGCATATTGTCTTGAGACAGGTCTCCCTTGCATGGCCACTCAGGCATCAGGAAGCTCAAAATCTGTTCAGGCGCAGCACAGAAAATGTCCCTCACAGAACACAGCTTCTCAGTCTCATATTGTCTTCTTTATTAACTTGTTTACCCATTTACTGGCTTTCTCTCTCCTTCTAGAATCTGAGTTTCTTGAGGGTAAACTTCTTTAACTTATTCACCAACCATTCATTCATTATTTGTCAACTGACCACTTCTCACTACTTCCTCAGTTACCATCCTGGTCTAGACTTAGGTCACAGAACAGTTCTGATTTGTGTTGAATGGCCTGACACACGGTAAGTAGAGCCTTAATAAATATTTTTGACTTACTGACTAACAAACTGACTTCTAAAACAGAATATTAATTCTAATGGATGTGAATTATTAAAATAACAAATATAAAACTATCTTTTAGGTTATTTTAACTATATCCTATATTTAATATATTATAATATAATACATAGATATATATTTAACTATATTACATATATATGTGTGTGTGTGTATATATATTTAATTCAAGATTACATAAAATTACCACGGGAACATCAGATATTTCTTTATTCCCAAAAGTTTAAGGAAAAGAAATATATTTTTGCTTTCTAAACAAGGATAGAACTAGGAGCTCTAGTATGCATTTGCCTATAAGTCTTTGTGGAAATCCAGACTCAACCCATTTTTGTCTTCTGACTAGCATAGAGGAAAAAAACAAATTCTCAGAGACAGGGTGCCTCATAGCATTAGTGTAAGGGTCCAAAGTGAGCAGGCAAAGCTGAAATAACTGTAACATTGTAGAAAAGTGCACCCTTATTCTCTGATAAAAGGCTTTCATAAAAATACAGTTTCCCTTCTTGCTCCCACACCAAAGGAAACAACACAAATAAAACTTCCAAATTGGTGGCACAGCTGAACTATCCCAAGTTCTCCCTTGATTTGTCATCAGTTTTGGTTTCTTTAGACTTAGCAATTAGTACTCCCATTTTTGCATCACATGTTTTTCCTCTGCTTATTAATGTTGTCTATAAAATGCCACCTAAGCAACACATTCAATTGCACAACATAATAAAAAATGCATAAAAATGCAAAGAGTTGAAAGACCCGGGCTTTTGACCCGTTGTCACAACTAGTTGGGTGACCTTGTAGAAATTGCTCCCTTTTCTTTCCGGGGTTGAGTTTCTTCATTTGGAAGATGTAGCGTTGATGTCTATGCCATTTGCATAGCATCACTGTTTGTAGGGCCAGATCGTGAGAATGTGTGCTAAAGTGTTATACTGTAAACAAATGCAAGGCATAGCGATTTCTGGTGCTTTCTGACTCCTACCCTCCAACCAGACATGGTGCTAAATTTTCCCATATGAACTGGACATGTCCAACTGGAAGAAAACTGTTGCATAAAGATGCATGTGGAAAATATTTTGAACCACTAAATGGGACGAAAATAATTGGATTGCTCCAGTGAACATAATTTTTATAAGAAATTGTTCATTTAGTAGTTTTTCAGAAATCAATAGATGTACAAAGACTTTTCTTGGTAGTCCAAAAGTCTACTGATTTTAAGGGGTAGGAATCTAGAGCAAATGCTATATTGTAGGGAGAATTTTTTTAAAAAGTCATGGAGATACAGAGAAGAACAAGGCATGGTCCTGTACCCTCAAGGAGCTTAGAGTCCACTGAGGGACACAGAAAAACCAACATGTAATTCCAGTAACATGGGATACATCTTACCGTGGAGATCACATGAGGTGGTGGCTTCCTCAGGCTTATATTTGCATAACTTTGTAGGTATCATGGAGAAAAGGATCTAGAAAAGGGTTTTCATGTATTTTTAATGTCTTTCAGTAGGGAGAAGTGACTTGTAGAAAACTCTATAGAGCAAGACAGTTCTAAGGCTAAGTCTCTATAGTTCAGAGATTTTTCTTTTCTTTCTTTTTTTTTTTTTTTCTTTTTTTTTGAGACGGAGTCTCGCTCTGTTGCCCAGGCTGGAGTGCAGTGGTGCAATCTCGGCTCACTGCAAGCTCCGCCTCCCGGGTTCATGCCACTCTCCTGCCTCAGCCTCCCGAGTAGCTGGGACTACAGGCACCCCCCACCACGCCTGGCTAATTTTTTTTATTTTTAGTAGAGATGGGTTTCACTGTGTTAGCCAGGGTGGTCTCGATCTCCTGACCTCGTGATCCACCTGCCTCGGCCTCCCAAAGTGCTGGGATTACAGGCGTGAGCCACCGTGCCCCGCTAGTTCAGAGATTGTTCTAACAAACTCAAATAAGGCAAAGTTATATCACTGGGTACTTAGCAACATCTCAGCACCCATTTTCCTGATGGCAGTCCTATTTTCCTTATGGCAGCAACTGAAGATAATGATCACTCTGTTATGGGTTTTGAAGACCAAACATGAGAACTGTCAGCAAAAACAAACTGCAAACTAGCAAGTACTAATGGCCCATTTTCTTGCCACTGCTGTTTAAACGCCCAAGATGGCCTTTCTGGAATGAAAGCCTTACAAGATTTTAAAATGTAAGAAAAGTTCAGTTACAGACTAATACTGCTATAGTGGTGATAGGTCCCCACCTTAAGCCTTGATATTTTTGTTTCCCTTAACTCTAATACTTTTAATTATTTTTCCAAATACCTTCATCCTCTAGATAGAACAGTTATGAAATTCAGGTGGTCACTTTTAAAGTGAGAGGCATTTTCTCTGCATGAGATATATCTGGGTCTCTGTGTGCATTGCTCTAACTTTGCTCAGATGCAAGTCTCTTTGTGAGACGTGTACCACTTAAGGCACTCCCAACACAGGATGGTGCCACTCACTTTGCAGCTGGAGAAGGTAGGAGGAACTAGCTACCTCCAATTCAGGGCATGAAATCCCAACATGATTTCTGCTATTCCAAATGGCACGTCTGCATCCTCCTGTCTCTATCCATGTTTGTGCAGTACTAAGTGAAGATGTAGCTATTGTCCAGTTACTCTAAGCCACTTAAGATCTGATGTGTAATAGAAGCCCAAATACTTGACACATTTGATCTAATGAGTTCAGCAGCTTGTTTGTGTGGCTTTAATATCAAATAATGACCAAGTTTACTAATCATGCTGGGCTATAACACATACCCTGGAACCTTTATCTCACTCATGTAGAATTTTCACAAATACCTCATAATCTTATGTGACATTGTGCAGAAAAACAACTTTATATGATATTATTCTATTTCTTAATTCCTCAGTGTTCCCATAAGTGAGGCTACATAAAAATTCTGTAAGCACATCAAATTGCCAATTAGAATGAATTATTTTTCCATTTGATTCAAAATTGTTTCACTGCACAGGTTTAACTATTTTATCTATGTCAGAGATATCAAAAACAAGTCTCACCATGTTCATTTTTAGTATCTGCTCCTGTTCAACTCAAAATAAAAGCTCCTCTTTCTCAGGTGAACCTGAACTGCTCTGCTGCTAATATTAGAAACAAATGACATCAATGTGGAGGCACAGAACACTTAGCTTTGTCAGTCAAATTTTGGAAATCCTACAGCGTCAGTAAAGAGTTATGTGGAGAAGGGATATAGCTTCTTGAGAGCTCAAAGGTTGTGATTCCCCTTTCTTTCTGAAGGCAGACTCTCCACTCGGTGAATACATGGCTGACCTTATTTCAGGACAATGATTTGTTCCATGGCAGAGGCACTGAATGTAATTCCTAGCCTCACTTTATGGAGCAGCCACCAGGCTTTTTTTTTTTTTCTTTTAAGGCAATACTGGAGTAGTGAGAACTGAAATCAAGCATCTCTTAGGCTCAGTTTTGCAGGCCACTCTGATGCTCACAGTTTCTTTACAAGTCAAAGAGGCTAAAAGCAGAAAATTCGTAACCCAAATTTGTTGTTTTAAATGGCTTGTTTCTCGATGTACGTATCTTAGACCTTATTCACAATTTTAAACAGCTGAGAAAAGTAGCTTGCAAAAATATGTGCCTTGCATTTGACCAAGCAAGAAGCATATGCATGGGGCAAAATCCCCGATTTAAAGGTTGACGTAACAGGGACAGCTGGAAAGCATATGCAAGGGGCTCCAGCAGCTGTGTCAGGCTGGCAGAAACAAGCTGGGTTTGACCTGGTTTTCATGTGGTCAGAGAATTACATCATTTGCTGTCTCACTCTATTTGAACATCTTTCTGATCCTTCTGAATTATACTCTGCCTTACCTGGAAGTTACTAATCAAATATGAGATTTGGGTTTGTTTGTTTTTTTTAAGAAATGCACATTTAATAATGTACATGAGCAGAAATCATGTTCATTTGCCAGCCAGCTGGTTTTGATAGTTACAAGGTAACATACATTTTGACAGCCATGAAGGTGGCTACAAATAGTAATAACATTTTCTTATGAGGGCACTGTTCATCATTGTTGGTAAGTAAATAATGACTCATTTGGGATTCACCAGGCACACAAATGATTTAGCCAGGCATTTTGAGGACAGACATTGACAGGTGGCAGAACAAAACTTTTATTCTTACCTTTTTAAAAATAGCAACAAAGTAGAACAGGATTCTTCCAGATTCTTTGATTTAAAAGTTTAAGTCATTTGTCAATTGCAAATTCTGACTAGGTTCTTATTCATTTTCTTTGGACAAATAAAACACCCGATGATCCGTATCTTTCTAGAAAAGTCTAGAGAAGTGTGGAAAAAAGAGACTTTCCTATAATTAATTAATTAGGTCAAAGAAGATGTACCAAATTTCACCTATGTACCAGGCCTCAGACTAGGCTGTGAGCCTGGGCTGAGTGGCAGATAGTTGCTGCTCTCGTGCAGCTTATGTCATAGGAGGTGAGACAGGTATTAAATAGATTAATTATTTGATTATAATATTAAATAAAAGGATAGTAGGCCCTAAATACAAAATTGGGACCCTCAGAAAGCTGACCTAATATGCGTGGTTAGGAAAAGCTTCTCTAGGGAAGTAATATTTAAACTGAGATCCAAAGGAAGAGTAGGAAGAAACTTAGTAAAGAGAGCAGGGATCAGCATTTCAAACAGAGTGAACAGCATGTGCAAAGGCTCAGAGACTGGAAGAAGCATGGGTAATTGAGGAACTGAAATACGTTCTAGGCAATAGAGGAGGGGAGAACAAAGGGTTGAGTGGCTCTACATGAGTCTGATAGGGTGGCAGGAGCCAGATAAAACAGTGCCTTAAAGATTATGTTGCAGATTTTGACCTTAATATGGAGTAATGGAAGATGTTAGCAGGGAAAATGGGTTGAAGGAAGGTAAGAAGAGGAGCTAGATGGCTGCTTAGTTAATCCTGATGAGAAATGGTGCTACCTTGAAATCGGATTTAGTGGAGTGGAGAGGATGGGGAAGATTCCAGATATCCCCAGTAGGTAAAATCTACAGGACTTGGTATTTTGATTGAATATGAGGGTGAAAAAGGAGGAATAACAGGCCATTCTCAGGTTTCTGATTTGGCCAGCTGGGTGAAGAGGGGTGCTTTTCACCGAAGTAGAGTGTTCATTGGGGACATTGGGGGAACAACGGTTTTGGATCTTTGGGCAATCTCGTGGGGACTGAATATCCATGAGACATCCAAGGTTAATTGCCTGTAACTCAGAGTGGGGAGAGGGATTTTCTGAGTGTCCAGGGTAACAGGCACCATGGGCTGGGTCAGCGGCTGAGGGAACCGATTCTGTTAGTGAACAGGGCCCACGATGGGGCCTTGAGGAGCTCCAGCACCACAGATGATGGAGAGGAAGCTGCATCGGCAAAGAAAATTGAGAAGGGGCGGCAAAGGTGTACATGGAGATCAGGAAAGTGTCTGTGGAGAAGCCAAAGCAGGGGATGGTTTCAGCAGGTAGTGAGTGGGCAGCAGTGTTGAAGTCTGCCATGAGATAGAGCGCAGCGAGTGGGGTGGAGAAATTCCCTTCATGTTCAGCTTTGTGGGGATGGCTGTTGACTTCTGTGGCAGCCATTCCAGTTGTGTCACGGATGGGAAGCCGGGCTGAGTGGGCCAAGGAGAGGAAAGGTGTAGAAATGGTGTTCACCAGATGTGTGTGACCTTGGGCAGGTTGCTTGGCTTTTTAAAGTCTCTTTCCTCATTCATAAATGGAGGTAATCATCGCACACTACTTTTGTTGACAGTTAAGTGAGAAAATATAAATGCAGTACCAGTCCTAGCATATTTCAGTGTTCAATTAGTGTTAGTTGCTTTCTGCCTTTCTTATTTCTTAGGAAAAGCGCTATTTTAAACACTGAATCTGGTTCTGGTATGGGTACAAAATCTGGTAGAAGGCTGCCTCTGTGACTTTCAAGACCCACTTCCCTGGCCTAATGATCCTCTCAGTTGCCCTAATGATCTTCCAGCCTAGATAAATTTGTGCTTAGACATTGCAGATAGCCTGAATCTATTATATGTGAATTGTAAGTTATTTTGCTAGAGTCACTAGAAAAAGTGGGAATCAGAGGATGAAGACAGATAAAAGAGGCAAAGAAGAAGGTGGCACTTTGGAGAAATGATAGAAATCTGAGGTGTTTAGAACTGTTTCCATGATCACCAGACCAGGGAAAATGGAGCTGTGACATAAAGTTGTATGGATATAACCATACAAACTTGAGTGTTCTGTGGAGGTGGGGCTTGAGAAGTGCCCACTCATGTCTACTTAGCCCTTAAATAAGAGCTACTCTTTGCTTTTCCTGTCTCAAGCATCTAAGGCAGCAGAAAAGCTGGACATCAGTAACTCAAAAAGTCTTAAATCAGAAGAATCTGGAACCTCTGTCTCAAGGGCATATAATCTGCGGATACATAAACTTGAATGGGAAAAATACATCTTTATGTTTCACCACCTTTTAACTGAAAGTTAGCATATCCTTCCATTCTCAGTGTAGGCAAGAAACCCCATAAGTACTCATGTTACTGTTTGTGACTTTGACACCATCAAAAACTGCAGGTGTTTTTGTATCACTTCAAAGTTGAAGACATCAAAAAATCATTTACGCTCACCATTTACACTCATTACCACTTGGAAATTGTGGCAATTGACCCACACCTAGAACTTGTTAATACATTAATAAAGAAGTGTATGTATTACTAGATCACAGATTTGGTTTTTACATATTTTGAACTATATTTCAAATTAACTGGGATCCTGTGTATTTTATGTAATGTTATTTAAAGCTCTTTCCACAAAATGAAGGGAAAGCCTTCTCTGGCATTCTCTTTGTGATGAGAGCTGTAATTAGTTTTCACTGTGATGAGTTTTCAAAGGCAAAAAAACAAAAACAAAAAAAATCTGAGGTAGGACTTCTATGCCTTATATCTTTCTTATTCCATTTACTGTGGGTGAATATCTCACTTTCTCTTTAGAAAGCAAAGTCAGCAATGTAGCAGAGACTGAGGAATGAGCCTGACTGAGGAGGAGGGTGATATTTAAACATACACTTAATCAAAAGTAAATGCTTTCAGCCATAATGCATTAGTCTGCCTTTCATTTTCCTTGACAGAGGAACAGAAAATTAATGCCTGTTTCTCTATGTGCCATGTCTTTTACATCTGCAGTCAGAGTGCGATATATCACAGTGCATCTTATGGTTATTGTGTACGAGATTATTTCCCCTTCCAGACTGAGATCCATGAGGCCAGGGATTGTGTCTAAGGTGTCTGCATATTCCCACCACCTAGCACAGTGCTGGGTGCATAACAGCTGTTCAGTGATGCTCACAGTGGGTGCTGTAATGCTATCGCTTTGCTGTGGATAAAGACAGTATTGCTACTCACTTATGACTTTCTTCTTGGCCAGGGAGGCTCTGTGGTTTGCCAGAAGACACGGGGCAGTTGAGTGCAGTGGTGAAATGCAGCATAGTGCGGCAGTGCCTCTATCACTTACTATCAGCAAAGCCTTGGGAAATGTATGGAACCTCTCTGTGTCCCATCTGTTACATGGGGATAATAATAGAAACTACTTCATAGGGTTGTTGTGAGGATTCAATGTGAGGGTTGCAGCATTTAAGATAGGGCTTGGCACATGGTAAATGCTCTGTAAGTGCAAGCTGTTATTAGACAAACACAGATTGACTCCAAGCTCTGCTCCTGGTACTTAGGGGCAACTCATTTCACCTTATTTCAGAAGACAGATTCTTGCCTCCATAAGTGAGTTTCTAACCCTGCTTTGAGTGGAGGAACATCGTAAACATTGTGGCCTTTCTTTTAACCAGCATAGGTGTTAGGACTTCTTTTAATTTTACAAGAGGCTGGAGCTCGTGAACCTGCTTAGCAGGATGCCTTCTATCCCCACTCAGACCCTTCTTGTCCCTCTACCTCTCCAGTTAACTGTAGTCACTGTTCCAATGGAAGGGCCAAGTCCCAGGTCCCAAGTGTTTGCAACCTTAGAGTTTGGGGCTAGGGTGAAAGGGAGAATCCTACCATGGTCTACTCTTATGTTCAGGCTTGACTCTACTTTTTAATTCTAGTAACTCCAGCACTTTAGACCACCTGCTGGTCACCTCATCTGAATCTTCAGTGCATATTTCAAATTCAGAATGTCAGTCTGTGGGTCAGCCCCCATCAAAACAATGAAGCTCAAACCTGGATATTTTGTCTTCTTCCTCTCCCTTGGTCTCTACAGCCAGTCAGCAAATCCTGAAGAGCCAGCAAATCCAGAAGAGCCAGCTTCCTTCAGCACCACCCTGACTTCTTCACAGCCACTACTAGGTCAGACTCTTGTGACAGATAGCTAGCTCCTGGCCTGCTCTTCTGCCTCTAGATTCAATCTTGTTCTCTCTCTCTGTTTATCTCTGATCAGCCTTACCACTTTCTTTTTATGTAGCCACTATTATTCATGCCCTGTTACCTTTCCTCATTTGCAAAGTACTCGATTGTAGACTCCAAGCCTGATTTATATTTGTCTTCCTCGTAATACTTAGCACCATGGAAGTGCGACTCAATACTTCAGTGACTAAATGAACAATCCAATAAAAGTTTGAGAAGCCTTTCTTAACTCTCTGATGTGGAGCCCACAGTTAGATATTATTTTATTCTTCTTTCTTTTATGTTTAGATTGACTATTACAATTCAGTTGTCTTATTCACTGTCATAGTACAATAAGGCAAGACAGAAGGCATTCATATTTTAAAAAAGGAAATAAAACTGTCTCTCATCGAAGATATGATTGTCTATGTAGAAAAAAACCCCAAAGAATCTACAAAAATCTCCTAGAACTAATAAGTGAATTTAGCAACTTTGTGAGATATAAGATCAAGATATAAAAGTCAATTGTATTCCTAGGAATAAACTACTGATTGGTATTCAAAATTTAAAAGAGTAATACTATTTATAATAGCACCCTCAAAATGAAGTATTTGTTTATAAATTTATTAAAATATGAGCAGTCTCCATATACTAAAAACTAAAAAACACTGAAGAATGAAATGAAAAAAGACCTAACTAAATAGAGAGGCATATCATTTTCATGGACTGCATGACTCAATATGGCTAAGATGTTAATTCCCCTCAATTTGATCAAAGGACTAAATATTATCCCAATTTATATCCTAGCAAAATGCTCTGTAGACAGCAACAAAGTGATTAAAAATGTATATGGTAAGATAAAAGAACTCAGATATTCAAAACAATGTGAAAAAGAGTAAAGCTGGAGGACTCATACTATCTGATTTCAAGATTTAATATAAAGCTACAGTAATCAAAGGCAGTGTTGTGTATGTTAAAAGGAGTGAAGCACATATAAATGAAACAGAATAGACAGTAAGTGGAACAGAACAGACAGGTCAGAAATAGCCCCACACAAGTACAGTTAACTAATTTTTGACAAAGGTGCAAAGGTAATTAAATGGAGAAAGGATTGTTTATTCAACAAATGGTCATGGGGCAAATGAAATAATTGTTCATTTGTAAAAACATTGAACCTTGACACAAACCTCACATCTTATACAAATATTAATGAAAAGTGGATCATAGATCTAAATGTAAAATATGACACTATAAAACTTCTAGAAAAAATGGGAGAAAATATGTGTGACTTTGGGCTTGACAAAGTTTTTAGATATGACATAAAAAAGATGATCCATTAAAAAATTAAAAATTGGACTTTAGAAAAATTTAAGACTTTTGTTCTGAGAAAGATACTATTAAGAGAATGAAAAGACATGTTACATGCTGAAAGAAAATATCTGCAAAAACTCATTTAAAAATAGCCGAAGTACTGAACAGATACTTCACCAAAGAAGACATTTGATGGCAAATAAGCATATGAAAAAAAATGCTCAACACCATTAGGAAAATATAAATTAAAACCATAATCAGATACCACTATATACTTATTAGAAAGTGTAAGATAACAAACAAACATACTAAGTACTGGCAAAGATACAGAGCAAATGGAATCTCATTCCATTGCTAGTTGATATGCAAAATGGTACAGCCCACTTTGAAAAACAGTTTGAAGGTTTCTTACAAAGTTCAACAATCTATACCATGTGACTCGGCTATTTCATTCCTAAGTATTTACCAAAGTGAATTAAAAACTTACATTCACACACAAAAAAGTGTATATAAATATTCATAGCAGCTTTATTCACAAACACCAGAGGTTGAAAGTCCCCCAGATATCTGCCAACGGATGAATGGATTAACAAATTTGGGTACATTCATACAAAGGAATACTACTCGGCAATAAAAAGAATTAAAGGCATTTTGCTAAGTGAAGGACACCAAACTCAAAAGGCTACAATATTGTATGATTCCACTTACATGACATTCTAGAAAAGACAAAACTAGAGGGACAGAAAGCAGGTGTGTAGTTACCAGGATTTGGAGGTGGGGAGAGCTTGACTACAAAGTGGCAGTATGAGGGAATTTGAGGGCTCATGGAACTGTTCTGAATGGGCAATAGCATGACTTTGTGCATTTATTAAACTCCATACAACTGTAGAAACACAAAAAGTGAATTTCACTCTATGCAAATTTAAAAATATCTACCAGAATGTTGGAGGGACCCAAGATGAAATACAGACTATGAGAAATGAATTTAACTGTATTACAGATTAATGGCATACCACACTGAAGGAGATGGGGGCAAAGGACCTGACAAATAATTTTGGAAACAGTCTTTTGACTGGATATTGTAAAGCTAAGAACAACAATAACAAAAAACTATACACAAACACGGTACTCTACCTGGCAAATTTGTTTTTCACCGGGTTATGAGTTAACAATTCTGAAACTAGAGTTGAATACTAGGGTTGACAAATAAAAAATGCAGTAAGGAAGCCTTGAACAGTAGACCCAAAAATTAAATAAAAGCAGAAGAAAACTGAAGATCTCTTGAAGCCAACATCCTTTTATTATTTAATTTCATTTTATCTACAAACGTTCTCACATTGCCAGAACATTGGTTTTGGTTTGTTTCTGTTTTTTGTTTGTTTTCTTTTCTAATCCAGCACATGCTTACTCAGTAGCTACTAAGATGCATCAAGAGCTAGTAAATGACTTTGAAGTTAATGATGCTCTTTCTCTCCAGAAGAATAACATTGAATACAGTTGGCCCATGACTACTTTGAGCCCTGTTATAAATGACTAATGCTTGGTCAGGCTAGAGTTCTGGTTTTAGTTTATCTTTATTCTCGAACCTCTACTTTGATCTTTTTATTATTCTTCATTTTTTAGTTTGTTGTGTCTCAGAAGTGAAGGTACTGTATATATCTCATTGTGCAGTGACCAGCAGTGAAGTGGTGTCTAACTAGAGCGCCAGGCATTGTGCCTTCTCATAGTGACTAGGAAATACCTGCAACCAGCAGTGAGAATTGCCCTTCTAAATGCAGAAGTCCCTTGGTGCCAATCCTGATTTTATTTGATATAAAAGGAAAGCTCCTTCCCATAAACACATGAAAGGGAGGAAAGGTGAAAAGATTGTCCTCTCATGATACAGCAAGGCACCAGATGAATATATTCATTAGGGCCTTAAGATAAAACCTGATTGAAATTCTCTTGAAAATGAAATCAAAGCTACCCCTCCTTGGGCCAGGGTGAATTTTTACTACTGCAAATAGTTTTTTAATTGACTTCAGGCATTTTTAATTAATCACTGCATGGCAACTATAGAATCCTATGAAATAACCTTACTTTATGCATTTGTGAATTAATCCATCCCAGAAAATTAAAGTAATTAATTCCAGTTGGTTAAAATCACTACTGATACTTTATTCGAGTTGAATGACTTGACTGGTTCTAAGCAAGATTTAGATGACAGAATTTCATAGGCTAGAGCCCAATATTGATGGCAGAGTAGCTGGTGCTCTGAGAATTCTTTGGCACAGCCCTAAAGAAGTCAATTTTCAACTTTAGTATCAACATATAATGAGAGTGAAAATCATTATGTAAAGTAGGTGCTTCCTACACTGTGGCTGGTTATGTTGACAATTGGAGTCACAACTCCAATTACGCCTAATTTTTGGACAGTATAATGCCAAACTGAACAACTGAGTAAAGCTTTGTATCTACTTTGAATCCATTAATTAGAATGTTAGCATCTATAAGCATGTCTCTGACTTTTGAAATGGAAAAGTACAACCAATCATAATATATTTTTTCTTTTTCACTTAATGGGTGAACATAAACACATACTTTATTTTGCCTATACCTGAACTCAGGTTATTTATTTTATTTTATTTTTTTTTTTATGGAGATGGAGTCTCACTCTGTCACCCAGGCTGCAGTGCAGTGGCACCATCTTGGCTCACTGCAATCTCTGTCTCCCAGGTTCAAGTGATTCTCCTGCCTCAGCCTCCTGAGTAGCTGGGATTACAGGTGTGCCCCACCACACCCGGCTAATTTTTGTATTTTTAGCTGAGAAGGGGTTTTGCCATGTTGGCCAGGCTGGTCTCGAACTCTTGACCTCAAGTGATCCACCCACCTTGGCCTCCCAAAGTGCTGGGATTACAGGCATGAGCCACTGCGCCCGGCCCTCTAGGTGCTTTTATACACCATTCATACACAGAAGCACAGGCAACCATTCTGAGTAGGCACTCTTGTTCCCATTTTATCCACAAGAGAGACAGAGGCTGCGAGAGGTTAGGTAATGCGCCAGGGTCCCGCACATCCAGCAGGTTGCAGAGATGGCAAGGAGTATGGTGTGATGTTGAAGTGTGTGGTCTTCCTCTGCCCCTTGCTGCCTTCACATGATCCGTGCATCTGAAGTGACCCGATTCTTAGCTATTCCCTAGAGAAACAAGTAGGCCTAGAAGGGCCCTGAGACGTGGGATAGGGTCCCTGCTGAGTTCGGCCATTTTTGGAGGCCTAGAGAAGGAGAAAAATAAAAGTTTCTGCTGCCTGAGCTAGTTCATGCACACCCCCTCCCAGCGCCTCCCTGCTTCTTCCGTGTCCCGCCACCACCGCCCGCCACTGCACCCCCTCCCCCGTCACCTTCCACAATCTCTCTGTGATTGATGCCATGGCAGTAGTGGGAGTTGGTGAACTGTCACTCATCTCAGTCCTTTCCCCATCAGCCCTCAGCCAGAAACAACGGGGTAAGAAAATAGAGCAGAAGGAAATTAACAACTCACATTGGTTCAAAATTTATCAGAACTTATTTCATCCTGTTTTGCAGTTTTGAAAAGAGGAGAAAATGAAGTTATTTGTGTGCTCTGTGTGCTCTGCTGATTGCAGATAGGAAGAGCAATGTGGCTGGAAGAGATCATGTTCACAGCTTGTGGGGTGTGGGGTTAAGTGTTTGAGAAGGGGAATGGAAAGGAACGCTTGGAAGAACTGAGGTAACGTTGCCTAAAAAGGCTGAATCAATAGTGACTTTCAGCACAATTCAATTCAATGAACACACTGGAGCTGCTATGAGCAAGGAGCTAAGGACATAAACTTTAAAAGACCATATCTCAAAGGTTGATTATTCATTCATGCAATTCATATTTATTGAGCACTGTTCTAGGTGCTAGGGTTATAGCAGTGAACAAAACAGGCCAAGTTCCTGACTCATGAGGCTTACATCCTAGTGGGGAAGACCCATGATAAACAAGTAAACACAGAAATAACTTCAATGAATGATAGGTGCTATGAAAACTTAAATGCAGGAGAAAGGCAAAGAAAAGGTGGCCAGAAACAGCTTCACAGAGGAGATGCATTTGAGCGGGGACCTGGAGGAAGGGACAGAACCAGCCTTGGAAATACCTTGGGGAAGAGAATTTCAAGCAGAGATAACATGACCCTGAGGTAGGGACAAGGTTGATGAGCAGAAAGCAGGTGAGTCTGCTGGAGTTTGGTATGTGAGGAGAGAGCAGGACCAGATGAGATTAGAGAGAGAGAGATAGGAGCCAGGTTGCTAGCAACCAGCTTAACCCCTCTCAATCACGACAGAGTAGACAGAAAAGATCCAAAAGCTGCTACAGACTCTATGTGAAGAGTGAATAAAATAGAATTGTATAACAGAGAGTGGATTAACCTTTGCTGGAGGACTTTTAGAAGAACACTGATACTCTGTGGATTAGGTTAGGTAACCTTCACTTGGGGCCAGGTCACACTCCCATACTGGTGAGGGTTTTGGTATTTGGAACCTAGGCATCACCTTGTTGTACAGCTCTATGTGCCTAATCTCCCTTTCCCTATGGAATAGTTCAGTGGTCTTGTCTTAGGCTCTCTACTTCCCGTCTGTACCCCTTTCCTTTTTAATGGTATTCTCTCCTGCCCCTTTGATCCCAAGTACCTCCAGTTCTCAGGTTCTATCTCTTTTCTCTTCATCAAATTCTGCTCTGAGGAAAGTCAGAGTAACCAATTCTCACTAAAATGTTAAGTGACCAACATGACAAGGTGCTGACTGGGGTGGGGAAAGAAAGGGGAGATTAGCATCCCATCACTAGGATTCTCTGGATTAGGAAGAATGTGTCTTTGCATTTGCATCTGCTTGGAGTGCTTTTCTCACATGTTCTTATTCAAGATCCAGCTCCAAAATCCCCCTTTCCAAGGGGGCTTCCCCAGGAAGAGCTGGTGACTTCTTCCACTGCTGTGCTCAGACCTCTCAGTTCTGCCCTTCTCATGGTTCTTTGTGTGTTGTCTGCAAATCTGTCTCTCCCACAAGCTTGCGTGCTTCTTGAGGATAGATTCCAGTCCCTAGTGTGATGCCAGGCCATGCAGACTGACTGACCAAGGAGCTGGGGAATGTCATAAGAGCTGCATTTACTTTGACCATGATAGGCTATGGTTTTCACAATGCAGATTGAGGTAATGCTCATTAGAAGCCCCATTCTCCTCTACAGTCTTGTATTCACTATAACTTTTATTTCTTCAATTTTATAAATATTGCTCTCTGAATTTATACCAATGTAAGATGCATTTGCTAACAAATTTCATCTTTTAAAATGCAGATACTCCTAATAGAATTAAGCCTATTCATTTTTACAACATTTATGGTGTATCTACTCTGTGCTATACACTGTCCCATAACTCTCACCAAGATACTAATGGGCTTACAAAAAAACTGTTCTTTTCTTCCATATATTGAATCAAGAGCTCCAAGTCAAGACCTGATAATTCTACTTTTAATAATCAATCTAAAAGAAAACTTCAGAAATGTGAAATTAGGTTTATGTACAAAAATATGGATCATAGTAGTTATTTATAAGGTTGGAAGGAAGAAAACTCTTCAGTAATAGGAGACTCAAATTGTTTTATCAATAGGATGTGTTATTATGTAACTATTTGAAATTACGTTTAAAAGAGTATTTTATTAAAACAAGAAAATGCTTGCATTACCATGTTAAATGAAAAAAAGCAAGATAAAAATTTGGTTTTAGTATGATCTTTAAAAATGCGTAGATAAAAAAGCCTAAAAATAGTCACTAAAAATATAAATAATGGTTGTCCATCTAGGTGGTAAAATAGTGGTTGATTTTTAGTTTTTACATACTTATGTTTTCTAAACTTTTTTTCTGATCACATATTGCTTTTGTGATGAGAAAAAGAAAGTTACTGTACTGAGAAAATAGAACCACCTCCTCTTAGTTGCTAAGGTCAACTACACAAATGCAATGGGATGAGACAGGGCAGGACCACTTTATGGGTAAGACGAACCCTTGTGAAGATGGACACAGAGGGCTGGGCTGGCAGTCTGAGGGCTCTGGCCCCTGCAGTAACAATCAGGAAGACTGGAGAGCAGGAGGTGGGAAGGCATAGAAGACATATTTTGGGGTGGCTTCATCTTGCCTAGGCTGAGCCTAAGATGGGACCGTGACTTCTCAGGGTTTGGACAAATGGATAAAAGGCTCTTGTCCAAGACTGATTGCATGGCTCAGCAGGAGCCCCTCACTGGGCCTGCTTTTTACAGGTAGAGGGAGCTTCTAACCTCAGCAGGGTTCATATTTCTTCTGCCATATTTTTAAGTTAAGTCTCAGTTAGAGGAGTTTATCACCATCTAGCAATGTTAACTTGCCATTCATTACTAGGTGCTGAGCCTTCTAGGCTTGTCTAAAGTTTATAACTGAGCTCTCTTGAGCTTTGCTCCTGAATCTTAAGTACATCTCTTTTACGGCTGATACCTTCCTTTCTTTTCATTTTCCCAAAACAGATACATGCAGCATCAAAGCCATCAAATTGTTTTGCATGAAGTAATTTCTGGCCACTCTCCCTCTGCTCCTTCCTTCCTACTCCCAAAAAAAGATTTTAAGTAAAACTGGAGAAAGGGAAGTATAGTAGTGGGAGGCTGGAATCAGCAGCAAGGACCTCTGACTTTAGGGCTGGACTTCACCTGTCACTTGCACCGGGACGTACCAGGATGCACTGGGATGCTGGGATAGTTGCTTAACTTCCCCAAGCCCTGGTGTCTTCGTGTATAAAATGTGCATACATTTAATGCTTGCCTTAACCTATTTATCTGACAAAAAGTACTTGTGAGATAAAGCATGTGAAAAGGTTTGCAGAGCTTTAGATTCTTTACCTACATTAGTTACTACCATGATAATAACTATTGGGATTAATCGTTCAGAAGCTGCTGCATAAGCTGAAACAAGTGGGCACAGACAATCCATCATTTGTATGCTGTCAAGGGGAACAATAGCCTTCAGTTCCACGGACTGATGGACAGACTTTGTAGTAAAATCAAGTTATTCACACTGTTAAGAACTCGGTTGAAGCATAACTGCATACTCAGTTATGCAGTAAAGAAAAAAAAACAGACTAAGAACAGACTAAGAAATATTTTTAATAGAAGTGGAGACAAATGTTTTGTGAAAAAGAAAATTATTATGCAGTCATTGTGCTTTGAGACCTTCACTCAAATTCAGGCCAAAAAAAGGTACTAGGAAGTAATTTCACTTTAAACTTGTCTTTAAACTCCAATATACACGTTTTTACAGGGGAAATCTCTTGCTACATCAACTATGCATTGTATTTAGGAAGAGCCATTATAATATAAAGCAAAGAATCCTAAATCTAGAAGTAAGGTAGGTGAATTTTGGTCCCATCTAACTGGAGGCCATGCACCTTGGTTAACCCAGGTCAGGCTCTAATCACACCTGTTGTTTGGTACACAATTATGCATGGGACCACCTCCCTTTGTTTTTTTTTTTTTAGGCAGAGTCTTTCTCTGTCACCCAGGCTGGAGTGCAATGGCGTGATCTCAGCTCACTGCAACCTCCATCTCCAGGGTTCAAGCGATTCTCCTGCCTCAGCCTCCTGAGTAGCTGGGATTACAGACGTGCACCACTACGCCCAGCTAATATTTTTTATTTTTAGTAAAGACCGGGTTTCACCATGTTGCTCAGGCTGGTCTTGAACTCCTGACCTCATGATCTGCCCACCTCGGCCTCCCAAAATGCTGGAATTACAGGTGTGAGCCACCATGCCCAGCTCCCCTTTTTGTTTTAAAAAGCCTCCCATTTTGGATAATAAATTATATGGTCACCCTCATCAAGTCTAATTAATAGCTATGTGTCATTGAGCCTTATATCAGAAGGAAAATAGAACTCTCTTCTGCAGGAAAGAAGATAAAAATAAGTCAGAAGTAATTGTCTGGGCTCACCCCTTCCCCTTACCTGCCCACTATGGTTAAAACTCTCCAGAGGGTAAAGAAAGAATAGAAATAACCAGAGAATTCTGTGGGAATCTCAGACTTAGTGCTTGTTCCTCAGGTCCTTGGATGCCCAGAATAATTCCAAGCCCTGGATGGAAGCTCCCCATTAGCATGGCTTGACCAGAAGGGCAACATGGCATGGTGACCAGGCTTCACTCTGGCAGCCTGGAAGTTTCCTACACTTTCTCCTACTTCCTCACACCATTTTGGGAAAAAGAAAAGAGAGGCTCCTGATAGAGAGTTTCACCTTTTAAATCAGAAGAGATGGAATTAGCTTTGAATGAAATATTTTAAGTGGTTTCTCACCCGCCATCAGCAAGAAATAGATTTTTTCCCCATATCTAAGTAGTAGAGGTAAATGTTATCCCATCTGTATTTATATCTTCAGAGCTCGGCATAGGGTCAGGGGCAGGTAAATCCTCAACAAATGTTTGTTGAATGAAGCTTCAAATCATAAAATGGACAATAAAACTCTAGACTATTTTAGTAGAATTCTACCAAAATATTAAAACATTTCCTGAAATAATATTCATAGTTATAGTTACCATAATAGGGGGAGGAAAAAACTAACAAAGGAATTTAGAGAATAATCTTTGTTGACTACTGAGCCTTCAACAGTGATTAGTTTCCTTGTGGTATAATTACAAGCTGGTCTCATATATTATAAGGATTTAGCCTTCCTTCATGGCATTTTACATAGGCCACTGCCAGAGGTAAGCTAATATGGACTGTAGTCTCTATTGATCTTACTCAGATAAGGAAATCCCAGCATCCCAATCTTTATCAGATAAACAAAACACATTTTGAATAATCACATATCATTGTCTTATCTGTTCTGCAAAGGGAGAAAGGAAACCTCTAGATTTATCATTAAAATAGCAGGTGTTGGAGGAATGTAGATTCAGTTATTGAGAACCTATTTATTTAGCTCTGGGCAGTTTGATGATAATTACATTAAAATTCCCTAAGACATTTTCGATGAAAACACTGGTAGGCCAAAAGTATATGTTTACAAAGACAGCTTATGTGAAGGTTGGGAATAGACCCATTTCTTTCTCTAAGTGAACAGAAAAATACATTCTTTAGACTAACTTGTAAATATACTGTTTCTATATTTAGAGATACTAGATTCTGATAGTATTTAAGGTCTCGAAGGATTATGAAACGCTAAGATTGTTGCATTTCTTAATATGTTCCCACCCACAACACTTTTTCTTTTCTTTTCTCTCTTTTTTTTTTTAAATTATACTTTAAGTTCTAGGGTACATATGCACAATGTGGAGGTTTGTTACATAGGTATACATGTGCCATATTGGTTTGCTGCACCCACCAACTCATCATTTACATTAGGTACTTCTCTTAATGCTATCCCTCCCCCAGCTCCCCAGTCCCCGACAGGACCCAGTGTGAAATGTTCCCCGCCCTGTAACACTTTTTCTTTTCTTTTCTCTTTCTTGTTTTTTTAAAAAAGTCAAACCACAATTTGCTTCTCCAAACACTACTAGTGTAAAAAAAAAAAAAAGTTGGAAATCTTTGGAGAGAATTTGACCTTTTCTCTTAATGCTGCCTTGCCAGGCAATCATTCTTTTACAAATGTAGAGAAGAACATATTCTAGAATGATCTTTAAATTTAATTTGGCTCATTTTGGACAAAGTTCTTTGGAAAGTTGGCTGCAGGCCTTTGTTGCTGTTCTGAAAAAAGAGAAAAGGCAGATTTCATTGGGTGGCTGTAGCGTTGGTGCAGCGAACCATTAACTGGAAGGAAATTGAGTTCTAATTGTTAGACAAAGAGAATGGAAATCTAGACTCAGACCCTCATTTTGGCTTTTCCATGGACTACATGAATGAACTTGGACATCGAGGGGCCAGAACAGCCACATTTCAACACCAAGAAGCATCTATTAGCTGAGACATTCTTAACTTGAATTTCACTGCCTCTCTATAAAAATAGAAAGGAAAAAATCCTATAATTAAGACTCAATTCAGTGATTCATGATGTACACTTTCAATGTCAAGGACTGGTTCAATCATAGAGGATCAGATGCAGAATTGCTGGTGAAACCCAGCTTGCAGCTGGTTCATCCGGGACTTGCAAGTTTGCACATACACGTATGTATAAAGGGCCCAATATATGTGGAGAGAAGAAGAGTTAGCAATGAAGGACACTTGTTTCTGTTTACATTCTACTTCAGTTTGAGGCTGTTTATTTACCAAAAATCCATAATTTGATTAAAGATGTTTATAAAGAAGTGGTGACTAGGTCTGAGATCCCCCATGTCAAGATTCCTGAGGATTGGGCCACCTGCAAACAAGAATTATATAAACCCCCCAAGAAGGAGATTTTCTCATTAGGAAACCTAAAAGTTCAATAAGTTCTCTTCTGTGCAGTCAGTCATGGATGATTTATTGAGTAGCCTTTGGGCATCACTGTGTCTGGTTCTAAGGGTATAGAGGCAGGGAGGACAAGTAAATAAACATCATTCTATGACATGGTGAGTACATAACAGAGCTAAGTAGGGGGTAGGATGGGAGCAGAGAAGTGAGTGAGAAACTCTGCTTGATGGTATTTGAAAGAGGCTTCCCAGGAAGAAAGGATTTGAGCTAAGACCTGAGTGGAGAGAAGGTGTTCACTAGGTGAAAAAGTGGGGACAACGTCAGAAGTAAATTTGAATAGACAGCCAAATCTAAACAAGAAAGTGCATTGTATATACATTGCAGGGACCATTGTACAGATGAACCAGTGGGTCAGAGTAGAGCTTGGGATCCTGAAACAAAGCTAGAAAAATCTATTAGAACTAGAGTGATAAGGGCTTGAATTATCCTGTTTAATTTGAAATGTAATCTGTAGGTGATGGAAAACTATCAGAAAATTTAAGCAAGGATAAAGTAACATCCGATTTGCATTTCAGAAAGATACTGACAGCAGTGTGGAGGATGGATTGGAGGAGGCTGTGATTGGAAGAAGGGAGATCAATTAGGAGGCAATTTCAGTCATCTAAAGAAAAAAGTATCAGAGTCTAAACTAGAGCAGCTGCCTTCGATTGACAAGGGCTTTTTCTCTCTAAGGAACCTGAGGCACAGTGGTGGTTATCTTTGCAGGCTGCAGGGTTTTACAGGCTCCAAACACATTGCCTGTGCACTTAGCAAATTAAGGAATACCACTCCCGGAAATACCCTCAGGCAATTTAGACATTTTAAAGCATTAACATCAAACTTTTGTAATCTTTTCTTCTGCTTTCTATATCACTGACAGATATCTTACTTTCCCCCCTAGGAAGTGTTGAAAACAAATGAAAGGCTCACATTTGGAAATCACATGGAAAACTAATTGTGGATTCATCTCAACTCTCAGGTGTTTAGAACCGTGGCCACCATAAAGAGGACCCCCTTATATGGAAGGCGTGTGAGGGTGTGGTATGACCTCAGTGGGGTGTGCAGAATAACCAAGAATGCTGGTAACTGAACTAGATGGTGGTAGTCAAAAGTCCAAAGGAAGAGTTATGGTGGAGAAGGTGGTGCGGTAATTTTATACTGCTTCTGAAGTGGATGATTGCAAGCTATTTTACAATGGAATGATTTCTATTTTTCTGCTTTTAATGATGGAAATTCTAGTGATAAAACCTGCCCACCTCTGAAGTTTTATTTTGTGGTCTACCCTTTCAAAGCAGATTCAGTTCATCAAGAATGGCTTCCAGCAGCATTAGAAGGGTGTGTTCAGTACCCTGTTCAGTATGAGTTTCCATCTCTAAGCAATTTGGTTGTCTCTTCCGGGCAGCTCTGATCTCATAGGCCGTGTTGTCAAGACTCAGGCTGGACACACAGACCTTCCTCTGAATAACTTTGCCATGTCCTGTCAATGCCAGCTGCTTGCATTGTAATTTAGTTTCCCCAGTTCATATTTAAGAAGACTAAAAACTCTCTAAAGAGAACACCCTGTCTTAGGGATTCCTAGCACATATTCGGTGAGAAAGCTATTGTATGGGCTCACTGGAAACCCACAAATGGCCCAGACTTGATGTCACACATACCCCACCCAACACCTCTTTACGACACTACCATCTGCATCCTGGAATGACAAACTGTTTTTATTTTTTCTAGAAAGAACGTTTTCCACAATTTTTGTGGGTGGCCTTTCCATACAGCACACCTAACACGACTGAAACACCAGACAGATTGCAGGCTCCTTGGGAATAAGCAACCCCTGGGAGATTCTTGTATTTATTAGGATGAGGGGAAAATGAAGGCTGCTGGTGTATCTTTTATATCCAATAAAATAATCATGAGTGTAAGCTAAGTAAAAAATGCCCAAATGTTGCCCCAAACACCTGCTAAGGCAATGTGAATGGAAGAGGGAGGTATTAAAGAGAGAGAGCTTGGTGGGTAGGAGATTGATGGGAGAAAAAAAAGCAATGAGAGAACACATCTGGGTGGCCAATCATGGCAGAACACAACTGGGTGGTTAGTGTGGCTGCTCAGTCCTGAAACAGATTGGCCTGTTCCTCAGTGCTAGGGGACAACCATCTCCAAAATAGGATGGATATGCTCCAGGAGACAACCCACTATGGTGTGGGAAGAAAATATTTGGAGCACTCATGTTTGCATCTCTAATCCCTTCTTTTAAAAATTTCTACTTTATTTTTTTAATTAGTAAATATATATATATATATAACTTTAAGTTCTGGGATACATGTGCTGAACATGTAGGTTTGTTACATAGGTATACACTGTTACATAGGTATACATTGATGGTGGTTTGCTGCACCTATCAACCCTATCATCTAGGTTTTTTTTTTTTTTTTTTGAGACGGAGTCTCGCTGTCGCCCAGGTTGGAGTGCAGTGGCGTGATCTCGGCTCACTGCAGGCTCCGCCCCCCGGGGTTCATGCCATTCTCCTGCCTCAGCCTCCCGAGTAGCTGGGAATACAGGCACCCGCCACCTCGCCCGGCTAATTTTTTGAATTTTTAGTAGAGACCGGGTTTCGCCATGTTAGCCAGGATGGTTTCGATCTCCTGAGCTCGTGATCCACCCGCCTCGGCCTCCCAAAGTGCTGGGATTACAGGCGTGAGCCACCGCGCCTGGCCCCCTATCATCTAGGTTTTAAGCTCTGCATGCATTAGGTATTTGTCCTAGTGCTTTCCCTCCCCTTTTCCCACCACCCCGACAGGCCCCAGTGTGTGTTATTCCCCTCCTTGTGTCCATGTGTTCTCATTGTTTAACTCTCACTTATGAGTGAGAACATGTGGTGTTTGGTTCTCTGTTTCTGTGTGAGTTTGCTGAGGATAATGGTTTCCAGCCTCACCCATGTCCCTGCAAAGGACATGAACTTTATAGTTACTGTAATATGAGCATAGTGGTACATGTATATATTTTTAAAATAAATATTTGTTCATTGGAGGTGCCTGGTTTTCCTGATTAAGGCACACAATGAAAGCAATTGGAAAATATCTACTATAGTACAAACCATCCATACACTAAAGCTCTTATTTCCAAAGAGCTTACATTCTAATTAGGGAGCTGAATAAATATATTTATGTAAACAATCAATTATTAGTTGTTTTTCCCCAGATATACACACACAATGAGTGTGGTAATGGTTCTCAATGATCATGACAGATGTGGCAAAAAGAATGAGTAGAATGGATATAAGGAACAAAGAAGCTCCATTTACCCTGTAAAAGGATGGGTCCCTGGGGGCTGAGGTTGTAATTCTTGTGTGGGCAGGATTCTTAATACACCAAAGTAAAGTAATTTTTAATGTCTCTATGAAAAAAAAAGGGAAGGAAACATATGCATCTTCACATAGACTGTGAGCCAAACTGTTATAGTTTCCCAGGAGGCAGGGAGCACTGTCACATAGCATAGGAGAAAGGCATTGAAAACTTCAATAATTCCATTTCTTCAGAAAGACAGCTTAATTTCCCACATGAGCCATTCCTGAGGTCTTTCTTCCAGTTAGTATATACTAAATGTGCAGACGGTTCAGACATTTGCAAAATAAAGAGATTCAAATCTGCATGGTAGGTATCCAGGTACTCACAGTAATGCTCTTTCTACAGAGAACTTGGGCCAATTTCTTTACATATATTACCCCATTTACTCCCAATAAGCAACACATGTAAGTTGCTGTCTCCCCCATTTTTTAGAGGAGAACACTGAATCATAGAGAAGTTCAGTGGCTGATTCAAAGTCTCTTAGCTAGTGAGTTTTGAAGTGGGGATTTTACATAACTCTGCCTTACTCATGATGTCATGAAGTTCTCAAATACTTTATAGAAGGAGGCCTTGCTCTGATTACCCTGTGCAGTTTCTGGTAGCCAAGTGTGTTCTCTTGCTTCAAGGAACAGCGGCAATTACTACTCCTCAGTCCAATATTTTTACATGTACACATCAATCGTAAATACCAGAGCAGGAGCCAGCAGCAAGCCCAAATGTTTTATGATTCTTACCATATGTGTTTGATTGTGTCATTACATCGCCTGTCCTAATTAAGAAGAAACGCATCTGAACTGAAGTAACTGGTTATGTGAATGCCAGAGCCACTAGAACAAAATCCTCATGAAACTCAGGTTTCCCCAGCATGGCTTGTATAACTTCTTGAGTGATTCCATGACTGTGGTCCACCCCCAGTTTTAGAATAATTAATTGTCATTGGAAATGTTGAAAAATGAATATTGCTGCCAAATATATACCCAGGCAGATAAAGCTAACCCAGAAAATTTGAGGCAGTAGGAGCAACAGGCTTTATTAAACAGTGTATTTGTCAGAAAGATTTAAGCCCTCTACGATGTTCTTTGGGTCCAGTAATTGGTGGAAGAGGATGGAGTCACTGGAGGCAGAGAGGAATAAGTTGAATTATTGAATGATTTATCTGGTTGACTTATAATGATGTGTCATGATTGAGCTCTTTGGTAAGTGAGGCCACATATAAGCAGAACTTGGTAAGAAATGACTCGTACTGATTGAAAAGATGTGTTTTAAGTATAGAAGGATGAAAGTGGCTGCCCTGTTGGATATTAATATTTTGCATTTTAACTTTATAGTTTTTAAATTAAAAATGGAAACAAAATGTTGTTTCTATTTTCTTTTTAGAACTTGCATAGTCTATATGTTAAAACATTTATCTGAGCTAGCTCTACCTACCTTCAAATAGCAAGGTTAGTGCTAGCTATGCATAAAAAAATCATCTGGGGCCAGTCAACCCATTAGGATGATCAAAGGTGACCTCAGAGAAGAAAAACAAATAAGTCCTGTCCAAACAGGAGTGTTCTTAAGCCTTTCAGAGTCAGCTAAAACAAGGTTTACACAGCCAGATGGTTTTACAAGAACCTTTTGGGGTCACTGTATTGTTTAACGTTCTTATTACCAGTCACCAGTAAATTGTTTCGACTTCTACACTTCTTTGAAGTAATAATTTAGTTTGGTCTCACTATCTTTTAGAAGCACCAATCTTGGGCAGGACTGAGTAGGTATTTTCTACACACGGTAACAACGTATGAAATAGTAAGGAAGGTGGCTGCTTTTCCCGTGCACTGGAGGAATCTGTCTCTTCACAGTCATAAATCTGTCCCTTTATGGCTGGTCTTTAGATGTTCTCCACATACCATTTTCAGAATACATATTTAAATCCAAAGAGAGCGAGCTACCCAGAATGAAGCATTCTGCTTTGGAAATGTTCACTATAAATCCAGAATCCATTGTTCCCTTAGGAGGAAAAAATAAATAAATAAAACAATAAAATTTGCAGCACTAGCTTCCTTTTGAAAACAGTACGTTGGAACCAATGGCCTTCACAAATAACAATGTCTGATTTTTTTTTTTTTTTTTTTTTTTTTTTTTTTTTTTTTTTTTGAGACGGAGTCTCGCTCTGTCGCCCAGGCTGGAGTGCAGTGGCGGGATCTCGGCTCACTGCAAGCTCCGCCTCCCTGGTTCACGCCATTCTCCTGCCTCAGCCTCCCAAGTAGCTGGGACTACAGGCGCCCGCCACTACGCCCGGCTAATTTTTTGTATTTTTAGTAGAGACGGGGTTTCACCGTTTTAGCCGGGATGGTCTCGATCTCCTGACCTCGTGATCCGCCCGCCTCGGCCTCCCAAAGTGCTGGGATTACAGGCGTGAGCCACCGCGCCCGGCCCTAACAATGTCTGATTTTGAGACTGCACGTTACAACACAGCTGAAAATTTATTGATTAAGTACACAAGAAGAAGAACAAGCCATTTGTTTTGATCAATGAAAATTGTACTATGTATGGTGAGCACTTGTCTGGAAAAACGATCACAACACTCTTGGGATTAAAGAGCACAGGTCTATTAGTTCAATAGTTTGACCAAAGAAACTTAAGAAAATTAATTTAGGGAAGCTCTACTTCATGTCTGAAGGTTATATGAAATAGAATGCACAATACTAAGAAGAGCCTGCATTTTAGAAGTTCACAAATCATCATCTCTGGTTATTTAAGAATATTTCCACGTTTGCAATGAGCTGCTTTCAATAACACTAGATGATTGACACATTAATCATTACATTCATTTATATCCTGGACCATTTCCAAGTTTGCATTGAACACTGGAGCAAGAACTCCTGGTACATTCTTTCTCAGAGTTGAAGAGAGAAGAATAAAGCTGGTAAACAAAAATATGCAAAGACTGGAAATTAATCGGCAGTTACTAGGATAAATGCAGCAACTGTGCCTGGGGACATGTGCTGAGGGTAACATGAAGGCAGAACAGCTTAACGTCATCTATATGGGACAAACGTGTTGAACTTCTGTAGGTGATCTGGCCTCAAACATTCTTTTTTTTTTCTTTTATCCCCACAGAGCTTGTCTTCACTATGTTCAATTGTGATGGGGAGTTGACAAATGGTTGTGGTGGCAGCTGCCTCCCTTGCACAAGTCAGCTGAGGAAGAGGTCCTTGTTCACCTCTCCTCTGCCCAGAGTCAACATTGTGTGATAGCTGTCAGGCTGAAACACCTCCAAGGCTTTTCATTTCTATCTTAGCCCAACTTCCCCCACCACTTCTGGTCCCTACCTTTGAAAATAGACTTCACTCTTGTGGGCCCATTTTTAGAACATGGCAGAATCAACACTTGACTTATGCCAGTTCCCTCAGTACTGCTGAGCTCCATTCTAGGATATTCTAGGGGAGATGGTGAAGCTAATACAAATGGAGTTTGTATTTCCAGGTTTCTCTTCTCCAGCATAAGCCAAATCCTGTCTCTGTAAGACAACTGTGCATTTGTATAGCACTGTCTCATTTGAACCCATTATATTCATTATTCTCATTTAAAGTGGGCAGGGTACATATTGTTCTCATTTAATGGTGTTTAATTAACACTCCAATAGTTAAGTGACTTTGTAGAGAAGAAATGGAAGGACAGAGTCAGGTCCCCAACACAGGTCATCTAATTCCTGCATTTGTGGTCTCTCCCTAACCCATGGTATTTCTCTCAGCTGCCAAAGGAAACTTATTAAAGATATTTTAAAAAGGCTTTTATCTTTAGCATCTTCTTCCTGGTGCTGCTGTGGTAACCATTTTCAGCTTGGCAATTTAAGACAGGTTCCAATTTGTGCAGATGAATAGATTAATCACATATTCCTTAACTAGATTTAGCTATTTTATTTTGAACATCCTGTCTTCAACCCTCCCTAGAAAGAGGGAATGGAGGAAGAAGTAATACCTTGCCACTTAATCTGTCATATACTGGCTGATATTATTTAATTTATAAGCATTTATTAACACAGAGTATGTGTTCACTGATGTGCCATGCAAGAATAGTAGCATAGGAAGCAGGACTCTCACGTTGAAAAAGCCTGCCCTATAGGTTGTCAGACAGAAATCTTGACTTGATATAATCATTATAAGAAGCAGCACAGGAATGAATAAAAAGCTGAGGGGTGCATATCATTGCTAGGGGTTGGATTAGTAAGAGAAGGGTATACAGAAGAAGTGAGACCTGGCAGTCAGGTGGCATTTCAGCAGCAACTGGGGGAGAAGGAGGGCATCCTGAAGAGAGGGTGTGGCTAGAGAAGGTGCAGAAGTGAGATGAGTGGGATGTGTTTGCTCTGAAGAATAGACATACGTAAGGGGTAAAAACTCCAAGGAGATCATCAAGTAATGCCTCCTTACAAATAAGTTCAGCCATGTTCATCTGGATGAGTGCCATCTCCTTTAAGGCAGTCTCCTTGGGAGACAAGTTCCCACCATCCTGCCTGGCGCAAGTCTGTTCTGGAGCCCCTCTTAGAGGGGGTGATCCTCCAACTCCAATGTGATCTGCTGCTTCCCAAACCTCTGACAGAAGCACAGGAAAATTCCAGGCCTAAATGGCTTTGGTAGTAAATTCTAACAAATACTGGAGAGAAAAATAACAGCCATCCCACACAAACTCCCAGAAAATAGAAAAACAGGGAAAACTTCCACTTTATCTTATGAGGTCAACATAACCTTGATATTAATACTAGACAAAGAAACTATGAGAAAGTAAAGTTACTGACCAATCTCACTAATGAGCATAGATGCCAAAATTCAAAGCAAAATATTAGCAAATTAAGTTCAGCAAAATGTGAAAAGGATATTTCATAACCCAGTTGGATTTACATCAGGAACGTAAGGATGGTTTAAAGTTAGATAATATAAGGGGAAAAAATGTCCTTTGATCATTCCAATAGTTGCCACAAAATTATTTGCTTATATTAACATTCATACATCACAAAAAACATCTTGGTAAACTAAGAATAGAAGGGATTTTCCCTAATCTGATAAGGATATTTCAAAAATTGTACACCACATATTATACTTGATGGTGAAGTGTTAAAAGCTTTCTCTTTGAGATTGGGAACAAGAAAAAGAAGGCTATTATTATCATTATATTCAATGTTGTATTGACTGAACCAGTACAGTAAGGCTAGGAGTAGAAAGCATAAGCATCAGAAATTAGTAAGTGAGTGATAAACTTGAGCCCAGAAATAGGAGAGAGTTTTTCTGAAATGAGAGACTACTGAGTCAGTTTGGCTTGAAATCTACCTTTTACAATAGGACACAAATTCTAGCCAGATTTTAAAAAGTATTTTGGGAGGAATAATTTATTCATTCCTTCATCAAATACTTGTTGAGTGCCTGTCAGATACTGCTGTAACCCCTGAGGATACAGCAGTGAATAAGGGAAAGGTGTTTTTCCTACTGGGTAGAGAGACTGACAATAAACAAGTAATCAGAAACATACACCATAGAATTTCAAATGATGTTACAGTGGTTGGTGGCAGGGGCAGGAGTAGGGGTAGGAGAATGGCTGGAGAGAAGGAGAGACCTCAGATGGTGGATTGGAAGTCCTCTCTGAGGAGGTGTCTGTGAGTGGGGCCCGAATGAGAAATCATGCTTTATACCAAGAACACTTCGGTTCTCTTCTCCAAGCTAATCGATGTATTTCTTACCTATTTTTGTTTCTGGAGATCAAAACATTTCTTCTTTTAATGATCCATAAGTTTTTGGGCATCTGCAAACTACAGAGGCTGAAATACTAGTTAATAATGATGATCTCTTTTTCTCCCATGTGCCATCACTCTGCCCCTCCTCTGTGCCATCTAAGTCACATGACTTTTTGAAACAGGTAAATACAGTTGGGATTGCTCTACTTTCAGGGAGATGTGAAGTAAAAATGTTTGCCTGGTCAATGTCTCAAGCAGGTCTGGAACCCCGTTCTGTTAGAATCATCTTTCTACTTCGTTTTATTTTCCCCATAGGTAATAGGCTATGCTTGGAATCCTTGTCCTCTGGCCCACAATTCTCCCTCCCACATTTTGTAGAGGTATTAAACCCAGGAAGAAGCAATTTCAAAGACAGCTCCTCAGTGGAGATAAATAAATGAAGCACTTTCCTGAAATTTAGGGAAGTTATTTTAGCTCTCTTAAAGCAGCACAATTTGTTGCCAAAGAGTCACTCTTTTCTGAGTTCTGCTAAATTTTCTAAAATAACAAAATGAAAGGACCATAAACAAAAGGAAAATTTTTAACAATGGGCCAGTGGGGCAAATGAAAATATTGATTAAGTACCCTTATACCATGTTAGGAATTTATCAAGTTTTAGTTAATCTCGGATGTAGATATAATTATCCTTATTTTATAGACGAGGAAACAGGTTCAGAGGGTTAAAGTTAAGTAACTTGCCCAAGGCCACTCCAGTAGAAAATGACAGGGCTGAAATTTCAACCTGGGTATTCAAATTCCAGAAACTTTCTTGCCACTCTGCCACATTACATTGTTGACCTTCAGGGACTGCTATCCCAGAATGGCTATTCCCATTATCTGTATATCTTAAATACCCCTCCCCTGGAGCATATCCCTGTCCTGCTCCCTGCCAGATAAGTATCAGAAACTGAACCATACGTCTAAACTGGAGTTCTGACTTAATGACACTCCCCAGCTTTAGACATTTACAGACTGCTCTTGTTCTGGGAACACTCGCAACTGGGAAGAGTGGGGAAAGTGTATTCAATCACTGTAAAAAGAATCCACAAAGGCCGGGCGCTGTGGCTCACACTTGTAATCCCAGCACTTTGGGAGGCCGAGGCAGGTGGATCATGAGGTCAGGAGATCGAGACCATCCTGGCTAACACGGTGAAACTCCATCTCTACTAAAAATACAAAAAAAAATTAGCCGGGCATGGTAGCAGGCGCCTGTAGTCCCAGCTACTCGGGAGGCTGAGGCAGGAGAATGGCGTGAACCCAGGAGGCAGAGCTTGAAGTGAGCCGAGATCATGCCACTGCACTCCAGCCTGGGCAACAGAGCGAGACTCCGTCTCAAGAAGAAAGAAAGAGAGAGGAAGGAAGGAAGGAGAGAGGGAGGGAGGGAAGGAAGGAAGGAAGGAAACCAACCACAAAGAAAAGTGGAGTTTCTTAGCTGCCAAGGAAAAGAGTTCAAACACTTTCCCTCCTTTTTTTAAGACTCTAAACTAATCAAATATGCCTTTGATATACAACCTTTCATTTTACAGACATGTTGATCTGAAAAAGTCATGAGTATGTTGCCATAAAAAAAAGTAGGGTTTTTTTTTCTAAGTCAAGGAATGCTTAGACTACCAAAAATTAGCCTCTTCTCTACACAACCGACACCCAGGCATTCCTGCCTCTCCATTCCTGTGAACCTGCAAATTCTTCCTCTGGTCTATCCCTCAGACCTGGGGTGGGTGGGAGGCACACTGCTAGTAACAGTCTCTACCAGAGCCTTCTGATCTCAGCTAGAGCTGCTTTCATAGGTTTGAAGAAAGCCCTTTCATTTCCAGACATAAAAAATATGCAAGTGCCCAGTTCCCCCTTGTGTTATTATTGTTGTCTTTGCCTAAACTCCATTTGGCAAGATGGTATGTAGTTTGTCCAAAAATGATATGTCTGTGTAAGCAGAGATCGACACCCCTTTTTCATAAATATTTTCAGCTTTGCAAGACATATGGTCTCTGTCACAACTATTTAACTTTGCCATTATAGCAAGAAAGCCATAGACAATATGTAAATTAATGGGTGTGGCTATATTCCAATAAAGCTTTATTTACAAAAACAAGTGGTAGACTGTATTTGGACAAGTGGCTATAGTTTGCCAACCACTAGTATAGAATAACCATTTCCCCAAGTGCATAAGTGGTTCTCACTACATGGTACTCAGATCAACAGCACCAGCATTATCTGAGAAAACTGTTCGAAATGCAAATTATCAAACCTTGGCATGTATCTAAATCACCTGGCAGGCCTGTTAAACACAGAATGCTGGGCATCAATCCCAGTATTTCTGATTCAGTAGATCCGGGCGGAGGTCTGACAATTTGCCTTTCTCACAGGTTCCCAGATGATATGGATGCTGCAGCCAGGACACACTTGGAGAATCACTGCCATAAACAGATCTCTTCCTGTACATGGGATCTGGGGTGGCAGGCATATGGTCATAAGAATGCAGTAGTGGCAGGAGCTAGTTTAGGAAGAGCAGTTGGGAGATTCAGACTTGCTTGTTCCTCTAATTGACTTCTTGCTGGGGTGAGAGTAGGACAGCCAAGGAGGCAAAAGGAGCCAAGGTCATGGCAAGGCGAGGAGCTTCTGGTGCTGTTGTCACCAGGAAGCTCTTCAGAGAGAAAAACTTAAAGAGAATTGGACTGTGCCTTTCACTGCAGCTGCAACTGGCCTGGGCTGGCTGCATTTGTTTCTGACCAGGCAAGGGAGAGGACAGGGGAATTCTCTGAGCCAAGTGAGGAGGACACAGGGAAAATTTACAAAGACCTCGCTTGTCATGAGAGGCTGCAGTGCCACCGGACCCCACTACTTTGCTGTGATGTCAGATCATATACCTTCAGAATTGACTTACTAGACATGTGGCTGTGGAACTGGAGGCTTCAGTGAAACATCTGGTGGGAGGGAACTTACCAAAACACCTGCACCATCACAGCCCAGTCTCTCTTATCTGCCAATACTTCCAACTCCCTAAGACTAGGAGAGCTGAGATTCTTTAATCATTAAATGCCCCTGACGTGAAAGGACAGACTTGTCAAAGCTGGAGGTTGGTGTGCAAAGAGCTTGGATACTAAGCCCTCAACTGTTGTGGGCTTCTCAAGAGATTTGCTGTGCAGCTGGTGAACAGATGCTGCAGAGAGTTTGAACTGTGAGTGGAGCTGCCCACAGGATGTGAGGCATGTGAGGCATGCTCTTGCGTTTTCTGTTGTGAAGAATGTGAGCATAATTATTTCCATGGCCACTGGCTCAAATAGCATTTGCAAATTTACCTCGACTTCCTCTACTTTGGCCTTAGCAAGAAATAGACTATGATGTAACTCACACTTGTATCACAGGGATGCAGTCTTGGTTGGGCTCACACCAGAACTTCCCAAGAAGACAGACTGAAGAGAATCAGCTCAAGGTCACAGAGTGTTGGGAAACGTGGTGTTAGAATATTATTAGGATGTCTAAGGACCAGACTGGGAGAAGAAACACTGTCCTTGCTATACTGCTTTTTGCTCTGCGAGACTCTTTGCTCTGTGAGGCTCTTTGCTCCTTGAAGGGGCTCTCACAGTCCCAGCTCAGAGCCTTCATCAACCTTCCAGGAACTCTGAACCTAATTTCAATCCTGGTTCCTGTTTAAAGACCTCACTCCAATCCTATTTCAGAAGCAAATTTTTTATAGGATTAGCTCCAGATACAAGGTTCTACTTCCTTTGATTTTTGCTGGGTCTGCAGGGTTCTGGCACTGGTTACCATATCATACATATTTCAATTAACAGTTGCCAGGTGATCCGTGATGCCTCCCTTGGTCTTCATGAACAAATTGACCAGACTTTTTCCAAGCATAGATAACAGAGTGACACCTTGACCATAAGACATTTATGTCTTTTCTACAGAAATGAAACCCAGTATAAATA
Organism: Homo sapiens; assembly: GCF_000001405.40. NCBI lineage: Eukaryota > Metazoa > Chordata > Mammalia > Primates > Hominidae > Homo > Homo sapiens. The sequence goes on along the minus strand of NC_000003.12, from coordinate 156,388,005 downwards.
GCAGCGATATGTTTTTTAAATTAACAAATGGAACCTGAACTTAGAGAAGAATTTTTAAAAGTACAATAACAAATACGCGGTGAATTTTCTTTACCATTTAATTTAGTCTTAACTTTATTCTTCTAAGAAAAATCTCTGACTCTTTTCTTCTATAATGGTTTGGATTTTAAAAAAATAAGTCCATATCCTGCACACATCTCCAAGAGTGCCCGCTCATTCACACCATTTTCAGCATTCAGAGTTGCTTGGTCTAAAACACTGATTCACCCTAATGGCTGCAAGATTGCCCCTGCTTGTTAAGTATGTTTATATTGTTAACAATGAAAAATCTATATTTTTCTACTTACACTGGTGAATACAGATCTGTCTAGTAATTGTCCTTTCCATTTTAATTTTTGAATGTATTAAAAATGAGAATCAATCTTGAAAATCAATCACTGTAACTGAACAATAAGGAAATGGCTAAAGACATTACACTACAGCTATAATGGAATATATGCAGCCAACAAAAATGTTTTAAAATTATACTAAATAATGGGAAATGCCACTGGATTAAAAGATAGGACTGTGCATTTTTATCTGAGAACATGAAACCCCATTAAATCCCCTGCATCACTTTCTGTTTGCTCTTGATCTCTATTCTATCCCTAGGCCAATTCTAACCTTTGGGCTTGTCTCTCTGTCCAGCTCTGTACTCATTCCCTAAGGTTAGATCACAACATTCAGCTCCCTGGCTTGGCCTCGGGCAATCCCTACAGCACAAAGGTGGTCATTCTTTGTTTTTTCTGGCCCGGGGCTGCTTCAGCAGTCACCCCGCTCCACACCCTTTTGAATCCTGGGACTTCATCCCTGTGTCAATCACCCTGGCCACATCTGCCCTGACCCAGCCAACCTTCTAGAATGCATAGTACTTTTCAATTTGAAGAGGAAAATTTTGTAAGTCTACAGAGATTGTAGAGTAGCATACAGGCAAAAAAAAAAAAAAAAAAAAGAGAGAGAGAAAGCAAGCAAGCAAGAGAAAGCAAGCAAGCAAGAATGAATGAATCAGGTTCAGATCCTCCAGGATCAGCAAAGGATAAGGAGCTGACATGAAAGGGAAGCTGGGCCTTGCAGCCCTGGCTTTGGTTCTCAAAGATTCATCTTTCCTTTGGGACCTCTCCCATTTGCTCCAAGACTGTTGGTGGTCACCATTATCAGGTAAGGGAACCTTTGAGCATCTGGCCCCAGTTTGGTAAAGAAATTGGTAGATTTCCTCAGAGATGAGGTGAGGTGACTTTAAACAATGCCCTGTGTCTAATAAGTAAATTTGACCTAATTTTACACTTATATTGATAATCATGTTACAGGTAGTTAGACAGGCATGAGCAGGGCAGGAAAGGGCTCTTTCCCCACCCAGTAGGAATGTCGGGTGATGGTTTGGCAATTATCACATTGCCTCTCTAAAAGTGATAAATTGGCAGCCAGTACCAGGGAGAGGTCATTTCCTGATGGTCCACACCTGTTGCACTGAAGTGTCAATTGAATGCAGATGCCAGAGAGATGCAACTTCCCTGTCATGTGCATTAAGAGACATAATGGCAGAGAACGACCTTCCAAGGGCACACCACTGGAAAAGGGAAGAAAGCCTCAGATGGGCATTTGTGCAACTTCCTAAACACACTGTGTGTGCTCACCTGTCAATGGCAAGGAGGGCACTGCGCATGAAGGCATCCCACCCTAAAGGAAGAATCATGGAAAAGGGGCCAGCGTATAAAGTCCTAGGATCACGGTTAAACACCACACTTGTTCTTCAAGTTACTCACTTGGGTCTCTTCCAAGAGTATCTTTTCTTTTCTGTTCTAAAGCCTTTTAAAATAAAACTCCACTCCTACTCTAAAGTTTGCCTCGGTCTCTTTTTCTGCCTTATGCCCCTTTGTCAAATTATTTCTTCTGAGGAGGCAAGAATTGAGACTGCTAGAGACCTGTATGGATTCACTGCTGGTAACTTGGATACCTTCCACCAGTAACAATCATGATTGAATTATTTGAAATACCCATTGCTTAGAAGCTTGAGGGCGATAAGAAGAGCCATACAATTTCTTTGACCTAAAGAGGTGATTAAATCTTTCATGATTTATAATCAGAAAAACTACATTAAAAAAATTGAAATCCAATCTGCAGAATACAACAAATACACAAAATAGAAAGTGCTCACTTTAATTTATAGATATACTTAATGAGCTAATCACAGGGAAATCACTGCTTATGAGAATGAATAAACTTCTGAAAGAGTCTAACATTCAGAAAAATGTCAAGAATGTATTTTGCTGTGTTCATTTATAAAGTTATTACCTAAATTAAACTTCCTTTTCTGGTTTTACTTAAAATATTATTCTACAAAAGTTTCTCTTAGTATAATTTATTTTGCTTTTGTTTCTTCTAAATTAGGTAACTGTGCCATATCTGACATTTTATTTAATTTTGAAATAATGTTTTAAATATGCTTTTTTGAAAAGCATATTAAAATAATTATTTTTATTGTAGGCAATATGTATATCTTTAACTTGGATGCTTTTTTTTTTTTCTTCCATCCAACAAGATCCTCCTTTTGTCTAAAGCAGAACACAGACTGGTTTCTTCTCTGATAAGCTTCTTTCTAAGCTAATAGACTTAAAGATCTAGAAGGCACTAAACAACCAGGCATTTTAGAAACAAGGAGTGGGGGCCATGGAGACTGTGAGTGATGTGGCTTATTGGAGCAGACAAGATTCCCAAAGTAGCACTTTTATCATCATCCTCATCTCTGAGCTTCCTTAGGGCACATGTTTCTCAAACACGGATGTCTCCCTCAAAGCCCCAGATTTAGAAAGCCCTAAAGGTACTCTGACTGGCACTTTGGCATTGGCAGGAAAAGCCAAAGTCTTAAAGAAATAAATGACATTAAGGCAAACTCTACTTGCACAAATCTTACTGAGATTAAATTCATGAGGAGGTTGGTTAGGAGAAAAGTCCAATCCAAACAATTTTATTCTTACTCTTTCTTGTTTTCTTTTCCTTCCCATGGGGCCAGCTGTTGGAAAGGTACTGAAGTAGAAAAAATGATATTCATTGCCTTTACCCTCCTTCCCATGCTTTTTCACCTTCCAGGTGCCCCTACCCCTTCAGGTGCCCTCCTTCTCCTGCCAGAAGAACAAAACCTCTCTGAGGAATCCATTCCAAGGGAGTTTTCACAGAATGGAAGTTTTCTGAGGAGGACCCAACTTCATCTAAAAGAAGAAATAGTACAAGTTCTGATGCGGTTCCTGTGCCAGTGTGAATATATGAAACAAGAAGCCTATCCCAGCACATCTTCAACTATATTCCCTGGCACCTAATGACTGCCTACCACATGAACCATCCCTGCCTCTAGAAAGGTCCTTATTTCCCTTCCTTTCTTTCTACTCATATCTCATGTTCTCATTTCTTCCTAATTTGGTCTCCCTAGAAATAGACTTTTTTTGCTTTTGCACTCCATTTTCCTTTGGTACATTTCTCCAAGAGCAAGTTGTTTCTAGAACAACCTTTGGTCTGAGACCCAGGACTTTTTGAGAGCTAAAGGAGGGAAGAGAGTGATGAAGAAAGGGAAAATCGGGCTTTTCAGCAAATCATTCTTTACTATCGGGCTACTAGGCTGCAGAGTAGAAGGACATTCAGGCAAAGAGTTCACTCAGAAGTATTTTCTGAAAGTTGAATATACTCTCCTTAGTCACTTCATAATATCTTGTAAAAAGACGGTGGTGAAGCAAATGCTGTATCAGCTTTAGCCACTCTGGGTTTCACCATTTTCCAACAAGCTGCCATTCAGTTGTCCATTATCCATTTTTAGCAAAAGGGCAGTGAACTTATTTAATTGCAGAATAAAAAGTGCCTAATTTTATACAACCCTTTAATCTGACTCTTCAAGTAGGATACAGACCAGCCTCCAACATTTAATGTTTCCTGAATCAAATCTACTCTGGGGCTCACCCACCCTGAAAACAACCACCCAAGTACTAAACACCCTTCAAATGACATCTTGTCTAGCTGTCAGAACAGAAAAACTCAAAGCAGGCCTGATGGTGACAGACTGTAGCATCCCTGCCAGCGTCTGGAAACCTGGATGCCGTCAAGTGGCAGAGCTGCGAGGCTCAAAACCAGCTCAGGGGCGAAAAACGCTGTTGGAAACCACCCATCTCTGCCGATGCCTATCAAGCTGGCAAAAGAATCAAGCTGAGAATAATTTTTTTCTTTTTGGCTAGCATATTGAAATCTGTAAACCTCTTTCTGCAGAACAGAAGCTGTTGAGGTTTTATTTTTTTCTGACTTGAGCCAGAGCACATGGGAAGAGCTTGAAACCTAACTTTGCCAAGTATCAGGGTGGGGTGAGGAGAATTTATCTTCACAGTGATGTTATTAGAAAGAAACAAAATGGCCTGTAGGGTGACCAACTGTCCCAGTTTGCCCAGAACTGAGGAATTCCTAGGATGCCAGACTTTCAGTGCAAAACTGGGATAATTCTGGGCAAATCAGGATGGGTATTTATCCTAAGAGTGGATTGAAGTGGCCTAAATTACAGTGCTAAGGAGTTTAGGCCTCATACAAAAGGGTTTCCAGGCAAGCAAAATTTTAAGGGACCATCTTCACCCAGGATGAAAACCCCTGAAGCAGATTACCCATTCATTTATATACAAATTCTAGTGGCAGGAAATGTTGAATTGTTAAAAGTAGAAATAGAAATTCCAGCTGCCAAGTTGGCTTTCAGGCCAACTTGAATTGACCCTTGGGAATGTACCTACTCCTTGCTCCCAACTATATAGCTGCTCTCTCTGAGAGCTCTGCCCTGCCCCCATCCCCAATCTAATCTCTTCACACTGCCTATTTTGCAAGAGCAGCTCTCAGAAAGACCTGACAAGGGCTTTTCCCATCGGATGGCCAGTAAGCATCTTACCAGAAGTTAATAGCTAATAACCTGTTTACAGAACCAACAAAGTTCAGACGTAGAAAGCACCCGAAAGATCATCTAGCCCGAGTTTGTCAAAGCCTGGCATCAGGCTGACTGTGTACAAATCACCAGAGGATGGTTATCAGTCAGTCTAAGCTAGGTTAGGCTGCGCTAACAAGCTCCACACCTCAGCGACATGTAACAAGCCCTCAGGCTTCTTTTTCATTGCAGGTAGGCAGGGTGCTCTGCTTATGGTGGTCACTTGGAGATCCCAAAGTGGTTGCTTGCAAAGCCAGAGGGAAAAACAACCTGGGACAGTCTCAGTCTGGCAATTCCATGCTCCAGTCAGGAAGAGACACTTGCCCCTTCTACTTCCCACTCAGTGGCCAGAACTGTTCCCATGGCCCCACCTCACCACAAGGGGGCCACAAAATGCAACTCTACTTGGTTCCCAGAAGCTAGTGGGACAAAAAATAGTCGGTAAATGGCACCAACCAGTATCACAAAAAGACTAGAAAATGCAGGTTCTGTTTGGTTGGTTGGTTGGTTTTTTTGTTTGTTTTTTGTTTTCGTTTGTTTGTTTTGAGACGGAGTTTCTCTCTTGTTGCCCAGGCTGGAGTGCAATGGTGTGATCTTGGCTCACTGCAACCTCCACCTCCTGGGTTCAAGAGATTCTCCTACCTCAGCCTCCTGAGTAGCTGGGATTACAGGCATGCACCACCATGCCCAGCTAATTTTGTATTTTTAGTAGAGATGCGTTTCTCCATGTTGGTCAGGCTGGTCCCAAACTCCCGACCTCAGGTGATACACCCGCCTCAGCCTCCCAAAGCGCTGGGATTACAGGTGTGAGCCACTCACCCAGCCTGAAAATGCAGGTTCTGGATCTCACTTCTGGAGATTATGATTCAGTAGATCTGGATGGGACCTGGAAATGAATATAGCTTTTAAATTTCCCCAAGATTTTGGAATGGGCAGTGTGTTGGGGAACTTTACAGATGAATTGTGTGGCCCTATTGTACCTAGGGCCACACAGCTCTTCAGGTGAAGTAAAAATGAGGTTAGGTTTCTTGATTCTTGATCCAGTGTTCTTTCAACTTAGCTGCACTGTTCCTTCAAAAGAGTTTGCATTTCATCTTTTTCTTTGCAGCTAAAAGAGTAAATATAATGAAATGTTAAGCATCTGTGCAAGGCTAATGTGGCAGTTGAGTCTTGGGAACCTTTCACGTGTCAAATGACTGGATAGGTATTACCAGTTTTACCCAGGTCTCATCTTTTCCAGGGGCCACAGGATATGGAGGTGAGCAGAGAAGGAACTAGGTAGTAGTAGTGTGTTAGAACCACTTCCCTGTGTTTCCTGCCTGCTGAAACAGCTCCATTTTCCACAAGATCCTTTCCTCATTTTGTGTTTCTGGCCCAGCTTATAATTGCCTTCCAGCTTTCAAAATGTCCACTGATTTAGTTCAGTGAGAAGTTCTGTAAATTTCCCTGAAGAGCCTATTAAAGAAACTTGTGATAAGGCTCTTGCTGACTGTGTTCACTTGGAAGACACCCATGTTAGAACATCTGCTTGTGGGCAAGGAGACCCCAGCCTTGGTGAAGGAGTGAATGCTCTATTCTCTCTACACTGGAGGCTTCACTTCCTTTACCACATGGCCCTGGCTCACTTCCTAATCTCCTCATTATCACCAGAATCCCCTCAGTATCCTCTACTGGGACTCTTCTCTAAAACTGCTACACACTTTGGAGGATCTCATGCTGTTCCCTCAGCCAAAAATGTTCTTTCTCCTTTTGCAGAAATGTCCATCCTTTAACCGGCCAGTTCAGATATCACCACCTATCTGCAAAATTCCCTAATCCCAAGACTCAGCTTTAAATACTCCATACTCCTTCATCTGTGGTCTAATGGCTCTTTGGGCGCTTTTTTGGTTTGTTTTTTAGTGTTATTTTCAATTGAGAAATGCCAATTCTATATGTTTTTGGGACCCAATATGATGCTTTGATATACGCTTACAGTGTGGAATGATTAAATCAGGCGAATTAACAAATGCATCGCCTCACATCCTTATTTTTTTGTGGTGAAAACATTTAAAATCTACTCTTTTAGTAAATTTGAAATATTTAATGCACTATTATAGTGGCTCTTTGTTTATGGCTCTCTTCTGAAAGATTTTCCATCTCCTGTTATAGTGAGTTTAGTTGGAGGCTGATGTCTCCCTCAGCAGACTATACCCCTCAAAATCAGGGACCAGATCTATTTTGTGTATTTGTGCCTTTAGCATCTTATGTAATTCTTGAACCTATTTGATGTTTAATACGTTTCAGGGAGGAAGGAAGAAAAAGTAGGTTATTTTACCTTTCTCCCTAGTTTCTAATTTCCCTAAGGCTATATTTTATTCATCTTTGAAATTATACCTCATTCCCAACCTCACCAAATTTAGTAATGGCTTCACTAAACATGCTGGGCACACTCCTGCTGCAAATATTTGCACAGGCTGATCCCTCTACCTGGAAATCTACCTGATAAGTGCTCTAGAAATGTGTTCAATCTGGAGACTGAAATCTAATGCTAGTTTTTTGTGAAATAGTTGTGTTATTTTGGAGAGCTTAGGTTTTAAGTATTCTTAAATCTAAATTGAAAGGCTTCAAAATATCATTCAGGACTTCCGAAATAAATGCTCAGTACACCAAGGAATGCATATAGCTATCAAAAGTAAATATCAGTCATTGTATAGAACAAAACATGCACAAAATCAAGGTACACTGGAGGAGAACATGGTGAATATTTTTCTATAATACAAACCAACTAAGAAGACAAAGCTGCCACATGTTGTCACCCTGGTTTTCTGCTCTCTTCCTGGCAATGGAAGATAGAGGGGAAGGCGCTGGAGAAGGATCAGGTTTGTTTAGAGACCTCAGCTGATGGATGGGGAGGGGTCAGAGAGCAGAAAGCCAACTTGCTGCAATGTGACTGTTCAGTAGCCTCCATGTGCTTGTGGTGAGAAGCCCCATATCTAGAATTATGAGGTGTAGGAAAGGGAACTTGCAGAAAGAGGACTTAGAGCAGCCACATCCTTCTAGTTATTCAGGCTGAAACCTTAGCACTAGTCCTGACTCTTCCATTTCACACACTACATCCACCGCATGGTGAAGTAAATCTCGTCTACTCTACCTTTAGAGTATGTCTGGAAAAAAATTGTTGCTTACCACTTCTACTGCCACCACCTCTTCCTAGATCATTGAAACCACCTCCCAAGAGTCTCTGTGCCTCTAACCTAAGCCCCTATGCAGTGGCCAGAGTGATCTTATTAAAACACAAATCAGATCCCATCACTGCTTTGCTCAAAACCCGCTGGTGAAGTCCCATTTCCCTCCATGCAAAGGCCTACAAGGTCTGGCTCCTGCTATCTCCCTGACCTGCTCTACTCTTCTCCCCTTGTTCACTCTGTGGTTCCACAGGGGCCCCCTTGCTTTTTCTTAACATGCTGGGCACACTCCTGCTGCAGACATTTGCACAGGCTGTTCCCTGTACCTGGAAATCTTCCCCAGATTATCACATGGCTCACTCCCTCACCTCCTCCAGCTCATGTGTCACCTTCCCAAGAAAGCCTTCCCTGAGTACCCTTTAAAAAATACAATTCCCACACCAACACCCTCATCCACCTTCCTTTTCTATCTTTATGTATAGCACTTAACACCACCTAACATAGTACATGATTTCCTCATCTTATTTATCTGTTCTTCCCCAGTTAAAATGTAAGCTCCACAAGGGCAGAGATGTTTGTTGGATTTGTTTATTGCTATGTCCCCAGCACCTGGAACAGAGCTTGCAGACATAATAGGGCCCCAGTATATATTTGTTAAATCAACCAAGCTCAGAAACAGACAGGATCCCGACTCTTCTCAGCGGGATCGTCACCTGCCTTCAGAGTGCTGCTGCCATGCAATGCTCACAGAGTTCTTCCCAGAGGGATTAAAACAGATGAATCAGCAAATCCCCCTCAAACTGTTCCTAGGGAACTGGTTGGCTGTAAGTCCCACAGAAAGCATGATCCTTGCAGGCAAGAGCCCCCACAGCTCTGGGGATTTTTCAGCAGAAACTGTCAGAGACAGCCTTTGACTCCTGGAATGGTTCCCATGCCAGCTTGAGGCACTGGGGGACATTCCATTTTCTCTTTTGTAGACCCTCCTCCCTCTGTTTTTGGGTCCCTGCTCCTGGCTTCTGTTGAGTCCAGCTTGGCTCTTGACCCTCCTCGTTCCTGGGCTTGGAGCCACCTTAAGGTAAGAGAGAACCCAACCAATAAACATGTTTGGAGTATCAACCCAGGCACTATGTTGGGTTCTAGAGACCGCAAGATGAACCAGTCATGAAGCCCGCCATCCAGAACTCTATGGCCACACTGGGGAGATGAAGTGAGTGCACATAGAAAGGAAAACAGGGAAGCAGGACCTGATTTAACGTTGAATAAATGACACACCACTGGAGTTCAGAGGAGGGGATGAGGGATTTCTTGAACATAGATGCTCAGAGAAAGGTTGAGGAAGAAGGAAGGGTGTGAACTGGCCAAAAAGGGCTAAGGGGAGATAGATAGGCCAACTTAAGAAACAGGCTTTCTGAAAACAAACCATGCATGCATAGTTCAGTGCCCAAGTTTAAGGGGCAAAATTCTAAGGTTTCCTCCAAATTTCAGGCTGGAGGTGTCTGCCTTTTTTTCTGGGTGGACTGTAAGGGTCAGAGAAGCTCCACCAAATAGTGGCTTTCAATCCTACCTCCTCCACCCTTTGTTCTGGGACTAGGTATAAACTAGGTGTCCTAGTTTGCAGACCCAAACACTTAGGAGTGATCTCCGCTCCTAAGCTCTGGACTCTGGAGCATTCTAATGATGAAGAGCTGAGTTTCTCGTCTTTACTTCTCTACCCAGGTCTGTTCCTTAGTTACAGCAAATCCATTTTCCTCATCACCCGCTTTGTTTGCTTTTTCATTTCTGAAATGTGTTCTGAAGATAAAGGCTCCCTGCATGTCCATATACACATTAATTATCCTTCTTCAGAAAGTCAGGCGGGCTCCTCCCCATGCATACCACACCTTCCATAGCACCTCCCCGGAGACTTACACTGACAGTGTCTCTCTGCATGTGACACTATTGGAACCAATCGTTCCTGTCTGAAGAAAAGTTGAGGCAACCCATAAAAATAGGGAAGCACACCGAGAATAAATCAGCTTTTCTCAGCACTTTCCACAAGCTAAGCTTGTTCTTATGGAAGCTTTACTGGGCCTTTCTTTTCGTAATGAACTTGAAAAGCTATTTTCCCAGATGGGCTTGGATAAAGTTTTCTTAGCAATCGCTCTCATATCACACCTGCAGGTATTTACCTCCTGCATGGGACCTCTTTCCAACTCACAATAGGCATTTCCTTTCTTCGGTGGCGATGAGGAAAAGAGGTTGGGGGAGAAAGTGCTGGGATCCGTGAAGTGACTGCAGAGCTCGTTAAGCATTGACAAGTCAGGCCTTCACCTCACACACAATACAGTCCACCAGCCTGGATTTCCTCAGTGCCCTCTCCTCTGAAGTATCCTTATCTCCTTGTCACAAGTGGCAGTATACAACCATTGGTCTGTTTTCTCCCTGGCCTGGCATTCTTCCCCAGTTTTCCACGAGCAGCACCCTGGTCTTCCCTGAGAGCTCCCTGGCTCTTGGTTCGCATGGCTCGGGAGGGGCTCATCCCTCCTCTAACTCACAGGTAGGCTTGTGACCTGCTCAAGCCAACCTGCTCTTCTTTCCCTCCAGCTGGAATCATTGGTCAGGAAGGGGTACATGATCCAATGTAGCCAATAAGAGTTAGTTTTGAGAATTTTTTTTCAGATGCGAAGAGAATGCCTCCTGAGCATCTCCATGTCTTTGAAGCCAAGTAGAAATGAAGAGCTGAGAAATGGAGTAATATCAAACCCTAATGTCCATGATCCAGCTGCCCTTAAAACCAGATACATCCTTAGAATTTTCCATTAATGACTCAGTTAACTTGCCTTATTTTAAGTGAATTGCTTCATTCTGAAAACCAATGGTTAATTATTTTATTTTACTTTTTTTTTGCTGTTTGACACAAAATAAGAGTCCCACTCCTAAATGGGAAAAGCATATCCCTCCTTCTATCTACCTGTGTCCTCGATCTCATCTCCTCAAGTCCTTGTTCCATTGTTACTTTCTCTCTCAACTTTAGTGCCTTGGGTCTTCCTTTTCATTGACTCCTTCCTCTAGATTAAAAATAAGCCCAAGTCTCTTGCATTCTTAAAACACAACTAAACAACCCTCCCTTGGTAGCAGCTTCAGCCTTTCCATAAGCTCTTGACTACCCGCAGATTCTCCCTTTTCTTTCCAGCCAAGCTCATTGAAAGTCATCCGATCTCAGGGGCTTACCTCTTTTTTACCCTTCTTTCCCTGTATTATTCCTCAAACAACAACTATCTAGCTTCTTTTCCCTGCACTTCATTAGAACTGTGCTTATTAAAACCACAGCAACCTCCCAATAGTTTTTCCCTGTGGTTGACTTTTGGTCCTTGCTTTTTTTCACTCCACTATGTGTTATAGTGTTGGCCTTGCCCTCATTTTTCATTCTCTTTCCAAATTGTCCTCTTCAGTCTTTGAACTTTGCTTTGTAGTCTTTGCTGACCTTGCATCTTCTGTCTGTCTCTTAAATGCTGGACTCCATGGCTCATCCTCTGCTCCTCTCCCTCCTCTCACCATTCTTTCCTCTTGGGCATGACTTCTTCATCTACTCCAGTGCCTTCCACTGTTGCTCTCACACTGCCTCTCTCTTGCTTCTGAATTCCATCTGGGAATTTCCAACTTCCTCTGAGTACCCTATGGACCAGGTTATGGGGACATCGAGCTGGCATAAAGCCCCATACATAGTAGATGTTCAGTTAATAACTGTTAAAAGAATAAATGAAAGGCTGGGTGAGGTGGTTCACGCCTGTAATCCCAGCACTTTGGGATGCCAAGGCGGGTGGATCGCTTGAGGTCAGGAGTTCAAGACCAGCCTGGCCAACATGGTGAAACCCCATCTCTACTAAAAATACAAAAATTAGGCGGGCATGTTGGCATGCGCCTTTAATCCCAGCTACTTGGGAGGCTGAGGCAGGAGAATTGCTTAAACCCAGGAGGGGATGGTTGCAATGAGCCGAGATTGTGCCATTGCACTCCAGCCTGGGTGACAGAGTGGCACTCCAACACACACACAAAAAAAAGAAGAAATCTTCAATATGTAGGACACTTAACTCCAGGCATACAGACTTTCCTCCCATACTGGCAAAGTTATGTTGTGCCTCTGTTCTTTTGCATATGGTTTTTCCACTGCCTAATTTTCTTTAGGTGCCACTTTGCTGCCTACTTTTCTTCCTAATATCAATTCAAGTATTCCTTCCTTTGAGAGACTTTCCCTGGACAACACACACATGCACATGTGCCTCCACACAGACACAATTATTTTCTTTTGCCTCTGAGACCAAACACCATTTTATAATTCATTTTTAAAGAATTATAACATGTATTAACGTTGTTTTGATTTGCTTACCTATGTTTCTGTCTGTGTCACTAGAAAATGAGCAGGTTCTGGTCTATTCTCTGCCCCTTCCCAGCTTTGCAACATCAGGAATGTCGTTAAACTTCTCGGAGCATCAATTTCCTTACCTAACAAATGGAGATAATAACACCAGCCCAGCTTCCACCACAAAAGTGGCTGGGAGTGAGGGGCTGCATAGGGATGAGCTTCATAAACTCTACAAAGAAGGACTGTGGCCTTTTGCAAGGAAGAGAGGATGAAGAAAACTGCATTCTACGTTCTGCTCTGTCACTCACCAGCTCTATTAACTAGGGTCAATTTTCTTGTTTGAAGAAAGTTGGACTATGAATATAGGAGATAATGCATGTGAAATTGTTTTATAAATCACGACAGTCTAATGCAAGGCATTGTTATTTTATCATCGTTTACCTTAACTGACCTACTCTGAACATAAAACCAAACCAAACAATGTCAGTGCAGTGGTCAATAAAGGAAGAAGTGAGGGAGACTTACATAGTGAATATAGTCCTTGTATATTTATATCAAAGAATGATGTTGGCTTAACATTTTAAATTTCTTTGTGTTTTCTATAATGAGAACTCACGTCTATTAATCATTTATATTCAGAACATCGTGCTAGGCACTTAATCTGTATTTTTTTAAAATCTAACCTTTACAACAACTTATTACAGTAGGTATTGTTAATACCTACTTTCCTAAGCCCCACTTCATACATAAGGAAAGCGAGGTTTAACTAAGGCCGAACAGCCATAAGTGGCAGAGCTGGGCATGGGACCACATCTGCCTCAATGAAACTGAAGTTTGTGCCATTCACCTCTGCATTCTACCACCTCTCGCTAGTGGGAAGGGCAAAGGTGAAGCTTCTACCCATGCAACCACCAAGGCTGCTATTTCCGCTGCAATTTCCATAAGCCAATTTCTATAAGGCTTTGGACTGGAACTACCTATTGCTAGGAATTAAGCCTCAATATTGGTGTACCTTCTAAAAAATAATGTTTGACAAATAAACACTTTGTATGTGCAAACTCCCATGAACAAATCAAGCTTCCCAAGCAAATAAAGTGCTCTAGGGTATGGCTCAACACTGAAATAGCTCAGGAATTCATGGCCAAAATTAGTGAGGAGACCAAAGTTAGTTTTTCGCTCCTCTCCATTCCTTTATTTCTCACAATAGACACTCAGGACAGAGTCACAGGATCAAAGAGTCTAAGAACAGGAAAGTTCTCTGAGGTAAATTCATCCTATTCTTTCATTTTCTGAGAAAACTGAGACCTAGAGAGGTTAAGTGAGTTTCCTGAGGCCACCCAGTTGGCAGGCAGCTGGCGCCTGGTCACTCCCTATGGAGTAGAGGACATGTAAGATCTAACCCATTTAATATTCACAATAACTCTAGAAGGTAGGTGCTATTATCACCCTCATCTTACAGATGAAGAAACTGAGGTATAGAGAGATTGAACGACTTGTCCAGTGAAGACAGAGCTAAGAATCTAACCCTGGCCATTTGGCTCCTCTTAACCTGCTTCCCTCCAGATCTTTCATGAGCTACCCCATTTCACACAGGACAGACACAGTTGGGGAGCCAGCCCCTTGCCTGGCCTGAATGGATCAGACCATTATGATCCCCTGTTCTGACCAATACCTGAGGTAGGATCAATTGTTTTGTTTTGCTTGCTAGGGCCTACCACAGTGCAGGTCAGAAAGGGCCTTTGGTACAAGGCTGATGGCCGTGGAGGGCCTTACATTTAGCCTTTTGGTATTCTTCTTACCCAGGCCATGCAGAGTCTCAGAGAGACATAGAAAAAGTGGAAATAAATTTTGCCATATAGACTGAAAACATAGCTTATCTTACAAACTGTGGGTTGTTTTTTCTTAAAAAAAAGTATTTTGTTATCCTGTGATTAACAACTATTTTACATTTTACATTTCCTGTTAAAAGGGTATTTACAGGATAATAAACATTTAAAATGCACTTCAGCTTCTGTAACTTCATTTCGCATTTCTTCCTTTTTTAAAAACAGTGAGGTCTCTCTTGAAACCTGAGAGGCCTTGACTCTTCACTTCTGTGAAGTCTCTCCAAATTATCCTTTATGGAAAATGAAAATGAGATTAAGCTCCCCATTTAAGGACTGGCTGCAATAAGAGTGATTAAATCTGTCTAGATTTCATATACCCTGGTCTCAGGAAATTTCCAAGCCTTTTGTGGTGTTTTTCCCTGGCCCGGCTGTAATTGTTTTTCAGTAGATGAGATTGCTTTGTGGATTTGCCCTGTTGTGTTGGGATGAAATAACAAAAGAAGACAGTTTCAGCTGCTCAGCTGCCTTGAAATCTTGTGTTTGACCTAAGAAGCTCAGAGCTGCCTGTGTTTTCCAATTTAGGAAGTTGCTAACTGGTCATCTGCTGCCCTTTATAATTTACACACATAATTTTATAATGCCGTTTATAATTTACACATAATTTTACCTTTTCTGCTTACATGCATTTAGCCCAGAAGCATTTAGTAAATGTTCACTGTATGTCTGGCATGTGCCAATGCCTCTGCCAGTCCTCCAATAGCCAAAGTCTCAAAACAGAGAGGACCTGAGAGAGGCTGTAGCCCTAAGTGTTCATCAAGTCATCATTTAAAGTTTCGGTGGCATTCCCAAGCATTCACAAACTATCCTGTAATATTCTTTCACAGCCTCACCTTGGCATTCCCTAACCCCAAGGCATTGTATATTCTGGCTATACCAAATTTCCAATTTATCTCTGAAACATCACGCTGTTTCTTTGTCTACAGTGTCCTCTTGTTGAAGCATCTTCCTCTACCTGGCAAACCCAGCTCCTGGCAAAAGCTTATAAATGATAGCTCACACCTACTGAGTGTTTGCCATGTGCCAGAGTTGTTCAGACTCCACACTTGTACAATTCAGTGGTTCTCAAAGTGTAGCACCCTGTCCACCAGCATCATCAGTATTACCTGGGAGCTTGCTAGAAAAGCAAATTCTACAGTCCACACTAGACCTATTGAATCAGAATCTCCAGGGTGGGGCCCAGCAATCTGTCTTAACAAGGCTTCCAGGTGATTCTGATGCAGGCTTAAATTTGAGAACCACTGTTTTAAACTTAATCCTGAAAACAACCCTATGAGGTGAATAATATTATCATCCTCATTTTACAACTGAGTTCACTGAGGGATAGAGATATTAAGTAACTTACCCAAGGCCACAGTGCTAAGGCCAAAGCCACGCCCTTAACCACACCATATCCTACTATTCAATGTATTACTCTCAGAATTTTATTTTCTCCGTGAGGAAATTCCTCTCTGCCTAATTTGCTTCTGTGTTGCACAGTATGTTGTATCCAATCTCCCTTTTCACATTGTATTATTTAATAAATAATTTTAAGTCTCTGGTTTGCCTGAGACCAGTAAGGTCCTCTAAACCAGAGACGCTGCAAGTAATTAATCTGTAACTGCACATGTGGTCTCGGGCGACGGCTGATGACTATTTGCTTATAATGAACAAAAAAATAAACCAGTCACAAGGTTTTATCAACAGTTTGCTACAATAAAATTAGTTTGGAACCATTTTCAGTATTCTGTAACGAGCAAAGATTTATGGATTCATAATCCTCATTTTATTGCCTTCTGGTTGTTAAAGTAGTTTTTGTGAGGAAAATTAGCTTGGGCTCTGCTTATATTACATGCAGAGTTAGACTGACCATTGTAATTCATTTCAACATCTATTGGCTATACCGAGTATTTTTATATGCAAAATACTGAAAAACTGAGGGGGAGATTTAATTGGTTTTTACTAAAATTGATGATCACTGCAGTACATTCAAGCCCCAATTCCTCTGGTTTCTTTTTCACATGAAAAAAATGTACCCTGAGCCCCCTCCTTTAAGATTGCATTTCTGTAATTTTTCAAAACCTGTTTTAGACCCTAGTCTGCAGTATCCTATTTTTCTCTAAATAGAATCATGTCTCAGGAAGTGAAAAAACGATATCAGCAGTCAAGACAATTTCAAGAGGAAGAAATGATGCACTGGCCTGCTCAGGGTATTTCAGCAGAAAAAATAGAACAGGGGAAGGCTGGGGATGTTAGAAGCAAACATTTGTTGAACTTTTTGCTGTTTGACTTTACCCTCCCAATAACCCTGTGGTAGCTTCTTTTTCACATAAGAAAACTGAAGCTCAAGAGGTTAATATTCACAAGGTCACAGAGCTGGTGACAAGTTTAAGATTTGAACCTAGGCCCACTGCCTCCCAAGCCCACACTGTTCTCTAAGCAATTTCCTTGACCCCTTGAGGGCAGATGGTGGGTGTAGGGGAAAGACACCTAAAAACAATAATCTAAGCATATCCTTAGAATGACTCTGTATGGCAGATACTTCTCAATGTGTGTTCCATGCTGGAAAATCTGGAAGTGGCCAATGCTGAGATTCATTCCTTATCTATGATAAACATCTGAGCCCCTGGTTTGTACCATGGAACACAGGACCATCCAAGGAATTGAGGCCTTGAGTTTGGGTTAAATGAAGGATGCCAGGTGGAGGTTGTTGAGTGAGAAGGCTATATGAACTGCATGATGTTCACAAGCCATTGCAGTTTTCCTGTGCCGCCTGCCGCCACTGGATCGTTTCCATGTGTAAGGCGGTTCTCCTACCCAGCCTGCCACCACGGAATCTCTCCCCTGTATGTGAGCCCTTAATAAAACCCCACGTCTCCTTTGCTGGTTCTGGGTCTCTTTGGCCTCTTTAACCTGTGCCTTCCCTATTGAGTTTAACAGAAGTTCGGCACAACAGTGGGAGAGATACAATCCAGGGAGGGCTTTAATTCCTCCATTGTGGAGCTCAGGAGCCAACCCTTTGACTTCTTTTGTATCATATCCCCTTCCCTTTCCAGTGACCTGATTCAGTCTCATACATCAGTTTGCATTAAGATGTGTTTTTGAATGAACAAATGCCACATCAGAACCCTCATCCCTCTTAGTGTCCTGGGGCATTATAAACATGTTCTCTGAAGGCTTAATTTTATAATCCTGGCACTGGACTTTTGGTATTATGGATTATTTCACTTAGTGCTAAAAAAATTTCAGGCAGGATAATACATTTCACATTATTTTATAAGTGATTGTACTTTACAACCACATTTTTAACTTTTTGGCACTTTATCTGAAAGAGCTCTTGCTTTGGTTGGCTCTGCTGCTTCTCCCTTACTTTGTCCCATAAACCTCCTTCCCTGAGTAGCTTCAACAATAGAATGCCCAGACCTGTATGTTTTAGTGCTGACATCAGAGGAGCATGTTTGCATGCAGTGATCCAGTTGAAGCTCAACTCCTCTCTTATCCTAGTGTCAAAATGTAGCTGTATTCACTGTCATAACACAAGAGGGAGAATTTTAGACCTATACTGGGAAATTGCAGCAGAAGGCACAAACTGTCCAGAGGGTGGAAAGTGAAAGCATTATATTGTCCCTTTTTATGAACATTTTATTGTGCATGAAATTTAGTCTTCTATTTCTTTCTAAAATGGAAGCAACGTTAATGACATTTAGTGTATCTTTGGCTTTTAAAAACTGACTTGTTTGGGAAGTATTTTTTATGTCTCAGAACTAATCTCCATGATGTGACAGTTGGAGCAAATTAAGAATTCACAAAAGTATCATTAAGATTGGTGTAAGATAAACAAATGACAAGATTGGAACATGCATTTTATGTTAGAAGAAACTACAGTTTTCTTAAGTGACATTTGTTTAAGCTTAAGTACATCATTTATATGTGGCTAAGTATATAAGGCCCAAGATTCTCTTGGATTCTGTTTTCTGAACTGTGTCAAAGAATCTCTTCCCCTAAATTCAGGAGACTTTCCTACAGTGGTATGTGAGGTTTGGTGAGGGAGATAGGCTAGCAGTTCCTTCCTTTTTTCCTTTCTTATTTTGCTGCTTCTCTCCCCTTTAAAAAACATATTTGCAACTTTGCTACGCAAACTGTGTGCTTTTGATCCACCTGGGGTTGGAGAGAGTGAGAACTCTATGACCCAGTCAAGCTATTTCTATATATCTAAGAGAAACGAATACATATGCTTACAGAAAGATACATACAAGAATGTTCATGATGGCTTTATTTATAATAACCCCAAACTGGAAACATCACTAATGTTCATCAACAATAAAATGGATAAACTGTGGTATATTCGTACAATGGAATATCATACCGGAATGAAAAAGATCAAACTACTAGTATACATGAAAACATGGATGAATTTCAAATATATGATAGAAGCCAGACTTAAAATGATACATTCTGAAAAATTCCACTTCTGTGAATTTTAAGCACAGGGAAAATGAATTTATGGTAAAAGAAATCAGAATAGTGGTTACCTATGGAGAGGTGATATTGACTGGGAACAGATATGAGAAAATCTTCTAGGGAGGCAGTGGGTGGGGGTGGAAATGTTCTAGATCTTGACCTGCCTGTGGTTACATGAGCATATGAAAAACTAACAAGTTGTACATTGAAGATTTGTGCCTTTTACCACATACAAATTATATATCAATGAACGTATTAAAGAAACAAGCAAAGAAAGAGCAATAGCCAAAACCTATGCATCCATGCTTTACCAAGGAGCTTGGGGCTATAATTATTTCAGCATTTCCTTTACTAAGGGACAAAGCGTTGCAGGAGATGGAATAACATTGAGTGGTCATCTTGTACACGGGGCACTGTGTTAGTAACTTTATTTTACCTTTTAATACTTACTTCAACTTGGGAAGTATTCAGAACAGGTATATATCATCTCTGGTACTAAATATGAATGAGTCTGAGGTCACACTTATTAATAAATGTCAGAGTTGGAGTTATATCCCAGGCACATTGATGCCATTCTACCATGCTGCTATTCCAAGGCAAGCTTTATTTGCAAATAACAGTTGAAAATAACAACAAAGGGTGATGTTTTGAGAGGCCAAGGTGAGGGAATTGCTTAAGCCCAGGAGTTTGAGGCTGCAGTGAGCTATGATTGCACCTACACTACAGCCTGGGCAACAGAGAGAGACCCTGTCTCTAAAAAACATTAAGAAAACAAAGAGTGAAACTTCCTCTAAACAACAGTGACAAAGAGTGAAACTGTTGCTCATCATCCCCTTTGAACGGATCACCAGGTGAGCTTTATGCACAGATGCATTCGTTGAGATTTTGGGGGCACAGAGAACTGCTCCCTACTCAGAATGCCACCTCCCAGCCCTCCCAGGTTTGCCAGATAAAATACAGAATGCCCAGTTAAATTTGAATTTCAGATCAATCACGGATACATTTTTTAATATAAGTATGCCCAATGTATTGCATGGAAGACACACTGGAAAATTATTCACGGTTTATCTGAAATCCAAATTTAACTGGGCATTCTGTATTTTTATTTGCTAAATTTGGCAACCTTATCCATTCCATCTTTTCTGTGATAACTGCACATCCTAGAGCCTTTCATTTCACAAACAGGATTTAGGTTTAATTGCATAAAATCAAACATATATACAAACAAAACCCTGAAAGCAGCTTTGAGGAGGAAAGGGGACATTGTTTGTTTGGAGTTTGGGATAGGGAAGGAGATCCTGTAGGGAAATTCTGCAACCTCAAATTTTTGTCTTGTGTATTTTTTAAAATATCTTCCGATTTCAGAAATAGAAAAAAAGAAAAGATCTCTTTGCTTTGTAAATGAATTTGTGACAGAGTTCCTTTGCATTTCTGGCTTATTTGCCTGCAGCATGCAAGGCAGGGAGAAGGGGAAAGAAAAGGGGTTAAACACTGGGCCCCTCTCAGTCCTGCACAATGTTGCTGCTATAGCCATTTCCATTTGGCAATTTGTTAAGAAAAATGAAAAGTCTCCTCAAAATTGCCAGCTACTAAAACAGTACCAGCTGCAATTTTTGAATTATCAATTTTTGGTTGGAAGGATAGAGGGAGATTGCTTTTTCATATTCTCCAAACAGGTTTTTCTGTGAATAAAGGATGTGTGTTAAAATAGATTACTCGGCCGGGAACAGTGGCTCAAGCCTGTAATCCCAGCACTTTGGGAGGCCGAGGCGGGTAGATCATGAAGTCAGGAGATCGAGACCATCCTGGCTAACACAGTGAAACCCCGTCTCTACTAAAAATACAAAAAAAAAAAATTAGCTGGGCGTAGTGGCCAGCGCCTGTAGTCTCAGCTACTTGGGAAGCTGAGGCAGGAGAATGGCGTGAACCCAGGAGGTGGAGCCTGCAGTGAGCCAAGATTGCAACACTGCACTCTAGCCTGGGTGACAGAGCGAGACTCCGCCTCAGAAAAAAAAAAAAAAAAAAAAGGTAGATTACTCTGAGATGCCACTTGCAGGGAGGTGAATTGTTAGCGGCACTAATTATTCATGCAAAGGACTTTTATGAACTACAAAACTCTCTGAAATTTTCTATTCAAATTCAAGGATCTAATCAACCTGCCCAGGTACTAGATTAGCCATTTTGACAATATTATGACTTTCTGCTTTTAGTGCAGGTTTTTTGCAATAGTCCCGGGACCAGGTCTTTTCCTTCTGTTAACTTTATGCCTATTCTCAGCAGCTAATATTATTCTTGGGAGCTACGTGGTTTAAATTTAAATGCAGCAGTCCTTTAAAATAAGACATATGTAACCTATAACTGCGTGACAGGTCACTGTTGAGCAAAGTGGTTTCCCTGTTTGAATGTTATTAAGACAAAATTAAGATGCAGAGATACTGGATTCCCCTATGAACTGGATAATGATTACAAATTATTGCTCTAAACATGGCTTAGGTGGTGATGCAGCAGTCTTTGCTGCAGGCTGGAGAATTATCCTTGTCTTAAAGGGATGGGATGCAGGAAATTCTCAATTCCTGATTTGGTTATCCCTCAAATGACCTTAAAGGGTATCATGGTGGCTGGGAGCTGGGAGCTCCACGCTATGGCTACCTTTTCAGTGGGGGCCATCACGCCTGACTTTATCAAGCCCCACAAGCTTAGGGGTCAAAATTCTGTCCTCTATTTTCTCATTCCTTAACAAATGATTATTGAGCACTTAGTATGGCCCAGTCCTCTTCTAGGAGCCAGGGGCACAGTGATAAACAAAGCAAACAATGTCCTTAACAGTTCCAGTGGAGGAGACAGATGACAAATGGCCATATAATGCATGATTCCAGATTTTCTTGCTTCACTATTTTCTAGCACCAGCCTTCCATATGTTCAGTTATTCAAAGTTCACTCTTTTTTCATCCCATCATTTGTTTTAAACTCTACCGGAGAGAAGGAGTGAACATACAGTTTCAAAAAAGAAACTGCAAACCATCAGTTTGCCATTTCCCATCTTCAGTAGTCATGAAAATGCCAGATTGCATTCATATTGCACATATTGTGATATTTGTGCATTAGTTATAATAATTTTTATCAACTTTTTGAGGGCCAAAACTTCTACTTTCTTTCATTAATTTTTATGTGTAAGGGCCAAGTGTAGGAGAAAAGATAAAGGCTGAGGAGAAGAACATTTTCCTTCAGGTCCCATTCTTTCTAAACAGTGAGCCCACCCCTGCAAGCCACAGTCTTTACCTCTTAGACTTCTGCAGTCTGACAATTTCATTTCTGCAATTTTTAAAAACCTGTTTGCCTTGATTATGTCTGATCTGCATCCATTTGGATTGTATGAGGCTGTAAACTCCTGGAGTTTAGAATCTTGTTTATTTGAATTCATTTTGGAAAGGCTGAAGCCAGGACCAAATGCTTTGCAAGATAATGAGCAATAGCAAGCAAAAATTCAAGATGAAGAGGCTCAGGACTTCCAGACAAAAGGGTTTGATTTGTCCCCAAATCACTACAGACAAAAGAGCACAACACACAGCCCAGCAGGAGCCTAGACGCAAAGGTAAATGATAAGAAAGTATATGAATATGAAAGCGTGCAATCACCATGATTACAACTGTGAAAAATACTGGTGTATAAGAGCAAACACTGGAAAGGGGGTGCAACAAGCTAGGAGAATTTGGAGGCACTATAATGCCTTATTAATGTTAACATTCTATGAGGCTAAAGAGAAGTTCAGTGGCAATTAGCATTCTCCTTAGTCAAGAGGAAGATGAGCCTCTTGCACGTCTACGCCATACAGAAAATAGAAATTAACACTATTGACAGTTATCTATTTACCAGGCAACTTACACATGTTCCGTCATTAAATATCTCAACCACCTTATGAGGTAGGTACTATTACTACCAGCATCTCCATTTTTCCCATTTTTAAAATGAGAAACCAAGAGGTCAAGCAAATTGACTGGGGTTACACAGTGAGTAAGAGTTAGAACAAGGTTTTAAACCATGCCAAGTTAGTCCAAAGACCAACTCTTAAGCCCTGTTCTGTCTCTGGCACAAAAAACACCTAGAAAAACTAAATTTCCTCTTTCCTTTCCCCAGCTTGGATCTAAGTCCCTCAAATACCTATGCTAGACTTCGTTTCTGGAGATGACAATCCACATCTTCACTAGTAACGGGTTGTGTTTGATATTTAGCTTTGCTATTACCTTTTTCCTGGATGTCATCTCTCCTAGGACCTCCCTCTGCCACTTTTTCCCTGAAAATAAGTGTACAAGTACTTTTAATGAGATTGATTTTTGAATATTGTCTCTTTTCCCATTCAAGTGTCTGTGCTTATTTGTGTTGCAGGTGTTTTTTTTGTTTGTTTGTTTTTTTGTTGTTTTTGGAGATGGAGTTTCACTCTTGTTGCCCAGGCTGGAGTGCAACGGTGCCATCTTGGCTCACCGGAACCTCCACCTCCCAGGTTCAAGCAATTCTCCTGCCTCAGCCTCCCGAGTAGCTTGGATTACAGGCATGCACCACCACACCTGGCTAATTTTGTATTTTTAGTAGAGACAGGGTTTCTCCATGTTGGTTAGGGTGGTCTCGAACTCCCGACCTTAGGTGATCCGCCCGCCTCGGCCTCTCAAAGTGCTGGGATTACAGGTGTGAGCCACCGTGCCTGGCCTTGTGTTGCAGTTTTAAACCACACAGAGGCATCTCCATTGCTGTGTGAGGGACACCTCCTTCAGAGTAATTGCTAATATATGTTGTTATGAGCTGATCATCATTTGATATTCATCAAAGGACTTGGTTTCATGCTTAGCTGAGGTCTGAAGAGAGAATTTCTGACATGAAAAATGGACTGATCTTAACTAGAACTAATCACTTTACCCTAGTGTTCAAATAAACCTCATTTATCATAGATATATCTCAATTGCTCTGAGAGAGTAAAGGTCTATGCAAATCTGTACTCTTAATTCTACAATTCAGTCTGAATCCAGAGGAATGGGACAGATTACCTCTGGAACTTCCTTCAGGTTGATAATCCCATGCCCTCCTTGGCATGCCACCCTACCCTGGCAGTCTCTCTTGATATGACAAGAATTGAGTAGTAGTGACTGAAAGATTTTTGAGAAAGTGCCAAGTATTGTGTGGAATAGAGGAAATAAAGGTTGTTCAATTATCAAGTACATAAGCACAACACACCTAAATCATAGCACTGAACTTATTTGTCACTAACGTTTAGTGGCTACAGTGGAAATGGTATGATCCAGCATCATGGAGTTTGTCTTAGAGCTTTCTAGTCATCAGTTTGGGAGAAAATGGGTTGGGTTAATCTGAGATTCTGCACCATTTTATGTAGTCGCCTTGTAAACATCCCTAACTATAATAAATAAGATTGCTGAGGCCAGGTGCGGTGGTTCATGCCTGTAATCCCGGCACTTTGGGATGCCAAGGCAGGCAGATTACGAGGTCAGGAGTTTAAGACCACCATGGACCAACATGGTGAAACCCCATCTCCACTGAAAAATACAAAAATTAGCCGGGTGTGGTGGTGTGCGCCTGTAATCCCAGCTACTCAGGAGGCTGAGGCAACAGAATCTCTTGAACCCAGGAGGCAGAGGTTGCAGTGAGCTGAGATTGCACCATTGCACCCCAGCCTGGGCAACAGAGCAAGACGCTGTCTCAAAAAAAAAAAAAAGATTGCCAAAGTGCAGAATTTGCAGATGTCTTACACTTATTCCTGCATTAAGCAATATGCTTGATCAGATTTAATTGGATTATTTGTGAATGAGTACGATAAATGCTCAATTAAAATATTTTCAATTAATAACATAATCCATTTTGGCTGGACATACAGTCAGAGTAGCAAAAACAAATGAATAAATAAATGACTAACCAAAATACTAAAACCTTCAAGGTTAGATGTAATAAGGCATAACCACTTGTCAAACTATGGCATTTGAATATGCTTTGCAAAGAATTATATGTATTTACCTAATACACAATAATGTCATTAATTTCAAATGTGATCTGGGGTGAAACTAATTATTTTTCTGAGGCAATGTAATGGTTTCTTTAGCTTTAATATAATTAACTTCCCATTGGGCACCCAGGCATTCACACTGGAGTGCCAATCACACTAAGCCATTTCCGCTGCTCTTTCTGTGGCAGCTCTGGAGGCAGCATCCTGACTCCCTTCTCCACATGGCCAGAAAACCTGCTGCCACAGACAATGCCTCAGAAAGTTCCGAGAACTGAGCTGGGCTCATCAGGGTTGACTGCTTCTGTTCTCAGAATTGTTGTTTAATTCCTAATGAATTTACCAATAGAAGACCATACTTTAGATAACTTATTCAAATTTGTATATGAGAATAAAATTATAAACAGTATTTTTTTCCAGGAGCCAGTAGATTCATAATTAAGTGTAATGGTCTAGAGAATACAACTTTCCCTTCTTTTCACTCAATAATAATAAAGATAACTATAATAGCAATAAAAACAATAATAGTACTTATCATTGATTATCAGTTCTGTGTCCCACACTGTTCTAAGCATCTTACATGTATTTACTCAATTCATCCTCACATCAACCAATGAACTAGTATTAGTAATAACAATACTATTATTATTTCCAATTTTCAGATGAGGAAACTGAGCTAGATAGCCTAAGTAAGGTCATGTAACTGTAAACAATTAAAACCCAGGCAATTTGTCTGCAGCAATCCTGCTCTTCAATTCAATGCCACACTGCCTCAACAACAGCAGTGATATACAGTTGTGATACTTAATCAGATGTTGATCAAGTTCACATGAGCACAGTATAGATGTCAAAGTTTTCTCTTGCATTTAACTGTTGCTTCACTCCTCATTCCTATTTACACAATTGTTTCTCATTACAATAATAATCACGTCATTCTAGAAATTTTAAAAATTACGCTTTTAGAAAATTTAGAATGTATAGAAGAGCATCAATAATGAAAAATCAGCCATAATCCTTTCACTGTACACTTTTCAGTCTTAGATAGATATATGTAGATGTGCATATAGATGTTGATATATAGATATAGATGGATATAGAGCTATAGATACAGATATAAGCTCTATGAGAACAGTATTCTTGTCTAGTTTTTTTACAATTGTATTTTAAGTTCCTAGAACAACGTTTGGCACAGGGTGAGGGGTTAATAATATTTGTTGAATAAATATAGACAAATAATTCATTCATTGCAGTGGCTCACGCCTGTAATCCCAACACTTTGGGAGGCTGAGGTGAGAGGATCACTGGAGCCCAGGAGTTAGAGACCAGCCTGGGCAACATAGTGAGACCCTGTCTTTACAAAAAATTTTAAAAATTGGCTGGGTGTGGTGGCATGAGCCTGTACTCCCAGCTACTTGGGAGGCTGAAGTGGGAGGATCCCTTGAGCCCAGGAGGTCAAGGCTCCAATGAGCTATAATCGTGTGCACTGTCTCTGTTGCTTAGGCTGCACTCCAGCCTAGGCAACCAAGAGAGACCCTATCTCAAATAAAATAAAATAAAAAATTCTAAAAATATTTATTGAGAGCCTTTTCTGTGCCAGGCACTGCTCTGGGCAGTAGGGCTATCGCAATGAAAAAGTGATCCCTGCCCTCATGGAGCATACATGATAGTGGGGAGTGGCTGACAATAAATACCTTTATGTGTGTGTATATATTATTCACACACATACACATATATACACACACATATCAAGGGGTGATAAAGTCAGGTGGTGATGAGCTTCATGAGAAAAAATGAAGCAGGGAAGGGGTATGTGGAGTAGGAATGGGGTGGCCATGTGGAATAGGGAGCCGGTGCTGATGGCTTCACTGAAAACCTGCCCTATGAGATGAGACCTGAAACTGGGGAACAGACAGCCACGTGGATGGCTAGGGAAGAGAAGGAAGGGAGTAGCAAGTGCAAAGGCGCTGGAGTAGGAGGGGCTTGGTCTGTTAGAGGAACATCCCGGGGGATGGTGTGGCAGGAGCAGAGTAAGCTGAGATGAGAAGAATGATGAGGGCGGTAAAGCTCTGGGGAATTGAAGTGTCAGAGCATGTAGGGCTATGTTAGGCCATTGTGAAGGCTTTAGCTTTGATTCTGAGTGTACTGGGAAGACATTGGAGGGTTTTACACAGAGCAGTGATGTGAAATGACTTCAGGTTTAAAAAAGTATCACTGGCTGCTGTGTTGCAAGTGGGCCAAGGGGACAAGGGAGACAGCAGCAGGATCGGTTAGGAGGCTGTGGCAGTAACCCAGGCGAGAGATGGCAGTTTGGGCTGGATGGTAGTAGAGGAGGAGGTGAGGAGCAGCTGGAATTCGGATACATTTTGAAGGGAGAGTCAACAGGATTTGCTGACAGATTAGATGTTAGGCAGAAGATAAAATAAAGAATTAGGAATGATTCCAACATTTTGGTTTTTCTTTTTTTTTTTTTTAAATAGAGGGAGAGAAACAGAGTCTTGCTCTGTCACCCAGGCTGAGTGCAATGGAACAACTGTAGCTTACTACAGCCTTGACCTCTTGGGCTCAAGCAATGCTCCCTCCTCAAGCCTCATGAGCTGCCAGGACTACAGGCAAATGTTACCATGCCTAGCTAATTTTTTATTTTTATTTTGTAGAGAAGGGGGTCTTGCCATGTTGCCCAGGGTGGCCTCAAACTCCTGGCCTCAAGCGATCCTCCCACCTCAGCCTTCCGAAGCACTGGGATTATAGGCATGAGCCAGTGTGCCCAGCTAAGTTTAGACTTTCCTGACTGGAAGCATGAGGAAAAATTATCTGTCATTAACTGAGGTGAGGAAGGCTACAGAAAGGCAGGCTAGGTTGGGATGGTGAGTCAGGAGTTAGGAGTTTGGTTTTGGATATGTGAAGTCTGAGATCCACGTAGAGATGATAAATGGGCAGCTGGATGTACGTATCTAGAGCCCCAGAGCTGGGAGAAACTCAGGCTCGATGCAATGATGTGACTAGTTGATTACAAAATTTACATAATTTTTGAATATGGTAATATACTGTTTTTATTTAACAATAAATTATGAACATTTTCTCATCTGGTTAAATAAAATTACATAAATTTGAAATGAATAGTAACCGAACACTGAAGCTTAAGAACAGTCCTAGAAAACCACATTTATTATCTTGTTTAATCCTCACACAAACACCATGGTATAGCTATTTTGATGCTCATTCACATGTGAAGAAATAGAGGCTCCAATGGAGTAAAATGGTCCACTAGTATGTGGGAGGATAGGACACAAACTTGGATTTTCTAAGATTCTTTTTCTACCATACCACCATTGCCTTTAATATAGCATTTCCGGTTCCACTTTTCTGGAACTCTGACAAATCTATAGAAAGCTCATTGCAACTAAATATCCATTAAGTATCTCAGGATCTTGCCCCAAAGTATAATCTATAATGGCATGCCGTACATATCACATAACATGGTGATGCCCACCTTCTAGCTAACCTGATCACTTACAGATGACATAAATTCACATAATGGTGCATACCCACCACAGTGATGATTTCATCAGCATTACATAAGCAAATCATTCATTGTTCTCTTGGTGTCCTGGCTCAGTTTTGATCTCCTGGATGCTGGTTTTTAAGGTCACTGATCTTATTAGTCCCAAAGCAGCAACAGTCAACCGATCTGAGATGATAAACTGGGAGGAAATGATTGCTTAGTCATAGGCCTTCACCTTTTGAAATTCCTTTCAAAACCAGTGGCAATGGGTTATGGGGGAGGATGGACAAGGTGTAGATTGTTGCACATTTTCTTAAACTCATGGACGTTTGGCCTCTGATGTCCCCTCTGAGCCACAGACTGAGGACTATCATATCATAAGGTGCTGGTGAGCTGAGGAGAGGAGAAATGGGCTAAAAAATAAGGAAAAAAGCATAAGCTAATAGAGAAAAGCAGATGAGTGACCACTGGAAAAAATCATGTTTTTTCTTTTGCAATGCAGGGGGCCACATTAATTTTTAATAAGTACCAACAGAATGACTCAAACAGTATGATTTTGAAAGAAGTTCTGCAAGTAATATATACACCTCTTCAGGATAAAACTAGAATGGTGCTGTGAGGCACATTCATATTTTAAAAAGCCCAATATTGGTTTATTTAAAAATAAATGCTTTTTGCCAAATTATAAAAGACATTCAGTCCCTTGTGCACTGTGGGATGTGCTGTGCTTAAAATATTCATATTTTATATATAGTAGTTATACAGTTCTCTGCTGAAAAACTTTATAGGAATCCATAGTGTAAAACAATAATAATAAACTCTACTGTTTCTTGAGAGCTTTCCATTCATCAGACATGCTTCTAGATGTTTTAAATACCAACTTACTTAACCTTCATCAAAACCATGTTTCACTGATAGGGAAAGTGAGCTGTGTTTTCTGGCATGGGGCAATGCAGGTGGGAAGAAAGGGAGCTGGAACTCCAGCCCAGAGCCAGTTCAGGCTCTCCCTTCAATTAAAAAAAAAAATGGAAAGAGAAAAACCCTACCAGGGATAACTAATATAATAATTTCCACAGGCATATGCAATGTTTTCTAATTTTCTTGAAAACCTCTACCCTTTCCCAAAAGACTCTCAAGGAAATTGCAGAGATGTAAGTTGCTGCAAGGCTGTTTGCAGTGATTGGGAGGCAAGATGAGGGAGGAGACTAGAAGACCATGGCCAGAGAGGAGACCTGGTGAGCGAGCAGGTTTCCTCTGGGCTCCTGCTCTGGCTTCCCTGCTGTCCTCTCAGCATGGCTCAGAGCACAATTCCTCCCTTCCCCTTCTCCTTCCCTTCTTGCTGTTAGCTGATGGAAGGACAGAAATGACCACCCCAAATTATGTCATGACCTTAGCTTTGTTGTTGGTGATGGTGGTTTGTTTCAAGTGGAGGGATGATACGAAGTAATCAAAAAAATTCTCAAGCCTCATTCTGCCAAAAGTTTTAATCTTTTAAAATAAATCCATCTCCAGTGAGATCTATGGTGGCTCAAAGATGAAAAGGATTCATTGATGTAAACCTGTGCTTCTAATGAGGTAGCTACTAGCCACAGGTGGCTGTTGTTTACTCAAAACAACAATAATTCGTTAGCATAATTAAGAAACTGAATTTTTAATATTATTTAATTTTAATTAACTTACACACAAAAATTATTTTAACTGTGTCTGGAACAACTTGGAAACATGAATCAACTTTTTCAACAGTAAATTTTATGAAATCTAAGTACAGATTAAGGATTTCTCATAAAACTTTAGCATCTAAATTGAGTTTTCCTTAGGTACAAAATACCAGATTTTGAAGATTTAGTATAAAAACTATAGTATTTATTAAATATATAATTAAATATATAATATTTAGTATAAAAATATAAAATAATACCTTTTACATTATGATATATTGATAAGGTATCTGAATCATGATATATGATTACATATTGAAGTGATAATACTATGGATACAGTGGGTAAATAAAATGTATTATTAAAATTAATTTCACCTGTTTCTTTTGACTTTTTAAATACAGCTACTAGAAAACTTAAATTTACACATGTAGCTTCATTATACTTCTATCGGAGAAAGTTGCTGTAGCACTCTCTATCATTTAAAAGTTTGAAACAGTATTCCAAGCATTAGATAGGCTCTGGTGGCTTTTTTAATAGGTGGAATCACATAAAGAAAAAACAGAATCTTGTAGTACATGTCATGCAGTCATTAAGTATGTGAAACATTACATTGTCATACAAAAAGCAAGAAATTGAGTTCTTGAGGGTCTCGTAAAAAATTTTCTCTTACAGCTCAAAAATTATGACTTCCTTTTCTAACTGTCCCCACTTGAAAGTTTCCACCCATTGCAGTATGAGCCTATTTTTTGACCAGCAAACAAATTCACTGTGGAAACTTTCAACACTTTTATTAAGAAGCACCAGACATCTATCCAGTCTTGATAAGATAATCGAGTTTCAGAACAGGGGTGTGTGTGTGTGTGTGTGTGTGTGTGCGCGCACATGTGTGTTTGTGTATGTGTGAGAGAGAGAGAGAGAATGTGTGGTATGAGTACATGCTCATGCATAAATCTGTATTTCATTGTGACTTTGGCCATAGAGAGTTTGTTTGTTTCTTTCACTTCACCATTTCAAATAAAACACCCACCACATCACAACATGCCAGAGGCATCTGCCAGTTGAGTGGGAAGTTCAAGGAACTCCCTATTGCTGTAACTCTGGAAAGACAGAGCCAACTAGAGTAATTATTCTTAGGACTTACTTCTGACACCACAGTCCCTCTCTTGTAACCTGGACCTGTTTCTTTAGGATTTCATAATTGCTAGAGAATTCAAAAGAAACATTGCTCTTCCAGCCTTTCTTTTTTAGGCTACTAAAAGACACTTCTGCAGAAACTTGTGCAGCCAGTAAGGGAAGTTTATTTAGAAACCCACAGTGTACGTTGTGGAGCCAGTGATGACAAATCCCCAAGATAACTGTAGATTTAACTTGTGCTGCATTTTAGTATATTATTTGTACAGAAAGCCCAGAGAAAGGGAGCTTCAAAAGTTGCTTAATTTCTAAATTTGAAAAATAGGAGGCTCTTGGGTTTACAAAACGTAGTGAGGAAAAAATCAGAGCACGTGGGTTTAATTGGTACCTGACTGCTGATGTCACCGCCCCTCTTTGGGGTTCTATTGTCCCATCAACAACTTGGGTGGATGATCCCTGCCCCCGTAGAGGTCAAAGAAAACTTTAAACCTTAAATAAGTTCTTGAAAAAAAAAATGAAAACAGAATTTAAGTTATTTTCTGTGGTCTCACCTTGGTCTTACTTGATGTGTTTCTTTTGGAAACTAGCCTTGCAGAATGAAAGTTTTTATGTTCACATTCATTCCTCCATAAGTTATGCATTATGACAGGTTTCCAAGCATTTCTTCCCAGTAATCTCTCATTTGGGGTCACATTTCTCTTCTTTCTTTCTTTCTTTCTTTTTCTTTTTTTCTTGCTTGCTTTCTCTCTCTTTCTTTTCTTTTCTTTCTTTTTTTTTTTTTTTTTACAGGGTCCCACTCTGTCACTCAGGCATGAGTGCAGTGGCATGATCATGGCTCACTGTAGCCTCGACCTCCCAGGCTATAGAAATCCTCCCACCTCAGCCTCCCAAGTAGCTGGGACTACAGGTGCACACCACCATGCCTGGCTAATTTTTGTGTTTTAGTTTTTGTAGAAACAGGAGCTCCCTATGTTCTCCAGGCTGGTCTTGAACTCCTGGGTTCAAGCGATCCACCTGCCTTGGCCTCCCAAAGTGCTAGGATTACAGGGCTTAGCCACCATGGCCAGCCCTCGGGTCACATTTTCTTTAGTATGAAATTACAAGCACTTTAGAATAATAAAATAATGGGATGGGAGGAAAAACAATATCTGATACTCTGAAGATTCAAAATCGAGTCCCTCAAAAGTGGCTGCAGTTGAGTATTAGAAACCTGTACATGATATGGAATATTTCCAAACTGAATTTTGATTAAGAAGATAAATTTGCTCATTTACAAAATTAGCAAAACAATTCTAACTTTTGAGTTATAAGTATGATTTGGCTTTATTTTGTCTTTGTACTTAAAAAAAAACCCACTATGAATTTGCAGCAGTATTTCAATTAACAAAGACCTTTCAGGTAGGTCAACATGCAGGGCTAACTTTTTTGTTTTGCAAGCAGGCAAATGGAGTGTTGAATGTCAATGAGGAAACTGGCCAGGCAATGAGGACATCTCCCTTAACTCAGACTCAGGCCTGTGACTTTTCTCTCAGAGGACTTGCAAGCACTTATGCTTGTTAGACTGAGTTAGAATCTACACATGTGGGTCTCACGTCAACGTCAGAAAATTATGTTAATTAAAATAATGGGATTCTTTGGTGAAGTATCATATGTCCTTTATAAAATACTTAGATATTTCCAATCTGTATTTGTTTCTGTAAAAATGATGGTACATGTGAATATACTTTAAAAAATCTTAAACAAATTACACTGCAGGATCCATTTGTGTGACACATGATTAATCTTTTAGACTGAAACACAAGTCCCTATAAATCAGGCTTAACAGACACTGAAATATCAATTGATATTATTTCAAATGTGTTATATCCCAAGGCAACTAATTAGGAATGCCTTCAATCTTTCTCTGATCTGACACTATAAATGAATAATAACCAAGCTAGTAGACTAGATTCTGGAATGGAAATCTTTCTCTTGGGTACTGAGTATGAACTAGTATTCTTAATAAGGTCACAAATTTTGCTGGTTGGAAACTTGAATACAAAACATATTGAGTCAAACCAGATACATTGCAAGTTGTAACGCCTTAGTTTTTCTGGAACGAAATAGGGACAGTTGAATATCCCCTACCTGTCTCACTGGCACTGGTCTCTTTCTTTCTTTCCTTTTTTTTTTTTTTTTTTGGAGGGGAGATACACTTGATTAAGCAGGACTGGTGAAGTTTATCCCAATTCTCCATTAGAGACAGCATCTGAGTGTACCTTTTAGCAAAGTAGGAAAACAGGAATAAGGAACCATCTTTATTATTTGGGGCTTTAGTCTAATCCTATGGAAGTTTCCTCACATACCTTCCTTATGGCATCTTAAAGAAAGGGTAATTGATGTTTTTAATTTGCTGTGTTCGGGCCCGGTGATTTGAGGCTTAAATGTCTTTAAGGATATTATGGGCTGGGCACGGTGGCTCATGCCTGTAATCCCAGCACTTTGGGAGGCCGAGGCAGGCAGATCACTTGAGATCGGGAGTTCGAGACCAGCCTGACCAACGTGGAGAAACCCCATCCTACTAAAAATACAAAATTAGCTGGGCATGGTGGTGCATGCCTGTAATCCCAGCTGCTCGGGAGGCAGAGGTAGGAGAATCGCTTGAACCCAGGAGGCAGAGTTTGCGGTGAGCCGAGATCACACCAACGCCATTACACTCCAGCCTGGGTACTAAGAGAAATCTCCGTCCAAAAAAAAATATATACATATATATATATACACATATATATATATATATATATATACACACACACATATATATACATATATTATATATATACACACATATATACACACACACACACACACACACACACATATATATACACACACACATTATGACAATACCTCTACTGTGGGGGGCCTTTAACATGCCCCCAAATCCCCCATGTCCTGATATTCATTAATCACGTGTCACACAAATAGCTTCTGCAGTGCAATTTGTTTAAGATATTTTTGTAACCCCTTCCCTTTGAGCATGGGCTGGACCCAATAACTCCTAGCAAATAGAATGTCGCAAGAATAATAGATGTCACTTCTGAGATTAGGTCACACAAAAAAGTGCTGGCTGCTTTCAGGCTCGCCCTCTCTGGCTTGCTCACCCTGCGGGAAGCCAGCCTCCCTGTTGTGAACTGCTCCCTAGAGAGGCCCATGTGGCAGGGAACTGAGGGAGGCCTCTGGCCAATAGCCAGCGAGGAGCCTGGCAACAGTCACATGAGCTTGGAAGTGGCTCTTCCTACCTCTGAGCCCTGAGATGACTTCAGCTCAGGCCAACACCTTAAGTATGGCCTTGTGAGGGTCCCTGAGCCAGAGGACCCAGCTAAGCCACCTGGATTCCTGGTGCCCAGAAACTGTGAGACATTAAATGTGGCTTGAAACTGCTAAATTTTGAAGTGATTTGTTACACAGCAATAGACAACTGATACAACCTCCAAAACTTAATATGTTCACTGGTCTGAATGTGAGCTCTTTGAGGCCAGGGTCTTGGTCTGATTCATCATTTTCTATCTGGTACCTAGCCCACTGCCTGTACACATAGGAACTCGGTAAACATTTAAGAAAGGAAGGAAGGACGAGGAGGAGAAAAGGATGGAGAGAAGGAGAGAGAAAAGGAAAAGGTAGGTATCAGTGAAAGCCTGAAGACTCAAGCTCCAGTTCATTTGATAGAAAGCTGTGGATTAACAGTCGGCTGCTAATGAAGAACTGTCACTGAATGCACAGATTTTACCTCTACTACTAATTTAATTTTACAATTGGCAAATTGCTTCCCAATCACTTATAGCAGAGTTCTCTCCTTTGGTATGTGCTACAATAATCTAAGGAACTTTTGTCAAATGTGTGAGTACAGAATGCCAGATCCACTGGCATGTTAGATGTGTGGGGTGAGCCCAGGCATCTGTGCTGCTCCTGGCTGAGAAGCCAGAGGCTGCACTGTCAGCACAAGGGAAGCCTACAGATGGGCTCGATGACAGGTAGCGAACTTCCCACTGTGCAGAATCCCTGAGGCAGAGGTCTGCCAGGAAACAGGGCAGGCAGCAGGAATGGCTCAGCTGGGCCCAGGCTGACACCCTCTGCCCAAAGCCTTTTTCCTGTGGTTGGGGGTCCTTTCCTTTCCAGGCTGCTCAGCTGGGGCCTGAGCATCCAGGAGCATCAAAGGAACATGGAGAAGACCCATCGAGTGTGACGCCAAGGACAGACCTGACTGAGGTCCAGATGTCACAGGGAGACTTTGGTAAAGATGGCACTGTTCAGCAACTGAAGGGGCTGTCCAGGGCCGAGTAAGGTTCCTGCCATTAAAGTATGGGATACTCTAGAAAGACCCAAACATAGCTGAGGATTGGGAGTGGATGAGCTCCAAAGTCCTTTTCAACTGTGTGAGCTCTGTGAGGACAATATAGTATGGCATATTCACTGAGGCTCTGTCCCTTATAATTCCTGCAGTTGTCATTGCTTAGAGCGGCTGTGACACCACAGAATGCAGAAGTTCACCTTCAGAGTTGATGGGAAAGAGCTCTGGGCATACCTGATAGCTTTGGAGGAATCTGATCAGGCATAGCAGGATCCTCCCTGCCTGTAGATAACAGCAGTCTTTACAATGGGAAAGGGAGGCAGCCAGAGGAAGGAAGAGAACTAGACATTGATGCGGGTCCCCGGGAGGAGCCCACAGGAGACGGGTTGTTGGCAGGTACTCTAGGGTGAGCTAGGGGCGGAAGTGTGGCCCAGGACAGTCGCAGTGTGCTCCCTGACACCTCCGACTCCAGACCCTGCCCCAAGCCTCACAGCGGGCTTGAGCTGAAATGGCTGCAGGAAGCCTGGGTAGCAGCCCCTGAGCCAGCCTCACAGAGCTCAGCAGTGTCCCAGGACAGTGCAGGGGGCTTCAGAACATGCCCTGAGAGACAGCCTGAGGAGGCCCCACTGGTGGGATAGGGCGGCATGGACCTGCATGGATGAAGACTCAAAGCCAAGCGGGAGCAAGGGTGGCCCACCCTAAACTCACCTTGGCTCTGTGTGACTCTCCCCAAAAGAGGGGAGGCAGGGAGAGAGACCAGAGGAAGGCAGGGAGAGAGACCCTGAATTGCCTGAGGCTGTTTCACACATCTACTAGAATAAATAAAAGTAAATCCAGAAGTAAAGAATGCACAGCTCAGCTGGTGAGGCAAGACTCTTACCCATCTCAAGGCCTTTCATTTGTCAGGAGGACCAGTGAGGAGACTTAGCGACTGAGTGGAGCTTCTGCCAGAACCCACTATCCCAGGCCTCTCCACCTCCAAACAGGCTGGAAGAAATCTCTGTGTGAGTCCAGAAGTTTGCACTGCCAGTTAGATGCCAAATGAAGATTAAAAAGTAAAAAGAAATTGGGGGGCAATGAACAACTGGATAGTAAGCACTAAATTAGAGGAACTGGAGCCTTAATTAACATCAAGTGGATGCTGAAAGACTGGGTGGAGCCCAGCGTGCCAGGCAGTGGGAAGAGAGAGCCTACATCCATGCACGCCTGTCTTTAGGTCTCTATTGCCTCTTCCCAAGAAGCTCACATGAACCCCTGACGTGGAGCTTCCCTTTGTTATCACAGAGCTGTCTGTTTAGCCCCAACTCTTTTGTTCACTAGATTCCGTGTTTGATTTCTTTGCTTACCTGCCCTGATGGATTCAGCGTGAGACACACTCAGTGTGGCCAACCAAGAGAATAACAAAAGCATTGTGTTTGCTCTGAGATTACTTGAAAAAGTCAGCAGTCTTTCTTATGATATCTTTCTAGTTGCATTCAAGTTTTCATTTCCTTTCCATACTGGATGATGCCCAAATTAGGTTGTTCTCCCACCGCACTATCTTTTAATCTGTCTGATTCCTTCCGTTCACTACGTCCCTCCCATGACAACTGTGCAAATCTCACAGGAAACTTTTCACACACGGTGTCTCAGCTGCTGAGCCCTGCTCTCACACTCCCTGCACAGCTGGGTGAGGGCAGAGGCTGCCCCTGCACCTAGCCCAGTGCCAGGGACACAGCAAGTACTAGGAATCATTTAATTTAAAAAGATATTATTTAATGATTAACCAGAATTTTGTGATATAGGATCTCTGGCATTACACAAGCAATGCTTTCCTGAAAATTTTGGTGAATCAAAACACATTTTCATGGAGTCATGTCTTAACTTCTGAAATGCTTTATTTTTATTTCTTGCTCATCTTCAGGAGGCAAAGGTTATGAAGCAATTTAGAATTCCATTTTTCCTCTCTTGACCTCTCTTGTCAAGTAAAACACTCTAGAAACAAAAATCTACATATATTCAGAGCACTTCTTTTTTGGAGAAGAATTTTTCCCTGTGAGGAAAATAATCACTCTTTTTTTTTTTTTTTTTGAGACAGGGTCTCACTCTGTTGCTGGGGCTACAGTGCAGTGGTGCAAACTTCCCACATTAGCCTCTCAAGTAATGGAACTATAGGCACGTTCTGCCATGCCCAGCTAATTTTTTATTTTTTGTAGAGATGGGGTCTCACTATATTGTCCAGGCTGATCTTGAACTCCTGGGCTCAATGACCCTCCTATCCCTGTCTCCCAAAGTGCTGGGATTACAGGCATAAACCACTGTGCCTGGCCTTTTCTCTTAACTAATCTGATCAACTCAGCTTTTTATCTCATTTATCTGACATGTTTTAAACATCTGTACTCATGTGCTCAGAACTGAACCAAAGTTATCCTGACATGATCACTTGTCATTATGGATTTTCAGAATACAATGATAAAGGACACAGGTAACAACAGCATAAAAATAACAAGTCATGCATACAAATGTTGGTATATGTAAAATAGAACACTCAGCTCTGCATTTTGAAACTAGTTGGAAAAAAGATGAACAAAATTTGAAAAGATCTGTCCTAGGTTAAGAAGAAAATCCAGATTAGAGAACACCAATAGGCTAAACATTCATAGGAAATAAGAAAAAGGAATTAAAGAGGGGAGAAAAGAACTCAGTAGAAAATGAAAATTAAATAAGAAAAACAGCTGAGCACAGTGGCTTATGCCTGTAATCCTAACACTTCGGGAGGCTGACGCAGGTGGATTGCTGGAGCCCAGGAGTTTACAACCAGCCTGGGCAACATAGTGAAATCCCATCTTTACAAAAAAATACAAAAAAACTTTGCTGGGTTTACTGGCACTTGCCTGTGGTCGCAGCTACTCAGGAGGCTGAGGTGGGAGGATTACCTGAGCCCAGGAGGCCAAGGTGTAGTGAGGCGTGATGGTGCCACTGCACTCCAGCCTGGGTGACAGAGTGAGACCCTGTCTCAAAGAACAAGAAGGAGAAAGGCAAGAAGACAAGAAGCTGGAGAATTGGTAGAAATGGTAAGGTGGAAGAAAAGAAAAATAGAAAAGTAGAAGTGGTAAGATAGAAGGTGACCAACTATTGCCTCATTGCTATTGATTATCTTCCTCTCATTAGAAAGTACTTGTGAAGCAGACAGGTATTTACACAGGAAACTTTGCTAATACCTCCTCTGGGAGTTGTACTGAACTGTTTATGGGTTGGCTTTCCAACATAGGGCTGGGCCAGAGACAGGAAGGGCAGTTTCTGTTTCAGTCCATCAGTGGTGGGAACATGATGTGAATGCACTGTCTCCAGATTTCTCTACTTTTTTTCTTCCACTTGCCCCTAAATAACCTCAGAAGGACAAATTAAGTGGTTCCTCTAGACTGATTATCATTTCTGTTAGTTGATGTGATATAATAAAGTGGTTGAAAATTCAGAAGCTGCATAACTAAGCGTGTGTTCCTTAACTTCCCTGTGTCTCAGTTTCCTCTGTAAAGTAGGGGAAACAGTAGCTCCTGCTGCGAAACACCAGGATGTTTCTTGCGTGATTTCTTATAACGTTCTTCAGTATAGGCTGATAGCATGATCTAATAAAAGCCATTCTGTGTTCAGGTACAGCATCAA
Source organism: Homo sapiens (assembly GCF_000001405.40). Classification (NCBI taxonomy): domain Eukaryota; kingdom Metazoa; phylum Chordata; class Mammalia; order Primates; family Hominidae; genus Homo; species Homo sapiens. The sequence goes on along the minus strand of NC_000003.12, from coordinate 156,348,934 downwards.
AATACAGTCAGTGGCCTGGCTTAGTCCAGAGAAAAATTTTAGAGGGTCCAGAGGATTCTCCCTAAATACTAATTATTCAGCTGAGCTTTTGGGAATGGAGAGAACCATCAAAGATGAGTACCATATATAGAGGCTTCTTTACATTCACTCAAACCAGGCCTCAGTCCTAGATACATGCTTCCTGGGAAATCACATCCATTCCCATGGATTCAATAACAATATTGAATTTAGGCTGACAATTCCCAGTTATTTCTTCAGATCAGAGCACTCCCCTCTCTGAGCTTCAGACACAGGTACAGAACTGTCTGTCTTATAACTCCACTTGGATGTCATGCAGTTATCTCAAACCTTACATGTCTAAAATGGAACACAAGTTTTTTCCTCCAAAACCTGTTCCTTTACTCAGTAAATGGCACCACCATCCCCGCATCTCAGGCTAGCAACCTGGGAGGAGTCCTGGTTCTCAATCTCTCATGCCCAATCCACGGACAAGAAATGTCAGTCCCACCCCTAATATATCTCAACTCCACCCACTGCCCTGAACCTTTCCTGCCACCACCCTGATCTGATCACTAGTGTCTACTGCCTTAATGCTGCAATAGACCCTTGCTGGTCTGCTTCTTCTGCATCCAAGCGAAGTTCTTTCCCAACTCATGGCCTTTGCATGTTCTGTTCTCATTGTCTGGATGTTCTTCCACTCACTCTTTACTATCCCCTCCTTTTTAGGCCTCAGCTTAAATGTCATAGCCTCCAAAAGACCACACTAATCACCCTATCTAAAAGCCACTCTCTTGTGACTTTCCCTCTAAACCCCTTGGTTTGTTTGGTGTTTTTTTCCCTTCATATCTCCTATCCTAGCCTACATTATTTTATTATGTCTGTTTTTGTTTGCTTGCATATAGCAGAAAGGGGCCCTGTGTGTCCTGTTCTCCCTATCTCCCTAGTGTGTATAACAATGCCTGACCCTTGTTAGATGATTCATATGTATTTCCTAGTTAAAAATGAATGGAGAATGGACAAGAATCCTTGTAACTAATCCCCGTTTCTGGTTTCATTGATTTTGCCCTGCCAGATCCATACTGTGTGAATTTAGAGAATTTTCCATAGGAAACTCACAGAAGTACCAAATTAGTTTGAAGTACACAAAGATGAGTGGATTTTAAGAAAATTTGAAGGGTACAACTTTGAAGAGCTTGAAAATGATGTTTGGAAGAAAAATACCGCTCAGAAATGATGAACAAGCTCTCCCAATTAGTTGAAATGTGAGTCTATCAAACAACCTGATGACTGGGCTTCCCCAGATTCTTTAAGTACTGTTTGGATGTATTTTCTCAGGGGCAATAACATACTATAATGGGCACATTTCTGAATAAAATGTGCTAACTGGTGGATGAGTTTTTTATAATATGGAACTGAAGAAGTCCAAACTTATTGATTCTCTAGCTCCTTCCAATGATTTAGGTTCTCACTGATGGCAAAACCATGAGAGAAAGACAGAGGTGTCTTCTTAGAGTCTTCAGAGGACTCAAGCTCAGAAAGGTAACTTTTTCCTCACACAGCAAGCAATAAAGCCCTCAACTCACCTGTTAGGGCTGATTATTGGGGTTGGAAGCTGCATTTGCAGCTGAGTTGGATGTGACCAGTGATCTCATTTCTTCTGGGATTATTTCAGTGTTTGCTGCTCTATTTTTCTTTTCTCTACAGTTTCCTTTGTCTCAACACAAATACTGGATCAGAGTCTTTATCTGGTACTTGAGGCTAAACATTTTTTCCTTTTCCTTTTTGTCTTTTAAACTAATTAAAATTTGTGTTACCTTTTTTAACCTTAAGCGTAATAAATTAATAAATACATGTTTTATATTTCAGGGTTTTTTTCTTCACATATTTATGCCACAGACCAGAAATGACTTATAAGCAAATACACTCTGAAAAGAAAATAATATCATTTAGGTTCTTTATCTCTTTGACTATCTCAGTAAGAGAGGTGGATTCATTCTATTGCTCTAATATCACTCTACTCATAAGTTTTTTGACAATGGCATGCTGACAAGAACAGAACTGAGTGAGCAAGATGTGTGACAAACATCTGCTGAAAACTCATCTGATAAATAAATACAAAGGCTATAATGGAAAAAAAATTTCCATAAAATTAATCAACTTCTGGATTTTTCCTAGATGCTTCCATATTTGACTACTTAATTTTTTATGATTATTGTAGCTAGCTTTCACTGATTACTTATTACGAATAAGACAATTTATGCATATTATTTAATTTAATCCTCACAGCAACCTGAAGCTTATGATACTTGTTTTTTAGGAAAGAAAAACTGGTACATAATAAGTTTTCTCCTGATTATAAAGCATTTAAGAGACAATGTCATGATTTGCACTTTAATCTTGGCCAGTTACAAATTCTATGCCCCTTCCCACCAGGTGCCACTCTCTTTAGTGAAGTGTAGTGGTTCCATATTTGTTGGGAGACATGATGCTTCTGCTAATTTATTTCTTTGTGGACTTTCATTTTACCATACTTGTCATAGACCACATATTCATCAATACTTCACACATACAAATTATGTTCTTTCCTCTGAGTTTTTCTCCTACCACATATACATCAGTACTTCATACATACAAATTACATTATTTCCTCTGAGTTTTTCTCCTACCAGTTCAAAAGTAATAGGGCTTAAGCTGTAGTTAATTTGCTTTATTTCCCTTTAGGTGTCTGCAAGAAGAGATTTTTTGCTCTTCTTCATTTCCCTATAGGTGTCTGATGGAAGAGTTTTCCGTGTTCATATAGTTAATTACATTTTTTGGAGTAGTTCCAAAAAATATAATTAACTGTATGAACACGGAAAACTTACACATCAGACCATGATAGCCATGAATACATATTGCTGTGATTTCAGGTAAATGCTAAATATTCATCTAATTTAAGCTTGTACTCCTCCCATTTGTTTCTTTAGAACAATGAGATGGCTCCAAAAATTAAGCTGAGCAAAATTGTATTTATTTCAATTCAGTATTCTATAGTGAGGTGTTGCTCAGTAGCACAGCGTAAGACATCCTCATTTATTTACTTTGCTTTCTCTTTTTCTTATCTTTTCCTTCTCTTCTTTCATATAGAGGCTGGAATTGATCATTCTTCTCCTCCATTTCTAGTGCAAATTGGAGTTGATGGAAAATATTCAAACACTGTACTTCTGAATCAGTTCTGAATTGCTTCTGAAAGAGTTTCTGCCTCAAGCTGTCCCCAGCCACCAAAGTCCCAGCTACTATCCTGTCCCTCTATCTGTCCTCACTATTCAACAACTGAATGGCTAATGCTCTGCTATAGCACATGGGCTAACTTATCAGCCCTGCATCCAACAGAATTTGTCCCAGCCAAATGTAGTCATACAAACACTTTTCTCATTCTCATTGCCTTGAATCCAAGGTTCTCAAATGGAACACCCTCAAACTAAAACACTTTAGCTTTGTAGGCCATAATACAATGTTAACCTCGGAGATAGATACCAGCCATAAATCCATCAATCTGCTTTAAATTCAAGTTTCATTATCTAAAATTCCAGGCTATTTGAGTTTTTCCTTGTATTAAGATTATACTTGAACAAAAATAGAATATTTCCTTATTTTCAATTATATACTAAACTTACAGAATCTAAGACCATAATTTAAAAAAGTAACTAAATTAAAATGCAACTTCCAAGTAATACATTTATTTCTGAAATGTCAATCCATTTCCTTCACCCCAAAACAAACATTATTAAGTGTAGAGATCAGTTTTTCACCTTTGTCACTAGGAAAAGGGAAATTACGAAGCCTCTTGAATCTGATCCACTGCCTGCTGAACACAGCATGCAATTAAGGTACAAGTAAATAAAACAAATTATGCTACTTATCTGTTTATATGAGTAGTTCTCATTCCAGAAAAGATTTTAAGCAGCTCATTGTTATTTGGGAGGAGAATGCTTAGGGTCATTTGATTTTATTTTGCCTATTTAGAATGTGAACTCTGGGAGGAAGAGGCGATACCTTCTGGGGTACGATGCATATGTCACGGATGCCCAAGAGGTTGATGTTCCATTTTCCTGGAGATAGGACGTAATGGGATCTTAGAGCTTCAGAACACAAACTTACAAACTGATCCCATTTAGTTGTATGCTATTCTCTCAGTTTATTTCTTTTTATTTTTTTCCTCATTTAAAAAAATCTCTTCGCTAGTGTTTCTCAAAATGTAATTCTCGGACCATGTTGCTCAGAATCACTCAAAACCATCCCAGGCCCACTGAAACGGAATCTTTGGGTTTAGGAACTTATTATCTGATATTAAAGCGGTTAATATCCTTCCATGGATTCTTAGACATATGAGTTTGAGATTCACTGCTCTGGCTTTTAGTAAAGGCTTGTTTAAATATTCCCACCCTCTCTCAGCTGTGCGCTGAGCAGATTGTAGATTCACCTGTGGTTGCACACATGGCAAGAATGTTAAGAGGGAGGTACGCAGCATCTAAGACCTGTGGTGAGGGGTAGGCAGTCAGCAGCAGCAGCTTTCAGAACAGGAAAATGGCTCTCGGCAGGCGAGGAGAGAAGAGAGCATAAAAAAATCAGCGCTGAGAAGTTGAGCAGTTCTTTGTCGCAAGGCAAATTTCTCCCCTTTTCCTTAGAGAGGACCTTAGAGGACCATGTTTGATTTTGTTGAGGGAGATGATCCTGTCCTTTATAATCCTAATAGATCCTTTAGGAAGTTAGCCAGAAAGAGCTGAGCTCAAATGATAGGATATTGAGCTCCCTGATAAAAAGACATTGTGGGGGTGGGGTATCTGTGGCCAAGGCAGGCTCCATTGAAGAGCTGAAAGGAGTGGAGGGGTTTGCTAAGAGAGCCTCATCAGATAGGAGGCTGACTGGGTATCAGAAAAGAAGACATGTAATCAAGACGTGGTTTTAGCAAATTACTGAATAGGAAAGTAACAACATAATAAATTAGCCAGGATCTTAACTGCTAAAGGAAATCCAGAGGGAGCCAAATGTGTCAAATTGGATCTTCACATTCTAGTAAGGAACAGCAATACACATTTTTCTGCTTAGAAGTTCTTTGCTTTCTTTAACTTCTTGGTATTTCTTCATTTATATATTTATGTAAATTAGCCATTAGGTTGCTACTATAAAGAAGTAGGCTCTTTATGTAGTCACTGGTGATTGTTCCCTGGGTTTATTAAACTCTCCAATCCTAAAGATGCTGGTGCCTAAACCATGATGCTTTTGATGTTATCAGATCCAAGATCAAAGTCAACCAGCCAAGGGGAGACAAAGAGGGAAGGTCTCAGCTACAGTGAGAACTGGGGCCTTTCCAATAAGCCCCATACCCTCCCACAAGCTGCGGAGGCTGAAAAGGCCCTGACTCGGAAGGCCAATTTGCTGAAAGAAGCTTCTCTATAGCCAGAGGAGCAATCCCTCCCTCTCCCTCGACCTCAGGTCTCTGAGTATACTTCATGGAACCATCACAAACTCCCACATAGCTTTTTACCTGCTTATAGCAGTCAGGTAGGGGATCTGTGGCCAGAAGCCAATCTGTTTTAAGGCCTAAACTCAAAGAGTAGACCAGCAGCAACAGCATCACCTGGGAGCTGATTAGGAATACAGAATCCAGAGCCCCTTCTCAGACCTACTGAATCAGAAACTGTATTTCAGCAAGAACTGAGGAGATTCCTGTGCATAATAAAATTAGAGAAACACTAACCTAAGATACAGAGAAGAAAATACTCCAAAGCTGAAGCAACTAGAGAGCTGTAGCTGTACGATTAAAATCCATTTTATGCAGGAAGGTCTAAATTTCCAGCCTGGGAAGTAGAGATTGAATAAGGAGGTGAGGGTAGGGAGGCTAATACAATTTTTTATAATAACAAAAGGGGCTGTTCATATTATGTTACCTATGACAGTTTTCTTCCTTAACATGTATGTAAACTTCATTGACTCTAATGATTATTTGTTTTGGGGAGAACTATCTGTGTGTCTAATTCCATAGCTCACATCTATGTGCTCAGGAAGAATTCTTGTGCACCTCAGCGGGGTGAGAACATCTTGAAAAGCCCCCCATTGGACTTCCCTCTTGAAGATCCCCAGTCAGGTCAATCAATCCCAATGTTCCTCAGCCCTGGTAATTCATTAGAAACACATAGGGAGCTTTCATTGGGAGATATACCTAATGCTAGATGACACGTTAGTGGGCGCAGCGCACCAGCATGGCACATGTATACATATGTAACTAACCTGCACAATGTGCACATGTACCCTAAAACTTAGAGTATAATAAAAAAAAAAAAAATTAAAAAAAAAAAAAAAAAAAAAAGAAACACATAGGGAGCTTTCAAAAATTCCAATGTCCAAGCCCCATTTCCAGCCAGTTCAATGTGAATCTCTGGGTGTGCAGCTCTGTGCATGGGTATTTTTAAAAGCTCTCAGCATCTGCTGGCCAGGCTGACTAACTTTGTATTGGGAACTATATGGTGTGTCATGGAGGCCATGGCTAGGCATTGAGATTTGTCCATAAGGAGACCCCACGTGAAGAAATTCACTTTCTTTGGTGCACTCCCTCGGATTAAGATGATAGTCAGTGAAGCTTGCATTGATAAACTTTTCTAACTGAACGTCTAAATTCCTTTCAGGTCTCCCCAACCCTGAAGTGTAGTCTACCTCTAGCACCACCTGTGGTTGAGGTGGCGTAGAGGAAAAAAGAAATGCAGAAGTGAAAGGAAGTGTGGCTTCCCCACACTCACGCTTTCTTTGCCATTCATCTGTTTGCTGGGGACAGAATATTATTGAAGGCATCAGGCATTCCAAGTGGCATCCACAATGAAGCCGAAGGTAGCACAAGCTCACCTGGGAACATAGAGGTGGTGTAGGAGGTAGGAGAAGCTGCCAGGGAGTGGCTCTGGTGTGGGCAGGGGATAAACCTTTCCAGACATATCCTGGTACTGTTTTTTAAATTGATAGTTGTAACCCATTAGTTTGTCATGAAATCTATTTTAAATGTCACATCCAGTATATTAAAATAGAATAAAAGGTCACAGGGTGAAATGGAATAGAATAGAAAATATCAGAGCTCAAGGTCCATCTCATATATAAAGATAATTATTATTTTGTGAAACTAGTTTATGGTATAATATGTATATGTATGTATGCACTAGGTCACCATACAAAATATATTTCTTTCTATATTTTTTTTCTATGATTGTGGGCAAAGTATTTGAGAACCACTGGATTATATTTCTATGTAGCAGAATAAAAATTTGATGTTAATGGACACAGCCCAGATGCCTGGATGCAGCACTCTGTAGCACCATGACACAGACCACAGGGACAATAAGGCATGATCTCATCCTAACACAGCTCGGAGGCCAATTGGGCTCTGAGAACAACAGTAGCAAGAGGGGGGAATGACAGCATGTGAGCAAGTGTTGAATGACATGTGTCAGGCCTCAATGGCAGTGCAAATTAAGGGGAATTTAGGGCATTGATAGTGTGGTTAAGGTGGTAAGAACTGAGTTTACTGGTATCGCTTTTTCTTGGAAAACTTAGAAGGTAATCTGATGGGCTTATGTGCCTCAGAAGAACTTAACTCGTCGTCTAGATTTGGGTTTTATTTTGTATGTTGCTCTCATTTGAGGGTCAATGACTTACTACCAGCATTTGATGCTACGAATTATCCATGAATGTAGGTATGGTACTCTAAGAGAATCTAATATCTATATCTATACATCTATATCAATAAATGTGACTTTACATCATAAAAGAAGTTCTGTATTTTTTGCTGTCATTGAGATTTCAAAGTGTATTTCAAATAATTAAATTTGCCATAAAAATACTTAAATGTAAAAATATGCTCCATTTTCTAGACCAACGTATTGCATAACAGGAGGAGTGTCTCTTTTCTTTGATAGTCATTCGATAAAACCAATATTTCTCTAATTACTCACCTTAATTTTGGAAGTGATAGAGGTGGGAGGTCTTGAGGGAGTCTAATACTTTGAGGAAGAAACAACAACAAAGTGGAATAGCCTGCCATTATATTTTGGGAGGATATAACTCTACCTTGGCAACAAAGATAGCCAATAAAGACATAGCAATAAAAGTCTGCGCAGGCACCCAAATTATAAAGCCCATTTCCTCTCCTCACACTGACTTGACCAATCTGTTGAGATGATCACAGGCCCACTGAAGATGGAGGTGGTGATTCTGCCTGCAAAGTCCCTACATTGGCTGTTTATTTCAGATCAGCTTGTCCAAGGCAGCAGGAAAGACAGACCATCTGGAAAGGGAAGGACATGGTCAGCAGAAGGCAGCAGCAGCACTAACCAAGATGGGTTAGGAAGGATGGGTGATGGTCCCCAAACTTGGTCACGTAGTCCAAAGGGAAGTGTAGGGTGAGATGGAACCAGGGGTCCATCTGCCATGGTGCCCCTCAGCTACATCTGCCAGGACCTTGCACCTGGCATGCTCAAGAAAGGTGCTTCTGGCTGAGGATGGTGCACTGTGATGGTCTCAATGCCCCTCCCACTCGAAGAGAGGTGTAGTGGGAATTTGGCATTTAGTAGAATAATTTTTCTCTCTTTCAGAAGGAAAACTGAATCACTGCTAAGGACTTTGGGGGTTTTATTTTATTTTTTCAGCTTATCTAGAAGTCATTTTCCATTGGGTTTTTCCTTTGACTTGAGCTGAATTCTAGTCAAGATGGGCTTTTCCACTGCACTCTAGGAAAGGATACTGAGGGGTAGGGCTGATATCCAGGCAAAAAGCTATGTATGATTCTCTGTGGATCCCTCAGAAATGCTTCTGCTACTAATATTGAGACACAATGCCTCCTCCAGTTTCTCTTTGACACAAACCATAATACTAGCATTTGAACTTCAGAAGTTGTTTTTATATCCATAATCATATTTGATCTTTATGATCATCTTGAGAGAGAAGTTGAACAAATATTATGATCTACCATCATGGGCAAGAGGACAGACACGGAAATGTGACAGAAAAGACAAGGAATGAACTGGATCATCCTGTCTTCCAGTACCACCTCTTTCTGGGACTTCATACAGAGGGAGGACAAAACACGCATGAAGCCAGGAGTGGGGTCATTATCCCTGGAAGACGTGGGAGCCCCCTCCCCCTCCAATGGGTCATGCAGGTCACAGATGTGCAATGGCCAGAGGATGTACCCATTCAGCCCAGCCATGACTATTACAGGGAAACTCAATGGCACGTGCCCTGCTGCCTGCCTGAGTAAACAATTGACAGACAATGGACACAGGTATTATTATCACAAAACAGGCTGGCCTTTTGCATGGATTGAAGTAGGCAAAGTTGTGAGCAGAGGCCATAATAATAAAGGCACTGGAGCCACAGATCTGAAGTTTGAACCATGGTTCTGCAACTTGTCACCTTTGGACAGACCACTTCACTTCTCTGAACCTCAACTCCTCCTCTGTAAAATGAGGTAATAGTCACCATCCAGGGCTGTTGTAAAGATCAGAAATAAACACAGAGTAGGCACTTAAATTTGGGTGTGTGTGTGTGGCGGGGGGTGTTATTATCTTGGGTCCCAACTAGGTGCACTAAGAATAGACCTTACTGCTGCAAACTTTATTCTGAGAGGTAAATAAAATAGTCCTTATGTTCCAGGATGTCAAAAAAGAGTAGCTATGGAACAAAACATTAGTAACTATTGCTAAAATGTAGATACCATGCCTACACCTGGACTACACATGCATTCCTCCTCTAGGGGGAAACTTCACAATCATTTAGTGTGGACCAGAGTCACTGGATCATTCATACCCCGACCCCTGAGCGCAGGCCAAGTTCCTGCCTTCCCCTGTCAATCTGAGCTGCCTACTCAACCCTTGCCATGCCCCTTGCTGGATATAATTTGCCTTTCCTGGGAATATCTCTGTACTTTGACTGTATGTTTCTAAAGATATGTGTTAGCAGTGTTGTTGGAATTTTGGTGGTGTTGAGGCCGTATTGTGGTCAGGTGACTGGGAGCACCCCAATCCTGCCTGTGACACTGCCCACCTGGCCACAGCCCCATGAGGTGCCAAGGGAGATAAAGGCACAGGACAATGACTCACTGAGATGAGCAAGGAGGAGAATGCTCTCTCCTCTGCTAGCCAGAGTTTGCTGGCACTCCCGAAAGCAGAATCATGGGAACTGGAACCTGGGACATGGTCAGGGATAGAGACCCAATGGGTCTGTTTTCTCTCCCTTAAACTTACACTTGAAATTTACCACACTCTGGGATGCTTAGTGAAATGAAAGAAAGTGCAAATGCTAGGCCAGGTGCAGTGGCTCACGCCTGTAATCCTAGCACTTTGGGAGGCCAAGGTGGGTGGATCACCTGAGGTCGGGAGTTCAAGACCAGCCTCACCAACATGGAGAAACCCCATCTCTACTAAACAATACAAAAATTTGCTGGGTGTGCTGGCACATGCCTATAATCCCAGCTACTAGGGAGGCTGAGGCAGGAGAATCGCTTGAACCCGGGAGGCGGAGGTTGCGGTGAGCTGAGATTGTGCCATTGCACTCCAGCCTGGGCAACAAGAGTTAAACTCTGTAAAAAAAAAAAAAAAAAAAAAAAAAAAGTGCAAATGCCAAAGAAAGTATAAGATGAGTGACTCCCCAAGGGAAAGTGGGCCACTGTTTTCAACCTAAAAGGAAGAAAAGAGAGTTCTGTCTCCATATGCAAAACCTTTGAACACACAGCAAACTGACTGATGTGACCTTGGAACTTGATCAACCAGATTTGTGAATCCTTCCTTGAAGCAGGCAGTACCTGGAGAGGCACAGAGAGTTGGACCATCCCCTCATCTCTGGAGGCCAGCAGCATATATCACCCAGTGGCTTGCAACATTGTTACTTGTGTATACATCAGCAAAATTGTTACTTGTATATACATCGCCATCCCCACCAGACTATAAACTCTTTAACAATAGGATCTGCTATTAGTTCATACTGCAGTGTTTGGAACAGAGAAATAGATAATACTTGAATGTGACACGGCATAAAGAAAGAAAACAGTATTAATCAAACATGCTTTATTGCTATGTTACATACTGAAATTTATCATTGTATTTAATTGTCACAATCATTTTTTCAGGTAGGGATGGATCACTGTTCTCTTTCACACGAGGCTGAGTCACAACTTACCTAAGGTTACTAGTGGCAAATACTAAGTGGAGAGAGAGGTGTGAACCCAGATTTGTCTAACTCTGAGACTGTGATCTTTACATTCACTGTGATTTCCTTTAAGGTTCCAGAATAGAGTGAAATGTACTATCAACCACACACAGTGAATGTACTTTCACACTCTGAATGGATGTACTCTGGCTCTACAAAGGGGACTCATCGGTGGAGAAGGCAGTGCCCACTTGGTGCCTCTAGGCAAAGTGAACTCTGGCTCCAGGAGGAGGAGGAAGAAGAAGAAGGAAAATGAAAAGGGAAGGATGAGAGAATAAGGAATGAGGAGGAAGATACAGAAAGGAAAAAAGAAGACAGTGGGGGGAAAAAAGAACATGAAACAAGTCAAACCATTATTATTTAGCTCTCTGATTCCTATGAGAAATGCTCCAGTCTCTCTTGGCAAATAGTGCTAAAGCTATCAGCCCTGTACTCCTCAAAATAGCAACTTCCTCACTCCAACCCGCCCCAACTTCAGTGTTCTCAGGTGATGATTTATTTCCAACTTATCTCACTTGCATATAATGCAATTTTATTTCTAGAGGAGGAGTTATTGGTCTTTCAGGTAGAAATAGATGATTTGAATGTCTGTACATCTAAACGCCATGTGAATTATGTAAACTTAGTACAATTGGTAGCAAAGGCAAAAAGTTGGGATAATAAGGTAACAATAATCGCAGTCACTTATAAAACTCTGATTTTTACTTGCCGACCAATTCTTCACACTACAATAGCATTTTCAGTAGGTCTTATGTCTAGTCCTTGCACTTCAAGTAGCTATGAACATATAATGCTAATCTAATCTGCATTTATCACAAAAATCTAGTTTTGGGATTGTAGTCTTTGGATTTCTCGTGTGAAAGTTGCTTATGAATCTGGGCATGATTGAACTGTGATGTATCAACTCACCAAACTCCACAACTGGTTCAGCTAACTGGGCTGCCCAAGTGGGTGTCCATTCTTCCTTCCTGCTCCTTGTATTTTTTTCTCAAGATAAAGCACTTGTTCAAAAGAAAGAACACTCCCTTAGAATCTGCAAAAGGCATCTCCAGGTTTGTCACTGGAAATTTACCATGAACACATATGTACAAATACATCAGTCTAATTTTTCATCAATATAAAAATCAGCACCCAAATGTCCTTAATCCATGCCATTCTGAACATGTACAATTCAAGGACGGTCAAAATTAAACTCCAGATTCTCTTCAGGGTGCTGTTTAGAGTTATGGCCGTAGATTAGCTTGAAAGAGTATTTGTTGTTATTCTCCATACATTATGAAACTAATTCAGTAACAGCCATATGGTTAAAAGTATTGTTACTCTTTTTTTGTTTGTTTGTTTGTTTGTTTTACAGAGTCTCACTCTGTTGTCCAGGCTGGAGTGCAGTGGTACGATCTCAGCTCACTGCAACCTCCGCCTCCCAGGTTCAAGCAATTTTCCTGCCTCAGCCTCCCAAGTAGCTGGGATTACAGCCACCTGCCACCACATCTGGCTAAATTTGTTGTATTTTTAGTAGAGTCGGGGTTTCGCCATGTTGGCCAGGCTGGTTTCGAACTTCTGACCTCAAGTGATCCGCCCACCTCAGCCCTCCAAAGAGCTAGGATTACAGGTGTGAGCCATCACGCCTGGCCTGTTACTTTTAAATATGTTCTAGATTCCAAAAATTAAGTTAAACCAATAATTATAGTTCCTAGAATTGTAACCAATGTTTCTGACTTTTTACTCCCAAGTAGATAACCACAAATCAACTTCACAAAAATGACATCTCACAGTAAAATATAAAATGCACAATGTTAGCCAAAAGGACCTCAAGCTATTATTTTCATATCTGTGTAATGCAAAAAAAAAAAAAAAACCCAAACAATTTTATAGAATCACACTTTGACAGTTAGCACTGTTTTTTTGAAGGCATTGTGTTCTTTCTATCTAAGCACAATATTGATTTATTGTTTTATTATAAGCTCATGTCATCAAATACCAAACGACAGGTGAAATGTTGACAAGGAAAAGAAAAATGAAAGATTTTTTCTTGAGGTATCTCAGTGTTAGTTGAAAATGATATGTTCCAGAGTCTGGAAATCCTAACACAATTACTTCCTTACCTGGAAATCTAGATAATGTCTGGATATTGATGGATTAATATGTTTAACAAATAATTTTAGTGTTTAATATGTGCTAGGACATGCAATAGGAGTAAATAGAGCTATAGTCCTCAATGGCAAGGAACTCACAGTCAAGGGAAGACCAGACACGTGTGTAAATAATTTCATAGTATGTGAGGAGTAATGGAGGTGTCAGCTGGTGTCGTGATTGGTGTATGTATAAAGTGGTGACTCAAAGAGGGAGTAGCCACTTTCCTTGGTTAGAGGCAGAAGAAAAAGCAAGGTAATGACAGAGGGCAAAGGGGAGGGTGTGTAAACACACAGGAGGAGGAAGCTGGAGTAGGCTCTTGAGGAATAAGCATTTTCTAGACTAAAAAATAAGGCAAAATGCATCCTGGATTGAAGGAATGCCAAGGATAAAGTCACTGAGACAGGAAAATTAATAGTGTGTTCAGGAAATCCACAAGAAATCAAAGGCTCCAGATGCCAGCAGGAGGGAGATCATGGAGGGCACTGTCTGTCATGCAAAGCCACTGGGGTTTTAGCCTTTAAGCAGGAAAGCATTGTGATCCGATTTGTTTCTGGAAGACCAATTTAGCAGCAGGCTCTAGCATGCATTTGGGAAAGAAGGGCAAGGCTGGAGTCAAGGAAATGATCAGGGAACCAGTGCAATGATGGCAGTATTGATACAAGAAAGCCTGAGGTTGGGGAAATTCAGGTGTAATTTCAGGTTCAAGCTTAGTGGTTCACATTAAAGTCCACATGATTCCACAGTGAGTTCTGACGGGTATAGAGGCCAGGGTCCCAGATACCAGAAGAGTGGGTGAAAGGACTAAGTTGTGAGAAGAAGGCCAAAACAGGAAGCTGGGGCTGTGATTTCCAACCGGTGTTGATTTCTATTGGTATGAGAAAAACTTAAGTGGAAAAAAATAAAAGGAAAATTAAGGATTAAATGCACATTTATTGGGCAGCTTTTAGATGCTGGGCACTGTGCCAGGAAATATCATACACTTTTTCTCATTTAACTCATAACAATCACGATGTGTTGGAACTGTTGTCCTTAACTTTCACAGATACAGAAACTGAGGCTGAGATAAAACAACTCATCACATCTGACAAGAGTAAAGCCAGGTTTTGCCCCAGGTCCATATGACTCAAGAGCATTCTGCAAGTAAGATCCGATAGGAAAGAGAAGGCCCTTCCAAGGTGGTTCCTTCATCCAACTCCTTGATGTTGGGGAGCATCATTCTATCAACACATTCATTTGTCAAAAAGCTTAGAGCCAGGGAGATAAATCCACTGGTCAGGGAAGGTTACCTACTGATGGTGTAACTGTCCACTTAACTCTGTATTTCTATTTCCCTGACCCTGTGCTGCCACAATGGGGAATGTTCTTTTTCCTTTAAAATAAAGGGAGAAAGACACTCATTATGCCAAAATAAATTCCAAAACGGATCAGGAATTTAAATGCAAAAAATAAAACCATAAAAGTTTTAGAAGAAAATTTGGTATTTAAAAATTAATCTAGAAGGGCTTTTAGGGTTTTTAAAGCATGACACGAACCCAAAAACCGAATACATTTGAATACATACAAATTAAATTTTTCTGGGAAAATATCATTTGTTTTCTGCCTGATATCTAAAAAGATAATTTTTTTATAAAGAGCGCAAACACATCAACATGAAAAGACCAACAACTAATTGAAAAATGAACACATTCACAGAAAGAGAGAAAAAAAGTGAATTTTAAATATGTGAAAAGATGCAAATTAAAACTTCATTGACATATCACATTTTACCTGTCATGTTAGCAAATATCAAAAAGTTACTAAAGTGTGGCAAATAGGCATTCTCAAACATTATCACTAGGAGTGTATTTGGAAGCTATCTTATTAAAGAATAATTTGTCAATGTGCATGAAAATTTAAAATGGACATTCATTTTGACCCTGCAATTTTACATCTCTTATAAATATACTCATAGCTGTATACAAAAATGCATGTGTTGTGCTATTCAGTACAACTATTGTGTGTGTGTGCAGAAAAGAACTAGGAACTATTTAAATATTCATTGATATGAAGTCTCTACGTCAATTATAATATAGCTACACAAAGAATAGTCTTCTAAAACAAATGAAGCAATACATACTGATATGACTAGATTTTAAGATATATTATTAAATAAAAAAGCAAGACGAAGGTCAATGTGTATAGTATGTCACCATTTTATAAGAAAAAGCTATACACGTGTGTGTGTGTGTGTGTATGTGTGTGTGTGTGTGTGTGTGTTTCTATGTGCGTTTGTATACTGGTATGTGCGTGGACTGTTAGAATGCATAGAAAACTGGTTACAGTCCAGCGTAGAGGAACTCAGGACAGCCAAAAGGGGGAAACTTACTTGTGACTATGTATTCTTTTTTACTGTTTGAAGTTTTGTCCCACTGTGTGTGCATTTACTCCATCTTCCAAAGTAAAAAGAGTAGGGTAAGACAGGACGAAGGAGTGAGAAATGATGCCTAAGTGGGGTTGGATTGCAGGAGTACTACCCAGACACATTTTCACTCCATTCCCATTTTATCTCAGGCCAGCTTCAAAGCTCCTTGAGGCTTTACCTGGCAAGGCCAACTCCACAAAGTGTTAATAGAGAAATCAAGGAAAAGATACATAATTTTGAGAACAGTTTCACATTTAAGCTTCTGAATAAACTTGGTTGTGGAAACCAGGAAATAAACAATCATAAAATCCAGGGGAAAAAAGTTGATCTCCCCAGAGGAAATCTCAGATCATACATAGCACTAAGTACTTAAGGGTAAGGAAGTTTTCACAACAATCAACCACAATTTTATTATTATTTTAAAATTTTACCCAATGGGTTTGTATCACAATGGTCATATTTTCGAAAAGAAAACTCAGACATCTGGGTCTGACTGTGCTCTGATTGCTGGAGGGAAATTACTGCATCTCTAGGGCAGGTGGAAGTTTATTGAGCATGGAAGCCTTGGTCCCGTTTGGCAGTTGGAGACATTCCTTATAGCAGATGTCACGACACTCTGAAAAACTGTGCTTGTACCACAGTGAACATTGGCAAATACTGGTTGAAACTAACCCACTACACTAGGCAGGGAGCACTATTCTACAACAGACCAGTTCCAAGTAAATGTAATGCACAAGTTTATGGGTAAATACGGTACAATTGAGAGGGTTAAAGGACTAGAGTATAAAGGATTTCACTTCATGAAAAGAAATTGGATGACTAAACTTGATAAAAACAATTTGGTGAAGGGGTGGGATCCTTGTATGAAAGCAAGAAAATCTGGGCATCAAACTATTTATGCCTGACCCCTTTTAATTCATGTGTAAACTTTCATTAATGTTTTATATTATAAAACATACCATTCAAATAAGAATTCAAACACATAAAGCCCAGAAATGAATAATTTTTTTGGTAACCAAACTCATTTTAATTAAAAACCCCACATACTATTCATAGTTTATTTTTGTATAAAATGTGTCAAGTCATTCCAATCAAGAGTATTGCATCAAGTTATAGCAGATATTCACATGTGATGAACTGAAGGAAGGCTGCAGGGAAGTCCTGTGCATCCCAGCCTTAGATATCCTGAGTTCAGGTACTTCTGACAAGAGCAGGGAGAATTTCCAGGCCACTGCTGACTTGTGTGTAGGTATACAACCCCTTTCTTAATGTTTGTCTGGCTCATCCTGGTAGGTTTCAGAACACAAGACTGTTTGGAAAATTTGACCCCCTGCCGCTAAACTTGGTTCATGGGGAATTCATCAACACCAGGGGCTTCCAGGTGTCTGGATTTCAAGGACAAGTAGGCAATCTAAAAGAATTTGGGAAATAGACATAAGACTGCTAACTTTTATTCTGCCAAACATGGACATAGCTAACATGCAGCAAAATGCCCACCACTATCTGCTATTATCAGGGTTTCATAATTTAAAAAAAAAGCCATTGTAATACCATAAAAAAGTGAAAGAAAATACTCTAAATTTTACTTTAAAAATCATTTATATGCCCTCATTTATGTAAAATTATGTATGTGTCTATATGTCAAAATATTTTTTAAATTCTCTTAAGAAGAAATGAAAGGGTATTCTTTTACATTGAACGTTAGCTTTAAAAAACGACTCCTTTGTTTTTATTTTACTCATTTTGCCATGCACTGTTAGAATCTTCTGTCTGAACTAGCTTGGACCTCTGTCCAGCAATTCGGTACCACTGATCTGCACAATAACCACCCCCACCACCCCTGATTTTTTCCATTCTTCAGCTCCACTCTTCATTAGTTGTGTCTGAATACCAACCCAAACGGGAATGTGTTTCCTACTGTTAGAACATCTACATGATCGCTGGTGCTGTTAAGTGTTCAGAAAAGGATCTTAGTATAGTTTTAAATAACTGGTTAGAAAATATTGTTTGCAAGCCAGTCAGTCACTTCAAGGGTCCTAGGAGCAGGTTTCCAGTGACTGATTATCAGTGATGGACAAGGAGCCCCTCTCCAGCCTGAGGGCAGAGCCACATCCCCTGCCCACAAGAACCTCTTCCTGGGCTAAGGTGATGGCTACGCTCAGGATGAGAAGGAGGTTCAGTCTCCCTACCCTGCACACAACTGTTTTTTGTTTTTAGAAAGTAGTTTTAATAGATATAAGGGGAACATTCCATAAGAGGAACACCAAAATAGTAACCTAGAAAAGGAATGCCAAGGGCTTTGCTATAAAGCTTGAAAGGCCTGGAAGCTTTGAGAAGCCATGCAGCGTGCCCTGGGAGGACAGAAGTGAGCTGAGGCTTACCAAAAGCACTAAAAGACAAAAGAAAAAGGCTCAGGGACCACAGAAAACATGCTTGGAGCTCCGTTCACTCAACAGAGATTTTCTTTGCATCTACCTGGGTCAGGCATTGCCTTAGGGAAATGATGAAAGAATGGTCACTGCTTGGGATAGGTGATGTAATGGGATTAGTGACAACCAGAACAGAATTGCTGAGCTGTCCTTTTGAGCTCATCTTGCTCCATTAAGTGAAAATAGTCTCAAGGTGAAAACGTCAGAAGAAATGATTCAAAGTGGAACTAAGACCTAGCACTGGGGGCAACAGAGTAAAATACCCTTGTGGCTGTAAAAGAATTTTTTTTGGAAGCCTTCCTGGTCATCTTCCAACAGTGTAGATACCTGGATTGTGGAAACTGTCAGGGCTCTGAGAGCAATCATGGTAAAGAGAAGTGCCTAAAGGGAGGAAACAGGCCGATGCTGCTCTGATTTTTCTTTTTTAATGGGAAGAAATGGGCCCTGGAAACAACACTGATAAGGCGAATGCTGATTCCTAGGCTAAGGATATGCATTTAGCTGAGGAAAAGGTTATAATTTATAATTAGCCACCAACATGGATTTGATCATAAGCCATAGAAAGTCCAATTTCCTCACTTTTCATTGTTTCTCCCCACTTTATTATAAAAGGGGGGATGGGATATATTTTACACACTTAAGTTTGTGAAAAAACAAGTTTTAAATTTTTTTCTGAAGGCCTCATTTTCAGAAAATTTAATTCTATTTCGGGAAATTAATGAAATTTCATGATTTCAAAGTTATTTTGGAATTAAAACTCTGTTTCATTCAGAATTCCTTTCTCTATTTACCCCATTTTCCGTGGGGTTGATTATAAACTCTGAGCTTATGTAAATGCAAGTGTTGAAAAAGGAAAGCATTTACTTCTAAATCTTAACCCAGCCTGGTCTGGACTCCCTTGAAATGTGGAATTAATGGAAGATATTCAAAGGAGAGTTGTGTCTACACCCACATTTGCTAAGAGTCTCTAGTCTGGTCTTTCTACCATCTTCTATTGGATGGTCCCTGTGGCTCTCTTCTCTGATGTTTTCTCTTGGCAAGAGTGAAATGGCTTCCTTTTTCAGCTTCTTTCTCTTCCTTAGCCAAATTCTCACATTACTTGGGACACTGAGAGAGTTTAGCTGTCCTCCCTCACTCCTCTCAGGCCACAGATGGCTCCATGTGTCCCCCTTAGGATGCTCTGTCCAAGAGACCCCTTGTAGTCATTCCTAATCTACTATCCAACCTATTCCCATCTCATGCCACTGGTGCATAAGGCCCAGCTGTTGGGGGGTTCTCTCCCGGGGATCCCTCTACTCTTGGATCTCTAAATGTAGAAGAGTTCAGTAGATTTCCATCCTTTTCTTGGACTTGAAGAATTGTAGGCAGGCAATCATCCCCTGCTCCCCCACCCCTGCCCCAGCATCTCAATCTCTTGTTTCCTACTTCTCCATCCCATTTCCAGCTCAGAGTGCCTTTATCTTATGTCCACATTAGGTGGTGGGGGAAGGAAGGGGAAGATGGGGACAAATTCTGTCTGATCTCAAGGCATTTCAAATTTTCGCCCTGCCTCTTGATATTTTGACCTTTAAAGTCAAGCATCTCATGTTTTTGGTCTTCAATTCCACTCACCCTGAAGATATTAGAGATCTCAAGTTGACTGGCTGAATACAAGGTTGTCACCAGCAAAAAGATAAGTGCAGCAAAAGGAAGTTTTTTTTAAACCGCACTGTAACTTCCCACTTAGAAAAGAACTCACTATAGAAAATTTTGATAATATCAAAAGGTAGAATCTTTTCCCATTTGGATACCAAATGTCTAGATATACTATAATAAGTTGATAGACTATAGAAATAATACAAATATCAAACAACTCCATTTCAACAAGGCAAAGACTCACCAGGTAGACTGTGGAGCCAAGTGGCTTTGTAGCTGACTTAAGAACTTACTCAAAGCCTATTGAATTATAGATCAATTTCTCCCTGGAAGGAAATCCTTAATGCTTCTGTGCAATGCTTTTCTACGCTATACTGCACTCTGTTCAACAACTCTATTAACAATTCTACAGAGATCAGAAGATGCAACTATGGAATTTGTACCCGGCCTACAAGTAGAAAGGACAGACAAGCTGCAACAATGAGCTGAAACTAACTTGATGAAACTCAACTCAACAACAGTTATGTCTTATAATTAGTAGTATTTAATACAATAACGACATAACTACAGGATAGGGTGACCCAGCTAAATAATAAAGGAGCACCAAATTCATATCCAGATGACTTAACCACAATAGCAACACGTGCAAAAGATGAGACAACACTTTGGGAAATCTAGTGGATTTGGAGGTGTTAATATAAGATCAGTGTCCGTAAGAGGTGTTTATCTCATTGTAGTTTTCCCAGAAACGACACGTTCTTTCAATCCAACCTCCAAGCTTCTGCTATAGCTCCTCCTCAAAAACATTTCACAGCTCATCACGGCCTGTAGAATAGAGCCCAAACTCTTTTTAAGTGGTATACCAAGCCCTTCATGATCTACTTCCACTATCCAGCCTCATTTACCATCGTCCTTGTTTCCTATCTGCTATCCCACTGCAAACGACATGCAGCTCCCTGATAGGCCAAGCATTTTTGTGTCTTTGTTTCTTTGTCCATGTTGTTCTTGCCTAAATTTTCATGTTATGAGGTATGGAGAAGTGTGGATGGGAAGGAATGTTGGCTGTTGGGCTAGAATTTTGGGGTGGTGGGCAGGTGTAGGGAGCATAATTCCATGGAGTCAGGAGTTAGACAACATGAGATCCCAGATGGAAGTCACAGGCAAAGTTAAGAGCTATGCAGAACTGGGGAAACAAATGCTGGGTGAGCACCAGAGGGAGACACGAAAGCTATGGTAGAGAGTCAAGAACTTGAAACAAGGGAGATAAGCAGGAATGAAGAAAGCCACCTATCTGGAATGCTTGCCTCCTGTTGTCTTAATCATCTCCTGAAATGTTTTTAATCTTTGTCTTCTCCATTTCCCCTGACTCCAAGATACAGCTGACCACTTTCTACTCTGTGCCAACTCTGTGCCTGGGATATTTCTCTAATAGATCCCATAAGCCTAGATATTCAGTTATTTGTTCATATTTCCAATTCCCATGCTACAATGAATGCTTGCTTGATGATAGGGCCATGAGTTACTTACTTATGTAAGCCCCGGATCTAGCCCATAGTACTATATCTGCATCAGTAACACAATACGTGACACACAGTACACATTATATATGGGTTAATAAATTAATGGTATATCTAACTTGCTAAATATGGCTTGAAATCATATTTCTCAAAGTATGATGCTAATATTAGCATATAGAAATTAATATATCCTGATCTATCTCATTATGGATCATCCTTAAAAAAATACATTATTGAGAAAATGCCTTTCAAGCCATGTTCCAAGGTAGTCATATCTACTCAAAGACAAGGCATTTGGATTGTATGGCCTCAACACATGCACTTCTGTCTATTTCGGGCAGATTAAGGTGAATTCTAAGTCTCAGATCAAGAAGGAAATAAAGTGACTGATATTAACACAAAATTCTTCTGCTGTCTTTCAAATATTGAATATGTCAGTGGGCTGAATCACAACCATAGAGACATGCTATTTTATTATTGCTCTTACGTTTGCCTTAACCAGATTTTTTAAAATATGTTTAATTTGGTGTAGTAAACTTTGCAAAGAGAATCCTACTTAGACACAGAGAGGTTTGCGAGCCAGTATTCCTGTCAATTGTTTCTTATCTGCTTTTCAGGGCATGGAGTCTGAGCTACAACATGATAAATGTTGTTTCTACTCTTAATTATATGTTCTAATGGGAGAAGACAAAAAAGACCCCAAATAATTAAAGTTATACCAAGTAGTGGTCAACGCTATAAAGAAGAATAAATGGGGTGAGGAGATAGACAATGACAGTGATTACCACTTTAAACAGTGGTTCCAGACAAGATCTCAAGGAGGAGGAAATATCTGAGCAGAGAACTGAATGAAGTACAGAAGGGAGCCATGCCAAATGCTGTGAGAAGAGCTTTCCAGGTAGAGAGAACAGCAAGTGCAAAGGTCCTCAGGCAGGAGCATGCTGCAGTGAGGAATGGTGAGACTGTATCATAGTTGTAGTATGCTGAATAGGGAGAGTAGTGATAAGAATTGAGGTTGGAGAAGTTGCTAGATGCCAGATCTCATAGAGTCAGAGTAGACCACATTGCTGAAGGATTACTGAGAATGTAATGTTTTTCATCATGAGAATCCCATTCCTTGCCATTACTACTCTTGTGCACTGAAAGCATCTGGGATCAGAGTGGGCACCTCCCTACAGGCCTGAGACATCTATATATTTGCCAATATTCTATGACATATGGTCAGAACTCTGCCTAGACAGAGATAATGGTTATAAGCTGGGCATATCTGATCCTCTCTCATAGAAATTTTAGCTAGAATATCCTGAGAAAATGAAGTTGTTAGGAGGTAGGGCAGCAGTTTAAGAGATGTATAGAGATGCCATGTCAAAGACAGTTAGGGGTTATAAATAAGCACATCCAATGCAACAAGGCAAAAATACGGGAAAGAAGAAATGAATAAGCAAGTCAGAGATGCAGGAGAGGGGAGCAGACCCCCAGAGTAGCTGGGCATGACTGGTGGAGAAGCACCCAAGGCATGATGAACTAACCCCTGCTTCTGAAGTTTCTAGAGCTGCCTAGTATCCACTCTAGGGGAGAACTGGCTATTCTATGATTATTTTCTTTGGAGTCCTGTAAGATTCCTGTCATCCATGGTTCATTATCTTATGGGTATCCTTTTTGTAAACCCCAACTTACTTGAGGAAATATGAGGAGAAGTTTGTTTTGTGCAATTATAAAACCTAATTAGGTTAAATAAATAAAATATATGTGCATTCCTGAGTTGGTATGACAATTTTATTTTATTTTATTTTTTTCCATTTTGTGGAGAACAAGGTCTTGCTATATTGCCCAGGCAGGTCTCGAACTCCTGGGCTCAAGCTATCCTCTCATCTCTGCCTCCCTAAGAGATGGGATTACAGGTGTGAGCCACCACACCTGGCCAGTATGATAATTTTAATTTGGCAATACATATCTCAGACTTTCATGTTATGCTGAACGCTTACATTCTTTAATATAGAAATGTTATATTTAATATACATTTATTAATATATAAAATATTTTTTAAAAACATGGAACAAGTATCCAAAGGAAAGATAAGTTATTTTGTTTACTTAATTTTTAAATCTTTCTGAAATCCATCAAATAATAGTATCCACTTCCTCTTCCTAGGTCTACGAATCACATTTACTTTGGAAGAGATTTAAAAGTAAGAGACGTGCTTCTCAATAAAGTGTAACAAAAATAGTGTCATGGATATCAGTTTATAAAAGAGAATGAACACTACAGTGGGACCCATAACTTGCCATGGAGTAATTATGACTGTACTGCAAAGTTTAAGAGCTTGAGCCCCAGAGTCAGACAAAATTGCGTTTAGATCTCAGCTTTTCCACTTATCTACCTAAGAGATCTCAGAACAGTTACTCTGAACCTTGATTTTCTCATATGTAAGACAGGAATGATAGTAGTATCCACCTCACATGGTTTTGTGAGGATTAAATGAGCCAGTAGGTGTAAGGTATTTCACACTAAATCTGGCATATAACAAACCCTCCATAAATGAAAGTTGTTATCCCATATACTATATTGGGTGCCCTTGGGCAAATGAAGTTCAGTGCCATGATTTTCAGGAATTGTACCCTCATAAGGCCTTGCTTGGAGGAGCAAAGGGAGGGGAGAATTGAAGAGATGAAAGAGTTTGAAGAAAACCTATGATTCTAGTGGGGTTAATAAGAAAAGGAGCTCCCCTGTACTCACACTCTCAAGAACTGGATTCCAAAGGGTCTGGACTAAGCCTCTTAGGGCAGGGACTACCCTGGTCTTTTTATTACCTGAGCATGGTAGAAAGCCTGGCCTAACTAATGCCAGTTGAGTGAATGAGTGATATTGTGATAAAGAGCCATTGAAAAATGAATATGACTGTGAGGGTCTGAGGAAAAGTCCCCAAACTAGCAAAGCCTGGGAAACATGAGAGGCCTGTGACTGCTGGCTCCCACTTGGTATCAGTTCCGAACTTGAGAACTCCATCAGTCAAGTGAGCGTGTGGCATCAAATTAGCATCCTTGGCACAAAGTAGGTGCTCAATAGTATCTATTGAATGAGTAAATGCATGAATAAATGAGGTGTCCTCTGAAAAACCTGTTCAACATAATCACTAAAATGGCACCGATTCATGGGAAACATACATGGGCAACATTTCCCTGGAGATGAGTGAAAATTATAGAGCAAGGTCTTAATGAAACCACTTTCTACTTACCTATTATGCCTCCTAATTAAAGCGCATTGTAATATAGACTAATATAGAAAATATAGCTTGGACTCTAAAGGCTTGTGAGAACCAAACTGTTGCCAAGGACAGGATGAACTTGAATTATTTAAGTGAAAATACATGTCTATCCATTCAGCTAAAAAAGATGCTGATATAGCAGGGCTTAGATTATGGTTTCAATTTTTCTATTAATTCAGACTCACATTTCTGATCATACCCTAAAAGCACACCTAATTCTTCATGTATTTTCATGAAACATATGTGCAGTCCTGAGGAAGTGAGAGAAAAAAAAAAGCAAAATAAATTATTCTGGTTTTTGATAATTGTTCTATGTGATGTTCCTTGGTTTTAAAAAGTAGTAACAATGCATAACTGAAGAAATTAAAAGCAAAGCACTCTACATGTTTGAAAATGCTGTAAAAATCATGGGAACTTTGTTTCTCTATCATACTTAATAAAAGCCATTTCCATAATAATTCTCTTTTTGGTTGTTCTAAAAGCAACAGGAAGCAGTAAAAAGGAAGCTTTACACTAGAAATGCAAATTCCGGATAGTATAAAAGATGGAAAGATTGTTTGGGACCAAGAAAAGTCAAGGTATGACACGACTATAATAACAGGAACCCAATATGGGGTTGCCACATGCCATGTTCCTAAAGCACGTCTCCCAATATTGCACAATAAGTCATTACCATGGCAACTCAACCTTTACCAACATAAAAGAAACACCTCACATCCTCTCTTCAGAATGACACAGATCTCACATAGGATCAAGGGATTTGTTTAAAAAATACTTCTCTAATACTATTTTTAATGGTTGAAAGACTTAGGACATGGGGGTCAATGTACAGACAGAATGAAGATAAAACCAAGTACATGAATGATTGAGTTAAGCATTTTTACAGTTTTATGACATAGAGTTCTACTGGGATGATGTAAATAAACACAAATCTGTATACACTGGATAAAGGAGAAGTCTAATAAATGCAAGTGTCATTTCTCCCCGAACACCAATGAAACAGTACAAGTATTTCAGTTTTATGCTTTTTCAAAGGACACTTTGAAAACCCACTCCAGTCATTGGTCCTTCATATCTACCACTTTACCTAAAGAATCTTCCTGAAAACCACTTATATTTATACACCAATATGAGTAACAAAAGAATTAATTTCTTACATAGGTGAGCCCCCAATCTTAAAAAAATTAAGAAGAATTTAGGAGTCAAATAATAGAAGGTAAATCCACAACTAAGGCAAAGGGCCTGCTGATCAGTGCACCAAGCGGATGCTAGTAGAAAGGTGTTGCTGATTGGTGCAGATTCACACTCTTGGAAAAATAATTTAAAATATGAGCTTCTTCTTGGCACATCGGTAGCATCATCTTCTAATAAAAGAAGAGCTGATCACTCAAAATCCAAGCAGCTTCTCCTATAGTGTAGTCTCCTCAGATATGTGGACTTAAAAACTGACATGGGCTAAGAGGCTCATTAGGCAAGAGGTATCGGAACCCCAGAAGTACTTGGAGCAGTCAGTAATGCCTCCGTCTCTTAATACTGCATTTCTAAAGGGAATCCCTTGGAAACCAGTGGTTCTGTTAAATATTAAAATGTTCTACAGAAGCAGGTAAAGGAATAAGAATTAGAATGCTTTTGTGATTATCTTAAAATCATTCTCAGACCCTAAGTTTCCTATTGACCTGCATCACTATATATAGTCATCTCTCGGTCTCTGTGCAAGGCTGGTTCCAGGACCTACAATGGATATAAGAAGCTCAAGTTAAGATGGTGTAGTATTTGCATACAACCTCCTGTATACTTTAAATAGTCTCTGATTACTTATAATACCTAATACAGTGTAAATGCTATGTAAATAGTTGTTACACTGTATTGTTTAGGGAATAATGACAAGAAAAATGTCTGTACTTGTTTGGTACAGATCCAACTGTTCTTTTATTTTTCCCAGATATTTTCAAACTGCAGTTTGTTGAATCCCTGGATGCAGAACCCATAACTACAAAGGGCTGACTGTACATATTTTGAGTTCAGTCACATCAAACGTTCATTTAACATATTCAAATTTGATAAAACACACTGGGGGCAGAAAAGTGACAGGAGAATAATCAAAACCATTCTGTTGGTGGTTTCCTTCATCTAAGAACTGTTCTGGGACGAGTATGAGCTGGGAGAATCTGCCCTTTGTGTTTGCTCAGCTGGACCCAGTCCTTTGTGACTGTCGCTGTGCGAGTGAGCATCTCACTAGGCTGAAGGGATCCTGAAGTTATGCACTTGTTTGTGTCCCTAAATGCTGGCTACTTCACCTAGTGTTCAGCAGAAGTAACCATAGTTTGTTCCCACATTGGAGGTGGTTAAGTTGGCTTCTAGTGTGGAGCCTTCCTATTTTCAAGGGTAGTTTTGACACATGGTTTTCTCTGTATGCAATGATTTTGGAACGTAACAAACAAGTAAGATGCATCTCTTAAGATCTATCTTTTAAATTCTAAGGTATGTTAAAGGATCTTGACTTTCTGGAACCAGACTGCCTGGTTTCTTTAAAACACAGTTTTAACTACCTAAAATTTAAAATGAAATTAAAAACCAAAAACAAAATCCAGCTTACAAATAGAGTGAGACCCAAAAGTTTATTTGCAAGCTGAGAGTTTAGAACTCAGAATGCATTTTGATATTAAAACAATGTTATAAATTGTATAAAAGGTATATGCATTCCCAAAATACCCACATAAATCTTTGTTCTGAAATGTATATTCTTGTAAAGAAAAACTGGAAGCATAAGGGAAAAAGGATATAAAGCAGGAAGCCTAGTATCGCAGCTGAGAATGCTAGAGCAGTGCTGTTTGTGTTCAAATACCATCGCTCAGTAGCTTTTGGTCCTGACAAGTTGAACTCTGAGTTCGTGCATCTTTAGAATGAGATAATAGAGTATTTGCCTCAGAGATGTGCTTGAGGATATAATGGGCCAATATTACCCATCTTGCACATAAAAAGGGCTCTGTGTTTGCTTTTGCACTGGTTCCTCTGGGTGTGATTGGCTTGCATGCCACATTTTCACTCCCTATACTTCTCCAAACAGCAGCCATTCTTGAGACAGGGAATTCAGGAATCTTAACCAAAAAACCATGCCCAGCACAGAAACATTTGCTCTAAAGAACATTTTATCTAAATGTGAATGAAAAGAAAAGAAAGGAAAAGTGTGCACTACAGACAGGGGTCTGGGAAAAGTTTCTCTTACTGGGCTCCAGCATCCACTCTTTCCTGGGCCAAGCACTTGTGCCGACCTATTCTGCTATTAATATTAGCAAATAATATTGGAGTTTTGTCTGTTTGTTTGTAAGTGTGACCCTGGTGCCTATAAGAGTGTATGACACACAGTAAGCTCTCAAAGACTATTGGTTGAATAAATACATGTAGAAAAAAAAAAAAAGTAGACAAGCAAGCACTTGTGCTGGGCCAGGCACTTGTGCTGACTTATTCTGCCATTATTATTAGCAAATAGCATGCCCTCCTCTAATCTGGGGATGCCTGCAGCAGGAGGCAGATGTGGACACGTGATGGTGAGGAGAGGAGAACTTCCCCATGCTTCCCAAAGCCCACTGGACAGGCCTTGTGGAGGTGTCTTTGTAGGCCAGCCCAGAGCAATAAGGACAGAGGGACGAGCAAGAGCTATTTCAGCAACATTCCTGGTACTCTCCCCTCTGCCTCCCACCATGCCAGTCTTTCACTGGACACAGTCCTGCTGCGGTAGCCTCCCACTTTCTAGATTTTCTCTGAGATCTCCCAAATGTTCTCTGTGGGAAAATGGCAAAAGAAAATGAATTGTACACAGTGAGAATACCAAGAATTCTGTATGGGCTCTCACCACTTTCTCAATTCCAAGGAAGCTGTCCTCAAATAAAACATATTTGGGCGAAGAACTTCTTTCAGTGCATTTAAGCTCATATCAATTGCTTGCACCATTCATTCATTCATTTAATAAATCTTTTGTGTAGGATTATGTAGATTCTAAGAGTACAGAAACAAGTAAGCCTTTGTTTATTTTGTTTAAGGAAAATGTACTTCCCTTGAGGAGCTCGCAGTTTAGATTAAGGAGAGAAAATAGCTTTGATTCAGGGCAGCATAACTGAGGGTAACTCAATTATTGACAAATCAAAATTTTTCTTATCAGTGCAGCTAGGACACAGTAGCTAAGCATGGCTCCCTGACACCCTGTGCACAGCACTGTCTGATGGCCTGGGGAGTCCTCAGAGAATGTAGAAAGGAAATATAATGTACCTGAAAACACTTCATTTTCCAGGATGGATGTAGCCCTGCTCCTGCCCACAGTGTGCAGGCTGATTATGTGGATAGGATGCTCACGAAGTTGGAGAGGGCCTGTATGATCTACATTAAAACTGGACTTCATCAAAGCAGATGGTATACTTACTTGGAAACCCAGAATAGTAACATGGTACTTACAATTAAGCTATATTTCTAAGTTTTTGTTTCCTTCCATCTGGTTAAGCACTTGATTACCAGGTTATTTGGAACAATTTTAAAGGAGAGAGGGCAAAACGGAGAATATCCAATAGGAGATGTGGATAAGCAGAACATTTGGTTTTCCTTTCACTAGTCTTAGGGAAAAAATGTAGATATAGTCAGTGCATTTCATGACATCATCTAAAACTAAGAATGCATTGAGGGAAAATAGTGTCTTTTCACAGGGCTCTTGAGCTCTGCAGGTGAAGTTGTGTGTGGTAATCAACAGCACTGTTCACCAGTGTTTCTGGCCCCCTGCATTCCCAGCAAATGGTAGGATTGTACTTCCCTGCCCTTCTTAAGTTTGGCATGGCCATGTGACTTACAAGGCCCAAAAATAAATGAATAGAAGTGATAACATCACTTCTGGGAGAAGCTTGAACAGCCAGTGTACCATTTGCCATGCTCACTTAATTAGACTGCCACAGCAATGGACAATGCCACCTTGGGTCCCAGGGTAAGGACAATGCAGAGTGAACTTCCAGTGGACCCATGAAGGAAATGTAGTGTGAGCAAAAACTAAACCTTGTGCTTAAAGCTGCTGAGATCTTGGGGCTATTTGCACCTGCAGCATAACCTGGACTACTCTAACTGACAAAATATTGGAAAGGAGAGCTTATTTCACTGCCAGGCTGACTGTATGAAAAATCACAGGAGGGATGGTTCCTCCTGTATCTTTCTAAGTTGTTCCATGTTCCCTTGCAACTTATCTTTTAATTGTAAAGCTTTGGGCTATACTTTGAAATCTTATAAAGGAATATAACTTTATTTATTAATCTTTTGCTTTTGTTTTTGTATTTATTTTTGAAATAACAGCAAGGTATGAAGGAAGAAAAAGCTATAAATGGAAAATTTAAAGATGAAGGTTAGTTAACTGGTTTACTGGCTCTGCCACTAATCATCTGTGTGACCCTTAAACAAGTCCTTAATGTCTTGGGGCCTTGGTTTTCTTGTCTGCAGCACAGAGAACTTGAATTAGACATGAGATGGCCAAGTAGCATTTCGTGACAAATCGCAACTAGCCCTGAGATTAGTTTTGTTTGGTCCTCCCAGAAGTGGGCTCCTACTTTTAATTAAGCCATGCAAAACAAAAATCTATTTGTCAACATTAAAATTTAAGAGCATTCACATAAAAATCCAGCTTGCTTGCTTGTCTACTTTCTTTTCTACATGTATTTATTCAGCAAAACCTTTTTGAGAGCTTACTGTGTGCCATACGCTCTTATAGGCACCAGGGTCACACTTACAAACAAACAGACAAAACACTCCATGCCCTCATGGAGTTGACATTTGAGAAGATTTCCAGCTTCTCTTGAATATTTGGAAGATCTGGCAGCATAGGGTCCATATTCCAACAAAGCAACAGTTGCTGGGAAGCTGGGGGTCCACTCCCTGTGGATAGGGCATGTGGTCTGCTCCTTTAGGTTCATAGAGGCCTACGGGGGCACTCACTCTGCCTGCCTGGACCCTGTGGGCCTGTGAGTTTGTGATGACCCCTCAGAGACCTTTATTTCTAACAACCACGATTCTAAATTTATATCCAACCCAAAATGAAAACTGAGTATTTTCAAGTATGTTATAGAAAATCATGAGCTATGGATGTATATTAAAAAGCAAAGGCTTTTGCCCCCTATCCTGCTTAGTCCTATTGTCTCTCACTTGACTGAACTCTTCCAGAAAGAAAGAAAGAAAGACACCCAGCACACTTGAGGTCTCCTTGGCTTTCTTCCTGTTCCTTTTACCTCTCTGTCACTGCTTTTAAAGCAGGCTTGGCTTTTTATTCTGGAGATGCAGATTAGCTTTGTAAATAACCAGGAGTACCTCTACCTTAGGTATCTTAGATATCTAACTACCTGCCTAAAATTTCAGTTGAGCAGTTGAATGGGAATTAGCATATTGCTTTAATGGAAGCAATATGCTAATATTGCTGGAAGGTCCTGTTTGCTCTACAATGTTATTTGCTAACTCAGTCATTGTTTTCCTTCCCAGTAAATCCAAGAAGACATGTGGGTGCAGAGTAATGGTTACGTGTTTCAGCTCCAATGGGAACTGACTTTGTGAAAAGTGTGAGGGCTGGGATACATTAAAAAATTATTTGCAAGGCTATTGTAAATCATCTGTCATATAGCCATTCTTTTCCCTTCTGCCTTTTCCTGCTCTTTTGCTCTTTGTTTCTTCTCTTCCGCTAGGTGGAATTGTGGATGAGTCATCTTTTTGAGTCATTTCCTTTATTAAGTGGCAGGGTTAATGGCATCGAGATAGGGAAGAAGGAAGACAAAACATCAAAGCTATTACCACACGTATTAATGGATGGATATACACACACATCTACACCCACAATGAACACACATATATTCCATTACTCAAGTGAAAGACAATTAACAGATTGTTTTTCTCTGTAAAAAATTTCATCTAAAGGCTGAGATATAGTAAGCCAAGTTTTTGCCAGGGCAAAAATTTATAACCAAGTTATAAAAGCTTGAAAATAGCAAGACACAATGGAAACCCTGACATAATCTTAATTACACTGTCACCAGACGCAATGTGAAAATGTACATGCAAAAGTTCCTTTATAAGCCTATGAATTAGTCCTGTGGATATGTCTAGAATCGTATTTCTAACTGCTGACAAACCTATCCCACCTCTGAGTAGAATAATTATTCTAGGTTGCAGATCAAAGTCGGTTCTTTTCAGCCAAGATTCTAAAAATATCTCCCTGAAACTGAAAAACACCACCAAATATTAATGGGAATAATAATAAGAAGAATCATTCTAACAACTAACATTTATTGAGAACTTATGCTCTGGGCCCTGTGCTAGTCATTTCTCTCATCTTATCTCATATAATCGTCCCAGCCTCCACCCTGAGACGGGGTTTGTGTGCAGGTTATTCTCCATTTGCTTCTGCAGATCCACTCTCCATCTCTCTTTACCCTGCTTTGTGGCCTGGGCTCTGACCTTCATGGATTTCATCTTTGGAGTTCCCATGTCTTCTGGCTTCTGTCAGGTTCCCAGAGTAAGATGAGAGTAAAGTCTGGTATTTCTTCTCCCAACTTGAGCTCTTTTGGGCTGAGGACTGGCACCTCTCTTTGTCACCTGCCTCCTGGCAGGGGCCCTCTTCCACAGGCACCACCCTCTCTTCAGCTGCTGGCAGCTGCTCCCCTCTTCAGGGTTGGGAGCTGCTTTGCTATCCACAGGATGCTTTACTGTCCTTTGTTGACTGCCCTTAACTCTGCCTACACTTTTATCCCTTATTAAATTTTCTCAATTACTTTGAATGTGTCATCTATTTTATGAACCCTGAAAAGTACAGTACAATCAGTTCCCATTTTATAGATTGAAAACTACTGAGACTGACCTGTTATGGGACACATCCAAGATTGCACAGCTGGTAAATGCTAGAGTCAAGATTTGATCTTAGATCTTCCCTCAGCCCAGGCTCTTAACCAATATGGTATACTTTCTAGAACAGAGTCACTACTATGTTGATTTTCTGCAGAGGTGTCAAGAAAAGAGTCTAGGCTTCCAGCCCAGTAAAGAGCTGACTTGACTTTACCACTGCTTGGCTGGGGGTGGGTGTTGGTTTTCTAAGCCACCTGGCTTCTCTGTGCCTTGGCTTCATCATCTATAAAATGCGGGAAATAAGACTTGTTCCACTTAACTCCTCAGGATTCTTGTAAGAATAAAAATGAGAAAAGAGATGTGAAACAACCTTAAAAGGATGTGACTGCTACATAAATGTAAACTAGTTTTTTTGAGTTGTACCATTTGTAACTGTATTAAGATATAGATCTCTCTGTATATATTTATGTATATGTGTGTGCATGTGAACACACGGAATTTCTCTTTTATTTATTCTGTAGATTAGAATACCATTATTCTTCTATGATACAAACATGTTGTCAGGTTATCTACTATTATTTTCCCATATTTCAATGTACAGTTCAAATTTTATATGTTCTAAACATTAGGACCCCACATTCACATTCAACCATTCTAGAAAGTAAGAAAATTGTATTCACCATTATCAGTTCTCTGTGTAACAAGACATATCTATAACTTTAGAGAATATGATAATATAGATATGAAGATATACTTTTATAAAGTGGTTTTATCCCACATGAATAGATAATGAGAAACGTTTTTCTTAAATGGGTTCATTTATGCTATAGTTGAGATACAAATACATAGTAGTCATGATTGAAATTAAAAAAAAAAGCTTTTGTAAGGGATAGTAAAAACATGGATTCCACTCCTTTACATCAGCTTGGAGGTAAGTAGATATTTGATAATATTCCAGGACACAGGTCCTTGGAATGAGAACCAGTGCTTGTATCTGTAAAGCCTCAGGTCATGAGGAATTCCAGGGACCTCAGTGAGCAAGGTGCTCCTGGTTGTGGAAGTGGTGGACAGATGGGCTCCCAAAGAACCTCAGCGGTTTGGCTAATGCCACATCATCTAGCAGAGGCAAATCCAGAGCCCCTGAGTGCCTGAGTGTACTATAGCCTATACCCCAGTACTCCCAACCCCTGCTTACAGATAGATGATGATGGCCTCCTTTTCCATTGGCAAGGCAGGCTGGCCACCATAAGAGAAAAAAGCAGGCACTCGCATAGCACCATTGAGACAAGCCTCACCTTCCTTTGGCCATAGTTCTGACTCATTCTCTGATGTTGGAAATATCATGTAATTATTTGGTAATGCAATTGTCCTATTGACAAAGTATGTACCAGTTTCCTGCCTCTTGCTTACGTGATGCCAGATTTTTTGGAGACCCGAGAAAATGTTGCAATATAATTTTTTTTTTAGATGGAGTCTCCTTCTGTCACCCAGGTTGGAGTGCAGTTGCGCAATCTCGGCTCACTGCAACCTCCATCTCCTCGGTTCAAGCAATTCTTCTGCCTCAGCCTCCCAAGTAGCTGGGACTACAGGCATGTGCCACCATGTCTGGCTAATTTTTGTATTTTCAGTAGAGATGGGGATATCACCATGTTGGCCAGGCTGGTTTTGAACTCCTGGCCTCAAGTGATCCACCCACCTTGGCCTCCCAAAGTGCTGGGATTACAGGCATGAGCCACTGCACTCAGCCTGTAATAGAAATTGAAGGGCAATTAATTATTTGCATCTTGAGCTAAAGTCACCTATGCACTTGTCATATGTCTTTAACTTATGACCAGCTTTTAATCAGAAAATAGGCATTTGGCATTTAGTGTTTCTGACGTAAAAGATCTTGGCTCAGGGCCATGGGGCTTCCTCATCCTCGGCAATCCTGCCCATACTGCTTCCTAGCTGGGTAGGCTTATGGAGGCAGTAATGCAGAATGGTGGGGAGGCTGGCCCCTGGAGTCAGGCAGGTTGGGTGGCCTTTGATAGAATTCCTTTCTGAGCCTCTGTTTACTTATCTATAAAATGGAGATAATAGCACTAACCTTATAGGGAAGTTGGGAGCGTTATATTAGAATAAACATCAGCACTTGGTAACATGCATGACACATAGTAACAACCCAATGCATGTTAACACTGGACCCCAACCCCTGTACATTTTTGACACCGCACCTAACATACCAAATACATGTACTACATTTTTGCCTTTTTACTCTCACCTCCAACTCTGCCCCTCAAGTGCTCTGAACTGTGCCCAGTATATAGCATATGCTCAATAAATACTGGTTGAATGAATCAAAGGAAAGTATAGTTGGGATCCCTGCCCTGCAGGAGTTTACTAATGAATTGGCAGATAAGAGGTTTATATGCCAGATACCTAGTAATTATGCCTAGCAGAAAATAGGTGGAATGGGAGTGTTACACACAGAGGTGAGAGACAGAGAATACTTCTAACCAGATGGGGAAAGAAGGCTACATGGAAAAGGGGGGCTTTGAGCTTAAATCAATACTGTGAAAATGAGCTAGTGCTCAAAAAAGGAATTTCACGCCACACTCTGGTCACTCAAACACTGACAATATTTTTCCCTCCATTTTCTGTGCTTTAACTTGATGCTTTAACATGATGACGGGTACCTCTATTAATTTCCTATTGCTGCTATCACAAATTATCACAAAAACAGTGGCTTAAAACAACACCAACTTACTTTCTTCCAGTTGTGGAGAGCAGAATCCCTAACTCAGTCAAGTCTTGACTTGCTAAAGTCAAGATGCAGACGGGGTTGATTCCTCCCGGAGGTTTTAGGAAAGAATCCATTTCCCTTGCCTTCTCCAGCTTCCATAGTTGCACTCCTTGGCTCTCAGCCCCTTCTTCCATCTCAAAGCTAGCAGCATGACATCCTCAATCTCTCACTGCTCCATCATCACATCGCCTTCTGTCTGGCTCTTTGGTAGTCAAATATCCCTCTGCTTCACTCTTGTAAAGATACCTGTGATTACACTTAAGAACCACTCAGATAATCCAGGATAATCTCCCGTCTCAAGATCCTAAATTTAATCCCATCTGCAAAGTCCTTTTTGCCATGAACATGCACAGAGTCCAGGGATTTTGGGAGATCATTATTCAACCTACCACAGTAGCCAAAAAATAGGGGTGGGAGGAAATGTTTTCAGAACACTTGGATTTTTTTTCTAGTCCATTTTAATATTGAATCCAGCAAATATGTCAGTGAATTGATAATAATATACTATTTTTTACACTGTCTACTGTTAATCAGAATTTGCTTAAATTCTTTCATTGGATTTCATTTAAATGTATAAATTTGAGCTATTGCTGTTTGCTACTAATGCTGTGGAAGTATAAGACCATCGATACCTCCTAAGAAACAGAAATGTGAAGCAAAAAGATCCAGTCTGCAATACTGGGTGAGGTGCAGGGTTGAGGAGACACAAGACAGGGAGAGAAGTGCTCACAAAGTGGACAAATTCCTCAGGGCTAGTTGATCCAGCTGGAGCCAGGCTAGTGGCCATTTCTGTCAGAAGAGGCAGTTGTTAACACCTTCCCTGCCTTGAGAGAAATTTCCACAAACCTTGGGGAGAGGGCCAAATGAGCAGTCAACCTGCATCTTTTGAGTCTGCAGTAATCTTTTTCTTTATAGCAGAATTTGACCACTCGAATGCACATAGAACTAATTTCATTATTATGAGTTTTTTTTTTTTTTTTTTTTTTTTTTTTGGAGACAGTCTCACTCTGTCACCTAGGCTGGAGTGCAGTAATGCTATCTTGGCAACCTCCACCTCCCAGGTTCAAGCGATTCTCCTGCCTCAGCCTCCCAAGTAGCTGGGATTACAGGCAAGCACCACCACACCCAGCTAATTTTTGTATTTTCAGTAGAGACAGGGTTTCACCATATTAGCCAGGCTGGTCTCAAACTCCTGGTCTCAAGTGATCCACCCGCCTCGGCCTCCCGAAGTGCTGGTATTATGAAATATTTGACATAGCCACAATGGGCATTCATACTTACATATTTTGGGGAAATTTTGTTGGTTTTAGCACATGAAAAGTCTCCTTCTTACTGGAACTCTCAATAGTTCACTTTTCACGCTATTTAAAACCTCTGGGAACATGTCTTCTTCAAGATAAGGATGTAGCCCTGATTTCTGTCTTAAGTTTAATATCCATGTCTTCCACCAGAGGTGATGGTCTATGTTAATATAGTCACAATACCTGTCGCCTATTTTACTCAGCAATAGCATCCACACTGCCAGTCATCTCAAAACCAATTTAACACTGCAATTGTGCATGTCACTAAGCTCTGCTCGTTCTAATAGCATCATGTTCCCATAGTTACTAATGCATTTCAAGGCAAGGTTGGGGGAGCACACGGCAGTTTAAAATTATAGATAACAGGAGAACGAAAAGTAACATAAACAAAATGTGTGATGAGTGGGGTGCTCCAAAGCTGATTGCTGCCCAGGTAGGGACATGCAGCTTATGAATGGATAGCCGTCAACAGGCTGCAGAGCCTGCCTACCCAGTGAACCCTTTAAATACTTAAAACGAAGGGCCTTAAGTGCACACTGCACTATTTGCAGTCAATAAATGGGGCTGAGGAAAGATTCAGGAGTAACAAGTCACACTCGTATTGATGTGTCCCTTAGCCCCACACCAGAGGTTTGGAATAACTTCCTAAGGAGCACCTTTGCTTCTTCTCTCTCTCACACACCAGCCATCTTCCTAAGGCACCCTTCCTATTGGACCACTCACTCAGTGCTAAAGAATATGCAATGACTCCCATTGTCTTTCTGATGGAGGCCAAATTCCTCCTGTGGAAGCTTGGCCACCGCTGGCCCAGGTCTGCGCATGGGTGCAACTTGTCACACTCCCCATGCCTCTGCTCCAGGCAGACTAGTCCTCCCTCCACCTCACACAGCTCACCTGTTCTCCCCACTTCATTCACCCACGACCTATCCTTCAGTGGTAGGACCCAACCCCTACCTTCTCCCTGAAGCCTTCTTGATAACTCTCTGGTCAAAATTCATCTTTGCCTTTCCTATTTTCTCACAACACATACTCTTGCCTTAACTTGTTAGGGTATAAACATCAATTGGTTTTATTTTCCTGCTCACAACTTTCAACTCAACTTCTTGGAACCCTCTCTCTCTTTTCCACAGGGTGATAGCTTCCACTGAGCCTCTGTTGGCTCAATTCCATGACGTTTAAATCACTTTTCTTAAACCACGTTCTAAGATTCAGCCCTGCTGCTTTTAACATGTTGACCTCATATTTAATTCATATTTCCATCTCTTTCCATCCCTGATCCTACCCTAATCCAGTGCTACTGGCACATTAAGAGCAGGAGAAGAAGGGTGGGGGGTCTTCTGCTCCTCGAACACCATCTCCTCTTTCACTTGCACCTGCTTATAGTGTTGATCCAAGAAAATGAAGAAAATGGAGGAGTCTCCTTTCTGCTCTGCCCATGGAGAGTTCCAGTCCTCCCCACATCTGGGCCCTAATTGCTGCCCTAGCTCATTTTCTTGAAGCCCAACAGTGGATGCTGGTGGACAATTCTTAGGAGGTGGGACCCTTTATGAGATAAGCTGATAGCTTCTTTTTTGTTGTTGTTGTTTTTGAGTCAGAGGAGTCCCGCTCTGTCACCCAGGCTGGAGTGCAGTGGCGCAATCTCAGCTCACTGCAAGCTCCGCCTCCTGAGTTCACGCCATTCTCCTGCCTCAGCCTCCCGAGTAGCTGGGAATACAGGCACCCGCCACCCCGCCCGGCTAATTTTTTGTACTTTTTAGTAGAGACGGGGTTTCACTGTGTTAGCCAGGATGGTCTCGAACTCCTGACCTCGTGATCTGCCCCCCTTGGCCTCCCAAAGTGCTGGGATTACAGGCGTAAGCCACCATGCCCAGCAGGTAAGCTGATAGCTTCTTATCAACTCCTCTGGTGCATACCTACCCTGTCCCACCCAGAAGTCTGTAGCTTGCAAACTCATCTCTTTGGGCTCAGTGTTCAGGGCCTGCAGGACCAATTGGGATCCTGTTTTCACAACTCTTCATACTTATGCCTTTGCCCCATGTCATACCACCCATCTCTCTCCTGACCCTTCCTCCACACCCTACAGCAGCCAGTGGCTTGAAAACTATCAAGATGGCATTCCATCACCATCTTGGATTTTAAAGATGTTGTACAGTCATGGCAAGTTTTATAAGTGATTCTCTTGGAGTCTCCCTCTTGGCTTGGGGGCAGGGAGAGAAATACCCCATTTTTTTGAGGAGGATTAGTGAGGGGAGAAAGACCACTGCACTACTGCACAAAGAGTCCTCTCGTTCACTCTTTCTCCAGTTTGCTTCTTTATATTAAATTGAGGGCAGAGTAGAAGATGGAGATGGTGCCAAGATTGATTCTGCTGAAATCTCATCACTCAACAAGCCCTGTTGGAGGTACTTGGCAGCTGTGTGAACAGAACGCACAGGACTAATCTCACTCCCTGAACAATAGAAAACATTGCACTAGGCACTTGGCTTTCTCTTTAGTTCCTAGAATTGTGAAGGCCTACAATTCTAGAATTCTAGAACTAATTCTCTTTAGTTCCTAGAATTCTTCTGCCCCTGCAATCTCTGGCTTGTGACACTTGATAATGTGGTTGATCACAAACAGGGCAGCAGGACCAAGGACTGCCAGCCTTTACACCACTCCTTTCGTAAGCATAGGCCAGCTCTTTCTTTGATGCTGATCACAAAGATTGTGTGAGCTGGTATCCATGGTTTGTAACATTCCGTTTGATATATTATTTTAATTTTAATGGGCAATCTACTTTACATTATCTAACATTGTTCTCGACTCATTAAGCAGGTAAATTTTGTCTCCCCAGTAAAGGTAAAAGCTGAAAGGAGTAGCATTCAATATTTCTTTTGCTTTATGCAGAAACCCTATCATGGTGCTATGCACACAACAGATAAAAACTAGATTTGTTGACTTGAATGGAACATGAACAGCATGGGCTTATAGACCCTGAGAGCCAGTGCTGGCATCTGTGTTGGCTTCCCACTGCCACATAAAAGCTAGAGAGGGCTGAGGCCTCTGTGGTAAAGACAACTGCAGCTTCATTCAGGCTAATAAAGCTGTATCTACATGATACACAATATTAGTTTTGTTCATCAAAAACTCAGACAAGTCAGATTTAAAATTTATATTTCCAGTGTCAGAGACACAAAACACCCATATGATTAGGTATTTGCTTTTTATTTTTAAAAAACTGATATATTATTTACAACTCAGTATGGAGCCAGAGAGAAGTAGGTAAGACAAGAAAAAAATAAATTTCTAATACATTTCCAGATGAAATGTTTGATTTCCAGTTTTGAAACTGGAGGGAAGATTATTTTTTCTTTTTAGAAGAAGAAAAAGCAGAAAAATAAGTAATGGACCCCCAATTAAAAGGGAAAAAATAACTTTTATTGAAAATCTGAAAGCTAATGCTAATAAATTATCAGTACAAGTGTGTGTGCCAATTTTTTTAGTTTTATATTATATATTTCCTAAATTCTAATGTTCCATCAGTTGAAAAATGCACCATCCATTTAAAAATAGCTGTTCAGAACAAAGAAACATGATGACAAAACTCCTGATGCTTTCTAACATTAACATGATAAAACTAAAGTGCCAGAATGCTAAAGTCAGTGCTGTGCAAAGCCTTCCATTCAATCCTCTTAACAACTTGTAAGACAGACACTGTCATGATCTTCATTTCACTGATGAAAAGCTTGGCCAGCATCAAGAACGTATAAGTGGCAGTGCTGGATTCAAACTCAAGGCTAAACACTACAGTGGGCAGCCCCAGAAGAGAAGCTCCATATGTGAGAGAACTGCATCATTATCATCATGGGCTTATCTACAGCTTCTCACTGTTTCCATCCCTGCCTCCACAATTCAAGCCACCATCGTCCTCATGAACTGACTACACACTGTTTTTTATTGACTTCTCAGCTTACACTTATGCCCCTACAGTCTATTCCTCACCAAGAAACCCGAGCAATCCTTAGGAAGCCCAAGTCGGATAATATCACTCCTCAGCTCAAAATCCTGCTCCATCTCACTCACCCAGAATAAAATGAAAAGTCCTCACCATGGCCCACAGGGCCCTCAATATCTGGCCCATTCTAACCTTAATGTTCTCCTGATTGTTCCTCAGATGTGCACTCAGGCCTTTGCACTTGCTTTTTTCTCTGCCTGGATTGATCTTCTCGCAGATACTCAAAGGCTCACTTGCTCACTTTCTTCCAATCTATTACTGAAAGTTATCAAATAATGTCCCCTGCCCAACCTATTTCAATAGCACCCTCCACAACTTTCCACCTTTTGCTCAGCTTATCTTCATAGCAGGTATCACCTCCTGACATGCTAAACATTTACTTGTTTCTTTTTCTCCTCTTCTACAATATAAGCTTTTCAAAGGCCAAGGCTATTTCGTTCACTCCCTTATCCTCAACACCCGGAACAGTGCCTGGCACAGTGCCTGCTTAGGGAATGTTTATTGAATGAATCAACTGACTCCAAATCATACGGTTAAGAATTCATATCTCTGAGCATCATGCTCAGAGACTATATTCTGTACAGCCTTACTGTATTCTGAAAAATCAAAATTAATATGAGAAAAGTTTTAATAACAATAGTTTAGTAATTAGACAGACCTGCCCTGTAACTCCTGCTCCATCGTGGTTGGAGTAATGACATTTCAGTAATAATGTGCTCAGTTGACAGCCTCCCATTTACACATCTGCCCCTTCCTTGGCCCAGAGATGAATGGAGCCACCTTGGGTTCTCCTCTCTCAGAGGGGAAATGACAGCACCAGAATGATTTCACAGCCCTTGATTTTCTTTTTACAGTTGGCCCTGCACTACCAA
The DNA here is from genome assembly GCF_000001405.40 of Homo sapiens. Classification (NCBI taxonomy): domain Eukaryota; kingdom Metazoa; phylum Chordata; class Mammalia; order Primates; family Hominidae; genus Homo; species Homo sapiens. The sequence goes on along the minus strand of NC_000003.12, from coordinate 156,307,528 downwards.
ACTCAACTTCAATTTTAATAAAATTTGTTCATGTTCCAACTCTAAGTGGAAAAGCAATTTAACCATTCTTTTGAGACATAAGTGTACTGGCAAGAGGAACTTTTTAACATAATAAATAATTTCTTTTCTTGTGGAGGTAGACCAACAATAAAAAAAAAAAAAGATGAAAAGAATCCAAACTTAAGAAGTTCCTGGTTTTCATAAAAATAATCTCTTCTGTTCTAAAATCAAATCAGTATAGTCTCTGAATGGCTAAGTCTGGAGACTCATGTCTCTTTGCAGTATGAAGCATATGTCCTCATCTTTGTCTCCATGCTTTGGCTGGCTGGTTTCTATCTTGAAATGATGCCTGAATTGTCCTTCCTGCTCTCCTCTTCCATCTTCCAAAATGTACACGAAGCAAGTTAGAATCTTAGGTCACAAACTTAGGTAGCAAGACATATGACATGTTAATATTTTTCTATGAATTAACTTAATTTCAACCCAGGAACTCCCTCCTACCGAGCCAAAAGGAAATTTAATTTTTACACAATATTAACTCCCTCACCGCCTCCCTCCATGCTGATGCTGCTGAGATTGGGTCAAGGTCCCAGGGTCTTAGACTCTTCAGCGTCAGGGAATTCTGTCCATGTTTACCACGTGATTACAGATGATTCTGCCCATCATTGGTCATCTGTCTATGGCTGTCCCAGACCACATGGTCCTCAGTTCTGCTGCTTTCAAGCCACACCAGGGGCTTCGCAGAACTTGGGAGAGGTTGGAAACCCCTAGCTGGGGATCCAGTCTCTCCACTGTCACAGGGCCATGTCCACAGGGCCATCACGTGCCTTGGACGCTGCAGGGAGCAAGGCTCATGGGACCCACAGACTTCCCACCAAACCAGCAGAATCTCAGCTTAATCTGGGAAATGCCTTTTCTTTCAAACCTGACTCTCTGTAATGGACTTAGACATCTGGACACCGAAAACACACTTTCTGCAAATAAGGACGTATTTGCAGAATACTACATAAGCTACTTGCTTGAATGTAGTAAAGTGAAGAGATGCAGGGAGGAACACCACATGTTAATATCTTCAAATGGTCTCACCAAACTTACCCCAGTACAACCAAACTGGAGGATCCCATCTTTCTTCATGCAACCTCGAAGAAAAGGTTGTAGCTCTTTGCAGGTCCTGGTGAATGGACTTGGAGTTGGGATTTCAAGTGGCCCTGCTGCCTAGTCCTGGACTATTCAGTCTCCTGGCTACTGCACCCCTTGAGAAAAGGCCAGAGTCACTGAACATGCCACACAGGGAAAACTCAGCTCCTTCTGTGCACCACATCAGATCAACACTCAAAATCCATGTTTTTCTAAGAGTTTTGGAATAGTTACATCACTTTTTTTAATTGATCAATACTAACCTGTAAGTATCAATATCAATAACTTGCCCCCACTGTATAGCTTCCACGCAGATATTCTCTTTTTGTTACTTGATCTGTTCACTACTTTAAGGAATACAGTTTCACAAGCCATGTTGCTTCCATTGCCCCCTCTTTGTAAAGGATCAAGTGATAAGTTCAGGAATCGCTACCTTATGCTGACCCACATTCTTAGCAGACCAACAAAAACAAAGACTCAAGCAGTCCCTGCACAATTGTCTCCCAAGGACCCCACACACAGCTCCACTTTCTCTTTTGCAACTACCCAGACAATGACCAGGAAATGTTTCTTGAGGACATGTGTGCTCTTTAGTGTCTAAATAGTAGGATGAATTGTCACAAGCATCCTTGACTCCTGTCTCTGTTGTTTTTAGGTTTCTTTTCTTTTGTAACCTATGCAAATTTGAGAGCCACCTTAAATTCTTTTCTGGAACAAGGCTGGGTGTAAGTAGATATAACAGAAACTGTGTACAACTATTAGTTTCCAGTCATTATGGCAGAATAATTTGGGGGACACCAAGGATAGGTCAGGCTATTCAGTAACCAAGGTCAAGAACAGATAGGATTCCTATTTCCAAAGGAAAGAAGCCCATCGTGAATGTGAAGAGGACAAGTCTCATAGAGAATTAAGCCTGCACTGGAAAGCAAAAGGGTTGTATTGTAATGCAATCCCACAGAAGACTTTGAAGCTTATGAAAACTGGATCACTCATGCATCCATTCATCCATCCTGCAATCCTTTATTGATCACCTACAACATACCAAGCCACCGTGCTAGGACTGGGGATGATTAAAACAGGAATATTTTGAAGCCATGCACATACAAAGCTAAATAACAAGACCTATTGCAAAGATATCATATGTTCACAGAACTTAATTTTTTTCTTGTCTATTTGTCCCATTCTATGCTAATACTGATATTAATGACAATTTTAATGGATAGTAATTGGTACTTCAGGTATATGGTCGCTTGCAATTATGAAAACAATCCTGAAACTCTTGAAAAAGATTACCAAGTCCATCTTACAGATACTGGTAGTAAAGACAAAGTGAAGTAAACTGATACTCGAGTCCCTTTAGCTAGTATGCCATGCTTCCACCGAGCCATTCACCCCTATGACCTCATGTATGTGTGTGCACCTTAGCGCACATCACACACACATTCACATACTCGATATAAATTATGGACTAAACATGTAGGATAAATACTTGCCATAAAAATCATCTTCAAAGTATCTCTTACTTCTTTAAGCTTGATATTAATTTACCTATTAACACCTGATGATGCTTTTATTCCTCCCTTGAGGCAGATTTCTAATAGCTTGAACTGCCAAAAACAAAAAACCGCAATGGCTGCTGAACCTTCCGTTAGCCTCTGGATTCTGGCATCAGTCCTGAACTCTTTAGTGCATGTTCTTTGTACCACCACACTGCTCCAGTCCTGCCTCTGCCCTGGTTTTCTCAGCAGAGTAATTATGGGGGACATTCCACTGCCACATGCCAACAAGGGAAATTAAAACCTTGTTCAGAAATGTCATTTGCCAATATTACATTCCTTTTAATCCTGAGTCACTATTAGTATAAACATACGCTGGTCAGTATAACAGGAAGTAGGCCAGAAGCTGTCTGAACTTAGAATTGATATCAAAAGTCCAATAATTTAGACTACATAATATACCATTAAGTTCTGTTTATGTTGTGCCTCAGTTGCGGTAACTTAAAATGGGCATAACATCGCTTGCTTCCCCCTTCAGAGTTTTTCTCAAGGATAAAATAATAGTAGTTAAACTATTCATTCCCTTAGTTTGGATGTTGACATGAGGTAATCAGCATAAAGAATGATTTTACTGGCAAAGAATGTTATTCAGACATTCTGATAATTAGCATTTGTCTTTTGTCAAACCCTGTCCCCAAAGTATTTCTATCTCAAAATAAGTAGAGACTGTGCTAATATCCTTAACATGAATACTAACAAGCAAAATGATAAACTAACATTTTACGAATGTTCTATTTCTAAAATTAATCATTATTAAAGTAAGGCCAAATACTTTCTCAGTGATATTGTCGTGTGATAGTACTGCCTTGCTGCTAAGAAATGAAATTGAAAAACACTAACCTCATCACATTTGCTTCATTAATGATCATCAATGACTTGTAATCAGGCAGAATCCATCTGCAGAATAAATATGCAGACTTCGATTTGCTTATTTTTCTTTTCTACTGTCAACATGAACCAACATTTTCATTGTTGTATTTGCATTAGGCCCAAGCAAAATGTCTTTTCTAAGTCAGAATACAGACCCTGGTGATAGTAATTTGGAAGACAGCAAAGTAGGTCAGGCTCTTCCCCTTACTATCCTCAGTGTAGTACTAGAGGGGCTTGATGTGCACTGTTGACTCTAAATACACTGCCCTATCTATATAAAGATGATGCCACCTAGCTGAAAGTGCATGGGGAGTTACCTAGCCCTGTGAGGGGTTCTAGAGCAATATCCTCCTATCCCTATTTTAGAATGACTTCCTCCATTATTGCATTCTAACCCATGCTTTGCTTCCCAGACTATAGGTCAGGGTGGTAGCAGAGTTCACAATCAGCAAGGTCCCCCAGGAGCCATTTCCTCATTTCCATCTTACTCAAGCATTGTGTCTCTTACAGCCTCCAGGAAACAATATCTGGCCACAAGAGACTAAATTATAGGCAAAGGTTGAGTTTTAACTCTTGAGTCTCCTGATTTCTGAATTTCCAGAAAACTCTTTTCCTAACTCACTTTGATTTGTAACCACTAATATTTCTCCCCAGATATAATGCAATCTGGTACTTTTGCTTGCATGCCAAGAGAGAGTATATAGACTTAAATGATTTGAAATCAAGAGTATAACCTTCAAAGCCCAGTATTCTAGGCAGTGATAAGAGAGCTGTAGGTCTTTGGAAAGAACTGGGGAACACCCAGGCTTTTCTATTGGCATGTGAGACAGAACTTCACAGAGGGGAAACTACATCAGATTTAAAACATTTGAAAATGTGTGTCATAATAAACTCCTTCTTTTCTCCTCCACAACACTGCTATGACAATGTGAACAAAGCAGGGACAGCGTGAGTTTTATGGAAGGGTTAAGGTCTATTCTGTGATGTGAACAGAGCCTCCCAGATGCACTGGGAATGCGCTGCTTCATCTCCCATGATCCCAAGTGCTAGAAAGAAGTTCTATTCCCATATCTCACTGATTACAGTCATGAAATTTGGAGGTAGATATATTTTTAAGTCATGAGCATTTTAATTACAGCTTGGTCTTTGTGGCTGTCCATTGATTTTCAATTAATGTTGACCCCTTAATTTAGTTTGTACTTAGGTCTTGGTAGCAAAAAAAGAAAAAAGAGATACTCCTCGTAGGTGTTAGTGAGGGGCTGAGGGAAGCAGAGCAGATTCAGATAGTAGCTGCTGTAATAATAATTGCAAAGGCCAAGATAAAACTTTAAACTTTACCACACTGTAGCCACACAATGTAAATGAGAGTTTTATTTCTGATTCAAAACCCAAGCTGTAGCCTTACTCAGAGAAAATCCCCAGCACTCAGCATTTTCAATGATCCCATTATTCTTTTTGCTGCCTTGCTTCACCTGGACAAGTCTTGGATTCTAGAAAAAGTGTTGGGGATATGATGCTTGATACTTTAGGGTTCCTTTAACTCTCCCCTCTCCCATATAACATTTTTTGCATGATATGGGTGGCAGGCTGTATACTGGCCCATGAAAGACGTCTATGTCCTAATTCCTGGAAACTGCGCACATATTACCTTCTATGGTAAAAGGGACAGTGTAGGTGGAATTAATTAAGGATTCTGAGGTGAGGAGATTTGCTGGATTACCTAGGTGGGCTCGATGTTATCACAGCAGTCCTTTAAGAGGCAGGCAGGAGAATCGAAGTGAGAAAAAAAGAGACGTGAAGACAGAACTGGAGATTAGAATGATGTGCTTTGAAGATGGAGGAAAGAGTCAAGGAATGCAGGTAACCTCTAGAAGCCGAAAAAGGCAAGGAAATGGATTTCCAACCAGAAGCCTCCAGAGAAAAGGAGCTTTGCTGACACTTTAAATTTAGACTTTGGACCTCCAGAATTATGAAATAATACATCTGTGTTAGTTTAAGACACTAATTTTGTGGAAATCTGTTGTAGCAGCAAGAGGAAACCAATACAGTGTGAAATTTACAGCTTTGCTTCTTAAGGATACTTGCTGTACCCCCTTTTAAAAAATTACCTCTTGTTTTGAAACAGAACCCACGGAAGGTCCTGCTGAAGCCCTCAGGAAAAAATATCTGGTGAAATTTGGAGTTCTCTGGCAAATGTCCACTTGTTTTTCTCATTAAGGAATTATCCCAAACTTTTATGAACTAAGATCCAAGCCTCTTGATTTCCAAAAGATCACTTCTGGAGAAACTGTATTTGAGTGAAAGTGAAACCTTAAACTCCTTCCTTGGAAATGAAATATAAGCCATTATTGAGTGAGACGTTGTATGTTAGACCATGGATTTCCCAACTCCTTTCTATTTGGGTCTCTTTAGAGTAGCAGTTCATTTATTTTCTCTTCATTAAAATGAAACAAATATGTTCTTCATCAAGATGAAAACCTTCTGAAATCAGGCTGCTAAGATTTCTTCTGAACATTTTCAGTTTTTTAAAGTAAATGCACGGACACTATCATGCAGACGTGCTTGTGCATATACAGATAGGAAATTGAGTAGTGAGTCAAAAGGTTTATTTTCCTCAAATGCCTCAGAGGAATTCTTTGCTGATTCTTGAGTTGAAAGAGAGTAGCATTCATTAAAGCCATGTTATTTACGCAGTTGATTTTTATAACAAGGTTGTTGTTGTGGTCTCAGGCCAAAGACATTTTAAAAAAAAAACAAAACATAAAAACCTAGTTTAAAGAGGAAGCTAATGGAAAAGAGGAAGCTTATTAGCATGTGCTCCTCAGGAAAAATCTTGCATTTCTTACATAAGAGCTCTGTTAAACCAGATGGGCTTTCCAGTAGATATGAACTAATCATGAGGAGCTCGGTGCTTGTAATTTCTGGAGTTGAGCCCCTCCATGGGCATTCTCCTATAAGATGTTAATTACCCATACAGAAAATTTTTCTTGTTAATCATAGCAGTCATATACAGTTGCATTTATATTTAAACCTCCTATGTTAAAAATAAATTATCTATAAGAATATATCAAAAAGCAAATTAATCACAGTACAAGTTGTTAGCTTTCTACCTGGATACTCAACTATCATTGAAACCTATACATCAAATTTGGCCTTTTCATATTTCTTTAACCCAAGAAACTTCAACTGTCACCATTATAATTTTTCGAGTTGATATCTCATAAGAATTGCTATGTGTCAGCATAGTCATCCCCCATTACTCTAATAAATAGGTTAGGATTTTTTTTTAATGTTTTACAGAAATTGTTTCATAGAATAATTCAAAATATGAAAAACATTTTTTTTCCTTCTAAAACAGGAAGCATGACCAGGGCATGCAGACGAAAGGACATACCATGTTTCTGTTATTAGCCAATCTTGCTATTCTATACTGAAAAGTCTAGACTTTGACTTGGAATTGTATCCAGCACTGAGTGACTGAAAGAAGAGATAGACATTGTATAGAGGGTTTGAATGAGAGTTATAGTTACAGTTGGGAGTCAGAAAATGAAATCTAGGAGAAAACTGCTGGTATCGTTCTGGAAATTAGGAAGCTGAGTTGTAGTAACGGTTTTCAAGTACCAGCAACCTTATGAGGCAGAAAATTATAGTTAGCTCATTTTCACGTCAACAGAGGACAGGACAAGAAGTTTCCGATGCAGCTTTAAAGAAGCCGAGTCAATTGCAAAGAGGAATTTTGTGATTGGGAAGTATTTTTTTTTACCTTGGATGGTTTCGTAGTAGAACAGTCAGGCCAGATCTGATGAACAGGTGCTGGGATGAGAATGGGAGAGAATCTCCCTCCCCAGGTATCAGAAGGAAGTGGGAGTCCTCTGTATGCCACACGTGCCTCCTTTGTCTTGTTGCTGTGCCCTTGGTTTCTTGTTTTTTAATCTTTTATATTCATTTTTCTCCCTGACTTGACTGTTGGAGTCCAGGCAATAGACAACAATTCTGAAAACCCTCACCTTATCACTTCCTCTGAGGACTTTAGAGCTGAATGAATGATTCTGATTCTCAAAAAGAAGAGCCAAATTTTTTCATGACTGCTGTGAAAGATTATACAATATTTCTTTAGAGGCCTTTACAAGTAGTTGCTGCACAGTGCAAATTGGAAAAACAGGACAGATTTCTCATGAGGGCTAGACCAGATGGCCTGTGTGAATGCTCTCAGAGTCCTCCCTAGCTGTCGATTCCAAGAAAAAAAAAATCACTGCTGGGCTTCTGTTTTGGTTTCCAATCTGGGTAAATGAAAATCAACCTGCAGTAAGGAATTTTAAATGTGTTTGATTTCGACTTTCAGGAGCAAGCTTTCAAAGTAATCTCTAAATGCATACAGGAGAGTTAAGTATGTTCAGCACAGAATGCCCAAATGAGCATTTCCTGTCCAGTGTTACATGTGGCAATGTTCAATCATATATGCCTATGGTTTTGTAGATCTCTTCCTGAGAAGCCTGTGCTTTAGACACTGTGATGCTAAGCATGCTATCATCTGGAAGTTAATTTATGTCCAACTTCAGAACATGTACCAGTGAAGAGCCTCTGTGGCAGCACTGTGGGGTCCTCATGGCTCTACAGGAGATGGAGAAAGTTGGTCTGGCTCTCTCAGCACACAGCATGGCTTTGCTACTTCCAGAGATAAAAGCTTGGGCTGCAAATTCTGCCTATGTAGAGAAGGGAATTGTCCTTTCTAGAAGTGTTGCATGTGCTGTGCTTCTTTCCTGTGTTGAAAAATGGGGCCTACCCAAGAAGCTGCAATGTGGAAGCGAAAGGAGCATAAGGAACTCTGCCCTTGGAGTCAGGACCTCACTTTGGCCTTGGCCCTCTGCCCAACTTCATGGGTAACTCTGACCAAGGAACTAACTGGCCAATCTATATAAAACAAAGTAACTGTACTAGATGGCGTCTTGAGTTCCCTCACCAACAACCATTGCTAACTCTCTTATTTCTGGTGATCACATAGTATTAATAATTCTCAATATTGAAATGAAAATTTAAAGGACTTTTGCCTTGAATTCCAGACTCAATCACTCTATTTCTAATTCTTAAAAAAGTGAAAAACTGGTTACAAAAATGTCTTTAAGCATACAATATGATTAACTTGCAATATCGAATCTTCTTATGATGCCTAATAGCTATTTATCTGAATGGCTTTGAAATTCTTCAAGAAAAAGTATGAATTGATGCTACTGAATTCTTCTCATAAGAGACTTTTCTCTCCTAAAAAAGTTTTTAAAGGGTACTCAAATAAATTAAGAGTCCTATATTTTGATCAAATTCACTGAATCCAAATCTCATACTGTTCATAAATTGATATACTAAAGATAGACTATGAATTTGATGAAAGGAATTTTAAAAATCAAAGTGAAATTTAGGAATCTGATTTTCCTTTTGAATGTGATGGGATTTTTTTCTCCTTTCAGAACATTTCTCAAATTACCATAAATTGAAATGTTTGCAGAATTTTTAAAAAAGAATTTCTTTAAAATGAGTGTACTTCTAAAGAGGGTCATTGAGTGGATGTGGGATTAAGGACTCCATGTGTAACAACCAAACTGAAGATTGCAGCTAGAAAACTAGCCGTTTCCGGAAACTCTTCAGACTCCTTCACGTCCACGTGCGCACATGCATGCATGCACACACACACATACACAGCCCCACAGCCCCCACACACACTTCCAGAACCATAGAACTGGAACAATGTTTGCGTAATAACTTCCAGGAGGCTCCCTCCCCTCCTACCATTTTCTCACCATCCCATGGATGCCAGACTTCTGACTGCTGCCTTGCAGAGGTGGAATAAACTCTATGAGATTGAATCAGCAGTTAATTTTTAGGAAGGCTCTTCCACCTCCCCATTCTCACCATTTTACTTTAAGGCAGAGAGGAAAGCCCATACCCATGGGTGTCAGTGGAAATGACAACGGTATTCTTTACCAAAAAACAATAACAAAACCCAAAAATAAACCAAGAAACTTGGCATTTCAAATAACCAAACTGCTCTTTTTTTCTGGACTAAAATCAAATATTTCTGTTTGAAACACAGCCACAGAGCTAGCTCTCCTTTTCCTCCTCTTCAGCCCACCTATTTCCTCCCACTTTTCCCCATACGGAGACTTGCATGCACACACACACGCACACGAGCACACGCGCACACACACACACACGCGCTAAGTGCCTTTTACATAATTGGCTGACAAGATTGATCTTTCAGTTGAATTGTTTTAATTCAAAAACTACCCACCATTCGTGGGAGGTAAAGAATGGTGACTGTGACATGTGCTTTAATAAAAAGGCTCTGAAAGGAATGGCATGGGAAAGGCATCTGGTATCTGGTCTGAGTCTTTTGCATATAGTCCTGACTCTCTATAGGAAAGTAGAGAGTGCCATGGAATTTAACATAAATTTTCTTATTCCATAGCTACAACTCTTAATTTTTTTTTTTCTGGAACAACTGCCAGATTAATCCTTTCTTAACAGAACTTTGTAAGCAGACATCTTGCTTAAAAATCCTTACTGGTCCCTCCATTGCTGATGTTCCCTCGTGTCTAAATATCTTACCCTCCATGGAGCCATATTCCAATCTCTTTTCACCACTACAAGATTCTTTCTCACCACTTCCCTGTACAAACCCTCTGAGTAAAAAAAAAAAAAAAAAAAAAAAAAAGCCAACCTCAATACATACTGTGTTATGCCATTTATATTCTTGAAACAATAAAATTTCAGAGATGACTTGAAGATTAATGGTTACCCAAGATTAGAAATTGGAGAAGGGGGAGTGGATGTGGACAGAAATGGGTAACATGAGGGAGCCCTGTGATGATGGAACAATTTTGATTCTTCATTGTGGTGGTGGTTACACAAATCTATACATGTGATAAATATACATAGGCATACAACATGCAGACAAAAATGAATACATGTATAACTGGTAAAATCGGAATAAATCCTATGGATTGTACCAAACCATATGGATCATCAATTTCCTGGTTTTGCTATCATGCTATATAGTTAAGCAGGCATGCTTAACCACTGGAGAAATTAAGGGCATATGGAAATTCCCTGTACTTCTTTTCTTTGCAAACTTCTGTAAATTTATAATTATTTCAAAAACAATTTTAATGGTAGTTAACTTTAAAAATGGGGAAAAAGTTGGCCGGGCACGGTGGCTCACGCCTGTAATTCCAGCACTTTGGGAGGCCGAGGTGGGCGGATCACGAGGTCAGGAGATTGAGATCATCCTGGCTAACACGGTGAAACCCCATCTCTACTAAAAATATAAAACATTAGCCAGGCATGGTGGTGGGCACCTGTAGTCCCAGCTACTCGGGAGGCTGAGGCAGGAGAATGGCATGAACCCAGGAGGCGGACCTTGCAGTGAGCTGAGACGGCGCCACTGCCCTCCAGCCTGCGCTACAGAGCGAGACTCCATCTCAAAAAAAAAAAAAAAGGTGGGGGGGGGGGGAGTTGAAGTTTTTAGTGGAATTTAAAGATTGTTTTCAATGAAATGGGGCCCATCATATGCCAATGTTCTAAAACTAAAATAACAATTTCAGAATGAGGAGGAGGGAGTTTATCAGTACAAACGTGCTCAATTCTGAATGACAGAAGCTCTGAGACCATGTCAAACACTGGTAGCTGGATCATTCCAAAAAGTTATTTAAAAAAACAAAACCCAAACCAACCAAACAAAAACAACCCAATGTGCCTTAACTTCTGTCCTGAATGATTTGCTCTTCTTAGGATGAAAGATTCATGTATATACCTACATCTATCATGTGTAAATCTATCATGTATGGTTGTAGAGTGTACACCAAACTAACACAGTGTAATGAAATCTGAGATTAAAAATAGACATAAAAATAGAACAAAGGAACTTTCATGCACTAACAAAGCACAACTATGAAACTCTGAGAGTGAAATGATGAAGAGTTTGGTTAATGGGTACAAACACATAGTGATATAGAAGAAATAAGTTCTAATGTTTGATAGCAGAGTAGACTGACTATAATTAACAATAACGTATTGTATATTTCAAAATAGCTAGAAGAGAGGACTTGAAATATTCCCAATACATAGAAATGATAAATACTGATGGTAATGTGTACCCTAAATACCCTGACTTGATCATTACACATTCTATGCATGTAATATATAATATCACATGTACCCCATAAATATATACAAATAATCTGTATTGGAAAAAAAAGCCCTCTAAGGAAAGGAATAATCCTGTGTTATTTACATACAGGATAGTCCTCAGTATAAACATTAGGTGGAATCTTGTTCTCTTGGGCTGACAGTAGCTTTGGAATGCCAGAATGTTCTAGTAGATTTTTTTTATCTTCTGCCTTCAAACAATAACCAGTTTTATGCAATATTCTTATACAATGATGGTGTGAATATAATAGTGCCTTTAAGCATTTTATTTTGCAGAATTCAGAGGTTTTGCACAAGTATACATTAATTCTTTCTAAAATCTCAGTTTTGTGAGTTATTGATTAATGGGTGGTAAACATAGGCTGTTATATTAGTTGGCTTTAAAAATCATAAGGCATTATATAAGTAGAAGGCATTATACCTATTTATCAGGGTTACAAGTAGGTCCTCAGCTGCCAGGTAGCACCATATACCTTAAAGAAGTCTCTGGATAGCAAAATGGGTGGCAGACATACGCACAATTACTCATGCCCCAAGATGCAATCATTAATTCTGGAACTGAAGCAGAGTTGGTAACTTCAAAATGGATCAACTAAGTTGGCCCAAGCATGACTATCACCCCTCCAAAAAAAAATAACTTCATAGGAATATCTTCTATTAGACAATTATGTTATTTGTTTGTTTGCTTGTTTGTTTGTTTTGTTATTTATGGTCTGTTTCTTCAACTTGTACTTTAGCCCCAGACTTCACCTGGCTTCTGCACCTTTGTGTACCAGTTGAGTGAGGTTCCTGATATAGAATAGGTGCTCAGCAAATATTTATTGACTATGCTGACTAAATGAGTACCTCTTCACTAGGCAACATTGCTGTTTGACAGTTTTTGAGTTGTAGACCATTTTCAAATTCTGGTGAAAGCTATAAACCCTTTCCTCAGAAAAATGAACAAAAAGACTTTTTAAAAAATCTTCTGTTGGATTTAGGGATCCCCTTTAAAGCTCTGCCTATGAAAACCATTTTCAAGGATGAAATTGTGACCACAATTAGCTACTACTAACTTTCGATTTTAGTTATTTCAGGCATTCTCCAGATTGCTTACCTAAGCCAATTATCTTCCCTATTCTATGGCATTATTTTTGTATATTCTGCTATTTGTTATCATTAACAAATAGTCCATATATACACATTATACTTTAGTTAAAACAATGTAAAAAAGGATAATTTAGCTAATAAAAGTTACTTCTATCATTTTTTATAAAGTATATAATTAGTCTCCCTCCCCCTTTTAACCCTAAGAAAGCTTGGTGTACATTTGGCATAATCTCATAATCTCCTTCATAAAGGTCACTCAGAGTAGAATCTGAAACAGAAGAGTAAGTCACATTCACACACACACAGGCAAATCTCCTGACTGTTACAGATAGAGTGGCTTGGAACATGAGCACAAGTGAAAAAGAGGCATCTTGTTTAGTTACCTTAAGAAACAACATATACCGAAGATCCCAGTGGCTAACTTTTTGTTAGAGAACTATCTTTAGTTGTCAGTAATGAAAGGTGCCCAAGCGAACCTTGCTCACACTCTGAGCTTTTGGGAAGCAGAGTTATCACTCAACATGAGTTGAGCTGTGCCACCAGAAAAACCTTAATGGAAATCTCCTGACTTCCAAAGGCCTTCATAAGAGCAAACTCTTCCAACACAATCATCAAGCAACTATGAAACTCTGCCTCAAGAAATTAGTGGTCTTACTTTTGATTTCTTCTGATTTACAAAAAGAAAGTTCATAGTGCTGCGAAAGTACTAGAGGCCACAATTTAAACCACCTTCTGTGATCTGCCTTAACCCTGGAGGGTCCTGTTCCTGGGGACCTTGCCCAGGAAAGCAGCTGCTCATCTCCATCTCAGTAGCTGAAGTGCATGCAGAGCAGCACTGTGTCCACAAGGCAGGGGCTGCGTGTGTGCCACAGCAGCAGCCATAGAAAACATCAGTGGACTCAAGACTACAGTCTCATTTAGAGAACTGTCATTGTGGTGCCCCACTCTCTCCATCACAGGGATATCAGGAAAAGCAAAGGCACTCACACAGCTGATGCTTCAATGAGTTGACCTAAGTCAGGCTGCTTACATTTGTACTGCAGCTGGGGTAAAGAGCTTTAGTTATGGTTGTTTTGCTTTTTCCCACCCAAGGACTTTTTTTCTTAATGGCTCAAACATATATCAAAATAACAGTGCTTGATGTTTGTGCAATGAGAAACTTTCCTGTAACTCTGCAAAGAAATTTTTTCAAGGGCAACTTTTATAAAAACAGGTTTAAATGCTTATTTCAGCAACCTCACATGAGAAACACATGTTGCCTATGCATTATTTTCATTAACTTCATCCTAAACTAAAACCTGGTTCCTAACAAAGACAAGAGATAGTTAGATATGGACAATTAACAAAATCATATCTGCAAACTGAAGTAACCAAAGTTTTTTGGAAGATGTGTTGGTAGCTTCTCTCCTCTACATTCACAAACACTTTTAGAAACTAGAAGCACAGTAGTTTTAAAGAAATAAAGTCAGAGGGACTTGGTACAAAGCAAATGTAATGAGGAGGCAGGAGTCACATAATTGAATAATGAAATTTTCTACTTGTCAAATGTAAGTCATGCCCTATTAGAGCAGCCACTATTACCAGGATGATTCCAACTATGGAAAACAACATAGGGGATGAGGAAGCTTTAAAATTTATGAGGAAACCAGTAGAATTGCAACAATTTACATTTTCTCCATATTTCACAAGGTCTACATTTAATTTCAAGCAGTAATTTAGGCTTAAATATGGCTATTCAATCTAATTTACCAATATAGGTGGTTTTTCCTGCAACAAAGCTTCTTTAAAAAGCTTTGTATAGCATTTGTTAACTTGGTCTTTCAAAAGATAAATAAGGCCAGGCGCGGTGGTTTACTCCTGTAATCCCAGCACTTTGGGAGGCCAAGGCCGGCGGATCACTTGAGGTCAGGAGTTCGAGACCAGCCTGGCCAACATGGTGAAAGCTCTTTTCTATTAAAAACATAAAAAATGAGCCGGGTGTGGTGGCAGGTGCCTGTAATTCCAGCTACTCAGGAGGTTAAGGCAGGAGAATCGCTTGAACCCAGGAGGCTATTTCCCAGGCGACAGAGCCCAGATCGCACCACTGCACTCCAGCCTGGGCAACAGAGCGAGACTCTGTCTCAAACAAAACAAACAAAAGATAAATAAGAGAGCAGTACTAGATGAGAAACTATTTCTGATAGTATAATCCCAGAAACTACTGTCTTTATCATAAAATAGAACAAACACATTTGCTACTGAAAAACTATCCTGATCTAAATACCAGTTCCAGCAGTTGTGTTTTTTTCTGGGGACTGGAATGTACATAGTTTCTAAAATGTTCATAGGACTTTAGAATTATACAAAATGGGCCACATTTTTAAAAATCTTTACACACACAACCACCCTGGGTTTATTCATCCCCCTAAAGAGCTATTTTAGAACCACCTGAGAATTCTAAAGTGAGCAACCCACTGATGAGTAAATCACTTTTCAAAACCGATGGACTGTCTCCACTGCACCTGTATAGAACCTGGATACCCCGCACAGAGGGAATCTTACGTGCATACCTATATTTCATGCCAGTCTGCTTTGCGGTGGACTCTTTGAGAGAAATGTGATGCTGAGGCGTGAACGTCCCCAGGCTGCGCGCGATGATAGCGACCGTGCGGAATTTGGCCCGGGCTGCGTTCACCACATTGGGGGCGGTGGAGCTCTGCTTGCTCAGAAGTCGGTCCTCACCATTCCGACTCTTCAAATTGTGCTCTGTGCAGGCTATGGAGACTTGCATTGCTTCCCCAGGCAGCGCACGGTCCCTCTCAGAACCCCAGAACACAGGCAGTCACGAGAGGTTGAGCAGTTGCGGGGATTTCTGCTTTTCTTTTAAGCCCTCCTTGCTCCCCCTTCCTGGGGATGCCGTCAGAGGAGTCCTGGCGGCTGACTTTCGAGCCAAGCCCACAAAGTGGCACAAGGGGCTGCGATGCAGGAAAGAGTCCCCGGGGACCCAGAGAAGTAAACAGACGGCCCCGAAGTTGTCACAGCAGCTGGAGGGAGAATCAGGTTTGCAAATCTTCCCGGGCTGTAATCTCGGCTGATTAAACAGCCAAATCCATGCAGTGGGGGAGGTTTTTACAGAAGCCTAGAGCTGAGCATTCATGGTGACTGCACGCAGCCCTTCGCGGAGCCGGTCCGCGGTGTCTGAATGCGGGCTCGCTTCTGGGCGATGGCTCAAATCAGCGCAGGCTTACCGCAAGATGCGCCGCCAGCATCCCCTGGACCACAGGCAGGATGCTCAACTGGCGCGCGGAGCATCCCAAGAAGCAGCTAATCGCAAGCGGGTCCCCTCGGACTGGTGGTCTCCATCCACTCCGGCTGTCAGCTCCCTCCCGCCTCCGCTCCGGGAGGACGTGGGGGCTCCTCAAGACCCCTCCCCACTCATTCTCGAGCGAAAGCCTGGGTTGCTGAGCCTGCACCGACACGGGTTTGCAGCTGCACGGAGGAGCAGGCAGGTCCCTTTAAGGAGCTCTTTGCCTTTGTGTGCGATGGGAAGGCAAAGATCACTTGCACCAGGCTCTTGCTGTAACAAATCGGGAGGGTTGCTCCATAAAAAGGGGCTCTGCCCAGACTCAGACCAAATCTGCTGCAGCACAACAGTTGGAACTGGGGGAAGGCAGAGAGGGGGTGCTTATGCCGCGGAACACGCCAGTGAATTAACACGTGAATACTCTGTGACTGGCTTGCTGAAACACAGCTTGAAATCCCTGTTATTAGCCTTGTCAGAGTTCCTTTTCTCTCTGCAAGTTATTTCTTAAGCAGATAAGTTTGGTTTCCTGAGATGCCACAGTGCAGACTTTTTGGAATCAACTCTGCTAACTTACTGCAAAATTTATTCTGGCTACCAGAGGAGGGACTGGGATGGGGGAGGGGCAGCAATCCAGCACCACTCAGGAGGGGGATGCACTAGGTGTGCAGCAGGTCCATAGTACCACCCAGTAAGGTCCAGGCATGTGGCTGAAACCACATACACTGCCCACTGATCATCTGTGGCCACCTGTGAGGACAAGCACTATATCCTGTCTCCAGGTCAGGTGGGCAGTAGGACATCCCTGGGGACTCTGAACCCACATGAGGCAGGAATATTTTCTGGTTTGATGTCAGGTGCAAAGCAATTGCTCAATAAATGTGACTGAACCAAACTAAGCATCAGTTGGCTGGTAATTTACTTTCCATTTGAAATGTATGGAAACCAAACCCCTCTCACAGATTTACTTACAATAAAATTATGGCTTCTGCAAAATCAGCTTTCTAAATGTAGTTCCCAACAGATACTGCTGTCAAGCAAAAAGAACCAGTATTTAACGCAACAATATTTCTGAATACCATCACTGTATTAGTCAATGAAGATCAATATGGAGAAAAAAGGAAGCACTGTCCCCCTCCTCAAGGAGCAGGCCATCTGGGAGGGAAGGACAAAATATTCAGCCTTAAAGGGTCTGACTAACAATGTTGGAAGGCATATTATGACATATCTGAATGGATGGCACAGACACTAAGTACACTAGAGAAAGTACACTGGAGAAAGTTGTTCATTTTGATTCATTCCCCACACTTCTACCAAGTCCCTGACTTTGCTTGTTGCTGGGCCACAAAGATGGCTGAAACAGAGGCTGGGCCCTCAAGAAGCTCATGGGTGCCCAGGCGACCCTCCTAGAAGAGTGGGACTTTGCCTGGTACATGAAAAATGGGTTGAATTTGATTAGCAGGAGAGGAAGAAGGCAGTGATCCCAGGGGTTGCCAGGTTTGGACAGGACACACAATCTATCTACGTGATTAAAAAAATAGCTGGTCTGACCATTTCTTCCCAACTAAATTAAACTGCAGGAATAAAATTTTCAAGGAGAATATGTGCCTGTGTTGCATTCTATTCCAAACATGAATTTTAACATTTTATAACCTGCAGATAAGATTTAAATCAGATTATAGAATCTCATCATTCACTCTCCACAACCTTCCCACACTTTACTTTAAAAAATAAACATATTGACTAATGTTCAGTGATTGAGAAGTAATTTTAGAATCAGTGAGGGTTGGGGAAAGGAACAAATAAGTCTGGGACCCCTTCTTGTACTCTCAGCTCTGAGGGAGGAGTACTTGAAGCATGTCTTTACTCCCTGGATAAACAACAGTGGGCAGAGAGGAAGCCAGATCATTAGAACCTTTATTTTTTCACACTCAGCCGGCTCATCAGAGATGATCAATGTGAATTGGGAAAGGAGTCAAAATGAGAAGAGGAAGAAGTGGGAGGAATCAGAAGGAACAGCTCAGAAAAGGAAAAAAATAAAGCAGTCTGGGAGGCGAGACAGAGTGAATGGATAATCATCCGTCTAGAGGGGTCAGGAGCCAGGAACTTCAGTTTGGACACTGGCTGAGCTTGAGGAGATGTGTGGGGGGCTCAGAGATGAGGTGGAGTGCTGTCAGTTCCACAGGGAGGACAGAAGATCTTGAAGGTAGGGAAGGTCTGGATGCTGTTAGCTGAAGTGGCTTTCAGCCTTGCCAAGAACTAGCAGAGCAATTTCTGAAAGCACAACCAACAGCAGAACAGGGAGTAGGTTATTAGAATGAAACATGCAAGGCAGAGTGCCTCTTAGTCACCTTTTTATCCCCCATAGGACCACACAGAGTGCCTTGTGCATAGCAGGCCCTCACTCTATAAATAATTGAGAGAAGGAGATAAGAAAACAAAGAAAGGAAGAGGGAGGAAGAAAGGAAGGAAGGTAGGTGGATGGGAAGATGCCATATTCTTGGATAAACTTGATTCCTTAAAAAAAGAAAGAAAGAAAATCCTGCACGTTCTAGTTTAAGCACAGCCAGCTCACTTGAAAGGAGTGGATAATTGCCCCACATTCATGTCTGCACCTCTTGTGTGTAGATGAGTGTCCCAGCCTTTAGGACATGCCTCAAAGAAAATCAAAGACCTGAGGCCAGAGGATGCTCACAGTGCTAGTCTCTTTCTGGCTGCCCACAGTGCACCTTTTCAGATCTGATACCACATGGGCATTCTGACTGCCAGCCAGCAGATTGGTGGCTTCCCCCAGCCGTGCTCCCCTTCCCAGTGTTAATGGAGCAGTCGGTCTCAGGAGCCCAGAAATTAGATAACACTTGGCTGAGAAAACGCTCATTCCTAATAAGTTTGTGCTAAGAGGCCACATGTCAATTAGACTTGGAATATGTATCTTTTCATTGTCACATCATAAGATTGGGAAGAGTCTTCACTGCTATCATTTCAGGTTTCAGTAAGACCCACAAACATAGATATAGATGTGGGTGTAAATATAGATATAGATATTGTTTTCAACTGGCTTGTGCTCCCTCCAAATTCATGTGTTGAAGCCCTAACCCCCAGTACCTCAGAATGTGATTGTATTTTAAGATAGGACATTAAAGAGGTAACTGAGGTAAAGTGAGGTCATATGGGTGGGCCCTAACCCAATGTGACTGGTGTCCATATAGAAGGAGGAGATTAGGACACAGATATGTGAAGACGATGGGAAGGCACAGGAGAAGACGACTGTCTATAAGCCAAGGACAAAAGCCTCAGAGAAAACCAATGCTGCAAGTACCTTGATCTTGGACTTCTAGCCTCCAGAATTGTGAGGAAATAATTTTCTGTTGTTTAAGCCACCTAGTCTGTGGTTCTTTGTTATAGCAGCCATAACAAATTAATACAGATATAGACACAGTTTGTTTTTACTTTAGTTCTTATATCATTGCTTGCAAGAAACTATTGGAGCTCACTGAAGAAGGTGCCTCTAAAAGTTATTAGATCATGATAACTATCATTATTATTCCACCCTATGCAACCTATATACAAAGTTGTATTTCGAGTTTTTTTTTTTTTTTAAGATGGAGTCTCACTCTGCCACCCAGGCTGTTGGCTCACTGCAACCTCTGCCTCCTGGGTTCAGGCAATTCTCCTGCCTCAGCCTCCTGAGTTGCTGGGATTACAGGTGTATACCATCACGCCTTGTATTTTTAGTAGAGATAGGGTTTCACCATGTTGGCCAGGCTGGTCTCAAACTCCTGACCTGATCTGCCCACCTCGGCCTCCCACAGTACGGGGATTATAGGTGTGAGTCACTATGCCCAGCCTGGAGCTCTTTTTTGGAGCACATTGTATATAGGATGTATAGCGTGAATGATAACGATAGTTGTCATTATTTAATAATAAAGTTCTTGAAAATCACCACTTCTTTTATCAAGAGTCACCATATAGAGGATTTATTACTTCGTAAAACTGATTTCCTCTTGTTTTGTGGACGCCCTGGGGTAGTTTTTTTTTTTTTTTTTTTGATACGGAGGTTGCAACATTGCACGGGGCCAAATAATGACTTACTCCTACACTTTGCCTGAGTCTCAGCTGGTCCCTATTTGTTATGTAACATGTGGAATTCTTTGGCATTAATGTCTCCCATATTGGGTCATGGTGACAGAACTGGTTAGGAACAGATCACAGGCTACATAACTCCTATGCCAGTGCCCTGTCTCCTCATGCTCATCTTAGAGTCTTCATGGTAACTCAAAGGACTTTAGGGTGTGCAGTCAGTTGGAGTTGGGTGTGAATCCCAGCTCTACTCTGCCCCGCCTTCCCGTGTGCCATTTAGCAGGATGCTTAACCTCCCTAAGCCTCAGTATCCTCAGAGAGATAAAATGGTGCAAGAACGTGGTTCTCTGGGAAAGGTGTTATCATTATCAACCCCATTCTACAAATGAAGAAACATGAGACTCAGAGAAGTTAAATAACTTGCCTAAAGTGACACAGGCACACTACAATTTAACTTGAGGCAGCCTACCTCCAGAGACTTGGTTCTTACCCACTGTGCATAGTGATCCCCACTGCAAGAACTTCCTTATGAGAGGGGCTTTAAATCATGTCACTTTATGAATATAGTTTAAAAGAAACCCCGATATTTTTATAAGTGATAGAAATAATTTCCATTTAAAAAGACTAAAGATTTTAGAACAACTAAATCACCTATGCTTTTGAGTATGTCTTTTACCAACATTTTCAAATACTTCACGATAATTTATTCCTGTTGCTTAAAAAAATTTTTTTCCTATCACCTGGCAAGTTATTGATTGATTCAATTTGTTGCCAGTAAAGTCAGAACCAAACATTTTTTGCTGGGTCCACTCAGAATTTACGGTTTATATTCCATTGGAAACCACAGCCAACAGGGGACAGAAAACACTCAATTATGCAGCCAGGCAAAATTGGGTTTATCCAAAACAGAAAAGAATGCTAATATTAGAAGAATTTTAAACATGTGAGTATACAGATGGCAAGCCACTTTTTGTGCCTATCATTTGTGATTAAAAGAATTTCTAGGATGCAAGTTTGCTATTCATCAGAAATTCTTAAAACATGGGTTTGAAGAGCAATTTATTATATTCTGAGAAATTGAACCAGCTATAAAAATTAGTATGGGCCCACATTTGCATGAGCACAGCATTTTGAATAACAGGCAAAGTAAAATGGAGAAGCCATATTGGAAATATCAAGGCTCTGCTGAATAGAACAAACTTCCAGATGTCTACCCTCCTACTTCCCTGGAAAAACAGGCTCACCAGAGAACCTCCACTGAGAAACTCTGAAGGCAGGCTTAATACAGATTTTCTCACACTACCAGCCACATGTCCAGGACCATAGCATAATTAATCAAAGGATAGGTGTGCTTTCCAATTAACATTTAAACTATATCTACAGCCACTAATGATTATTTCCTGAATTTGAACACTCTGATATAGCAGACCTCTGATATTTACATAACACTTTATATGCTCAAGGCAAGGTGCCATAGTGTTACAGGAAGCAAGTGTGAAAAATAGGAAATTCAGACCGGGTGCGGTGGCTCATACCTATAATCACAACACTTTGGGAGGCCAAGGCTTAGGTGGATTGACTGAGCTCAGGAGTTGGAGACCAGCCTGGGCAACATGGTGAAACCCTGTCTCTATCAAAAAATACAAAAAATTAGCTGGGCATGATGGCCCCTACTTGTGGTCCCAGGCACCCAGGAGGCTGAGGTGGGAGGATCACTTGAGCCTGTGAGGCAGAGGTTGCAGTGAGCCAAGAGTCACGCCACTGCACTCAACCTAGTGACAAAGTGAGACCCCCCCATCCCCCCCACCAAAAAAAGAAATTCACAATTCAGATTATTTTGTTCAGGCCTCTTCATGGTAGTTAACTTCTCATAAGCTTGTCTGGAACCTGGACATAGCACTGAGAGGAGACAGGGACACATGGTCAGTTTATTTTTTACAACTGTCATTAGTTTTTCCTAAATTATTAGTCATTAGTATAATTTTTGCCATTGTCTTATGTTAGAACAAGATGGCATAAATATTGGCCATGTCTTTGGATAAGAGATTTATCTAAAGACCTTAACTCACAGAGAATTTGTTTTCAAAGATAAGTGGAATTATTATATTTCAACTACTGTAAAATAATATCAACCCGAGTACACATTTATTTTATATATCACTAATATTAAAAATGTGGTCACTTATGACATAATGCTTTCTTATCCCTTGTTTATTTTCAATTAATCAAAAGAATCTTTTTAAACTCACGCTGCCTCCCTCCAGTTTCACTCTTGTACATATATAAAAAGAAAATACGACAGAAAAAAATTGGTTAAAGTATTCCCCGGGGGAGGAGCCAAGATGGCCGAATAGGAACAGCTCTGGTCTACAGCTCCCAGCAAGAGCGACGAAGACGGGTGATTTCTGCATTTCCATCTGAGGTACCGGGTTCATCTCACTAGGGAGTGCCAGACTGTGGGCGCAGGTCAGTGGGTGCGCGCATCGTGCGCGAGCCGAAGCAGGGTGAGGCATTGCCTCACTTGGGAAGCACAAGGGGTCAGGGAGTTCCCTTTCTGAGTCAAAGAAAGGGGTGACGGACGCACCTGGAAAATCGGGTCACTCCCACCCGAATACTGCACTTTTCCGACGGGCTTAAAAAACGGCGCATCACGAGACTATATCCCACACCTGGCTCCGAGGGTCCTATGCCCACGGAGTCTCGCTGATTGCTAGCACAGCAGTCTGAGATCAAACTGCAAGGCAGCAGCGAGGCTGGGGGAGGGGAGCCCGCCATTGCCCAGGCTTGATTAGGTAAACAAAGCAGCCTGGAAGCTCAAACTGGGTGGAGCCCACCACAGCTCAAGGAGGCCTGCCTGCCTCTGTAGGCTCCACCTCTGGGGGCAGGACACAGACAAACAAAAAGACAGCAGTAACTTCTGCAGACTTACATGTCCCTGTCTGACAGCTTTGAAGAGAGCAGTGGTTCTCCGAGCACGCAGCTGGAGATCTGAGAACGGGCAGACTGCCTCCTCAAGTGGGTCCCTGACCCCTGACCCCTGAGCAGCCTAACTGGAAGGCACCCCCCAGCAGGGGCACACTGACACCTCACACGGCAGGGTACTCCAACAGACCTGCAGCTGAGGGTCCTGTCTGTTAGAAGGAAAACTAACAAACAGAAAGGACACCCACACCAAAAACCCATCTGTACATCACCATCATCAAAGACCAAAAGTAGATAAAAACCACAAAGATGGGGAAAAAACAGAACAGAAAAACTGGAAACTCTAAAAAGCAGAGCACCTCTCCTCCTCCAAAGGAATGCAGTTCCTCACCAGCAACGGAACAAAGCTGGATGGAGAATGACTTTGACGAGCTGAGAGAAGAAGGCTTCAGACGATCAAATTACTCTGAGCTACGGGAGGACATTCAAACCAAAGGCAAAGAAGTTGAAAACTTTGAAAAAAATTTAGAAGAATGTATAACTAGAATAAACAATACAGAGAAGTGCTTAAAGGAGCTGATGGAGCTGAAAACCAAGGCTCCAGAACTACGTGAAGAATGCAGAAGCCTCAGGAGCCAATGCGATCAACTGGAAGAAAGGGTATCAGCGATAGAAGATGAAATGAATGAAATGAAGCGAGAGGGGAAGTCTAGAGAAAAAAGAATAAAAAGAAATGAGCAAAGCCTCCAAGAAATATGGGACTATGTGAAAAGACCAAATCTACGTCTGATTGGTGTACCTGAAAGTGATGGGGAGAATGGAACCAACTTGGAAAACACTCTGCAGGATATTATCCAGGAGAACTTCCCCAATCTAGCAAGGCAGGCCAACGTTCAGATTCAGGAAATACAGAGAACGCCACAAAGATACTCCTCGAGAAGAGCAACTCCAAGACACATAATTGTCAGATTCACCAAAGTTGAAATGAAGGAAAAAATGTTAAGGGCAGCCAGAGAGAAGGGTCGGGTTACCCTCAAAGGGAAGCCCATCAGACTAACAGCAGATCTCTCAGCAGAAACCCTACAAGCCAGAAGAGAGTGGGGGCCAATATTCAACACTCTTAAAGAAAAGAATTTTCAACCCAGAATTTCATATCCAGCCAAACTAAGCTTCATAAGTGAAGGAGAAATAAAATACTTTACAGACAAGCAAATGCTGAGAGATTTTGTCACCACCAGGCCTGCCTTACAAGAGCTCCTGAAGGAAGCACTAAACATGGAAAGGAACAACCAGTACCAGCCGCTGCAAAATCATGCCAAAATGTAAAGACCATCAAGACTAGGAAGAAACTGCATCAACTAACGAGCAAAATAACCAGCTAACATCATAATGACAGGATCAAATTCACACATAACAATATTAACTTTAAATGTAAATGGACTAAATGCTCCAATTAAAAGACACAGACTGGCAAATTGGATAAAGAGTCAAGACCCTCAGTGTGCTGTATTCAGGAAACCCATCTCACGTGCAGAGACACACATAGGCTCAAAATAAAAGGATGGAGGAAGATCTACCAAGCAAATGGAAAACAAAAAAAGGCAGGGGTTGCAATCCTAGTCTCTGATAAAACAGACTTTAAACCAACAAAGATCAAAAGAGACAAAGAAGGCCATTACATAATGGTAAAGGGATCAATTCAACAAGAAGAGCTAACTATCCTAAATATATATGCACCCAATACAGGAGCACCAAGATTCATAAAGCAAGTCCTGAGTGACCTACAAAGAGACTTAGACTCCCACACATTAATAATGGGAGACTTTAACACCCCACTGTCAACATTAGACAGATCAACGAGACAGAAAGTCAACAAGGATACCCAGGAATTGAACTCAGCTCTGTACCAAGCAGACCTAACAGACATCTACAGAACTCTCCACCCCAAATCAACAGAATATACATTTTTTTCAGCACCACACCACACCTATTCCAAAATTGACCACATACTTGGAAGTAAAGCTCTCCTCAGCAAATGTAAAAGAACAGAAATTATAACAAACTATCTCTCAGACCATAGTGCAATCAAACTAGAACTCAGGATTAAGAATCTCACTCAAAACCGCTCAACTGCATGGAAACTGAACAACCTGCTCCTGAATGACTACTGGGTACATAACGAAATGAAGGCAGAAATAAAGATGTTCTTTGAAACCAACGAGAACAAAGACACAACATACCAGAATCTCTGGGACGCATTCAAAGCAGTGTGTAGAGGGAAATTTATAGCACTAAATGCCCACAAGAGAAAGCAGGAAAGATCCAAAATTGATACCCTAACATCACAATTGAAAGAACTAGAAAAGCAAGAGCAAACACATTCAAAAGCTAGCAGAAAGCAAGAAATAACTAAAATCAGAGCAGAACTGAAGGAAATAGAGACACAAAAAACCCTTCAAAAAATTAATGAATCCAGGAGCTGGTTTTTTGAAAGGATCAACAAAATTGATAGACCGCTAGCAAGACTAATAAAGAAAAAAAGAGAGAAGAATCAAATAGACGCAATAAAAAATGATAAAGGGGATATCACCACCGATCCCACAGAAATACAAACTACCATCAGGGAATACTACAAACACCTCTACGCAAATAAACTAGAAAATCTAGAAGAAATGGATAAATTCCTGGACACATACACTCTCCCAAGACTAAACCAGGAAGAAGTTGAATCTCTGAATAGCCCAATAACAGGAGCTGAAATTGTGGCAATAATCAATAGCTTACCAATCAAAAAGAGTCCAGGACCAGATGGACTCACAGCCGAATTCTACCAGAGATACAAGGAGGAATTGGTACCATTCCTTCTGAAACTATTCCAATCAATAGAAAAAGAGGGAATCCTCCCTAACTCATTTTATGAGGCCAGCATCATTCTGATACCAAAGCCAGGCAGAGACACAACAAAAAAAGAGAATTTTAGACCAATATCCTTGATGAACATTGATGCAAAAATCCTCAATAAAATACTGGCAAACCGAATCCAGCAGCACATCAAAAAGCTTATCCACCATGATCAAGTGGGCTTTATCCCTGGGATGCAAGGCTGGTTCAATGTACGCAAATCAATAAATGTAATCCAGCATATAAACAGAGCCAAAGACAAAAACCACATGATTATCTCAATAGATGCAGAAAAAGCCTTTGACAAAATTCAACAACCCTTCATGCTAAAAACTCTCAATAAATTAGGTATTGATGGGACATATTTCAAAATAATAAGAGCTATCTATGACAAACCCACAGCCAATATCATACTGAATGGGCAAAAACTGGAGGCATTCCCTTTGAAAACTGGCACAAGACAGGGATGTCCTCTCTCACCACTCCTATTCAACATAGTGTTGGAAGTTCTGGCCAGGGCAATTAGGCAGGAGAAGGAAATAAAGGGTATTCAATTAGGAAAAGAGGAAGTCAAATTGTCCCTGTTTGCAGATGACATGATTGTTTATCTAGAAAACCCCATCGTCTCAGCCCAAAATCTCCTTAAGCTGATAAGCAACTTCAGCAAAGTCTCAGGATACAAAATCAATGTACAAAAATCACAAGCATTCTTACACACCAACAACAGACAGAGAGCCAAATCATGAGTGAACTCCCATTCACAATTGCTTCAAAGAGAATAAAATACCTAGGAATCCAACTTACAAGGGATGTGAAGGACCTCTTCAAGGAGAACTACAAACCACTGCTCAAGGAAATTAAAGAGGATACAAACAAATGGAAGAACATTCCATGCTCATGGGTAGGAAGAATCAATATCGTGAAAATGGCCATACTGCCCAAGGTAATTTACAGATTCAATGCCATCCCCATCAAGCTACCAATGACTTTCTTCACAGAATTGGAAAAAACTACTTTAAAGTTCATATGGAACCAAAAAAGAGCCCGCATTGCCAAGGCAATCCTAAGCCAAAAGAACAAAGCTGGAGGCATCACACTACCTGACTTCAAACTATACTACAACGCTACAGTAACCAAAACAGCATGGTACTGGTACCAAAACAGAGATATAGATCAATGGAACAGAACAGAGCCCTCAGAAATAACGCCGCATATCTACAACTATCTGATCTTTGACAAACCTGACAAAAACAAGCAATGGGGAAAGGATTCCCTATTTAATAAATGGTGCTGGGAAAACTGGCTAGCCATACGTAGAAAGCTGAAACTGGATCCCTTCCTTACACCTTATACAAAAATCAATTCAAGATGGATTAAAGACTTAAACGTTAGACCTAAAACCATAAAAACCCTAGAAGAAAACCTAGGCATTACCATTCAGGACATAGGCATGGGCAAGGACTTCATGTCTAAAACACCAAAAGCAATGGCAACAAAAGCCAAAATTGACTAATGGGATCTAATTAAACTAAAGAGCTTCTGCACAGCAAAAGAAACTACCATCAGAGTGAACAGGCAACCTACAAAATGGGAGAAAATTTTCGCAACCTACTCATCTGACAAAGGGCTAATATCCAGAATCTACAATGAACTCAAACAAATTTACAAGAAAAAAACAAACAACCCCATCAGAAAGTGGGCAAAGGATATGAACAGACACTTCTCAAAAGAAGACATTTATGCAGCCAAAAAACAAATGAAAAAATGCTCATCATCACTGGCCATCAGAGAAATGCAAATCAAAACCACAATGAGATACCATCTCACACCAGTTAGAATGGCAATCATTAGAAAGTCAGGAAACAACAGGTGCTGGAGAGGATGTGGAGAAATAGGAACACTTTTACACTGTTGGTGGGACTGTAAACTAGTTCAACCATTGTGGAAGTCAGTGTGGCGACTCCTCAGGGATCTAGAACTGGAAATACCATTTGACCCAGCCATCCCATTACTGGGTATATACCCAAAGGACTATAAACCATGCTGCTATAAAGACACATGCACCCGTATGTTTATTGCGGCATTATTCACAATAGCAAAGACTTGGAACCAACCCAAATGTCCAACAATGATAGACGGGATTAAGAAAATGTGGCACATATACACCATGGAATACTATGCAGCCATAAAAAATGATGAGTTCATGTCCTTTGTAGGGACATGGATGAAATTGGAAATCATCATTCTCAGTAAACTATCGCAAGAACAAAAAACCAAACACCGCATATTCTCACTCATAGGTGGGAACTGAACAATGAGATCACATGGACACAGGAAGGGGAATATCACACTCTGGGGACTGTTGTGGGGTGGTGGGAGGGGGGAGGGATAGCATCGGGAGATATACCTAATGCTAGATGATGAGTTAGTGGGTGAAGCGCACCAGCATGGCACATGTATACATATGTAACTAACCTGCACAATGTGCACATGTACCCTAAAACTTAAAAGTATAATAAAAATAAAAAATAAATAAAAATAAATAAAAAAATAAAATAAAGTATTCCCAAATTTGTTTACATTCAGAATTTGAAATTATGAATGTTTTACTGAGCATTATTAATGTCCATGTCTTTCCACCCAGCCATCCTTTGTGTTGATGATGTAGCATTTTTTTTTGAAAGCATGCTGAACTTTTGTCTCTGAGACTTTTTTCCAATCTGGTGACACCGACTCTGCGAGTTTTGATGCTCACTTACAGGCATTAGCAACCAGATCATGACAGCTGCCTGGCCAGCAGCAGTTAAAAATGATTTCACAATTTCAGCAAAATTTTAAAAATATGCTTCAGAGAATTGATGAACTATGATGATTTCTAAAATGGTACATTACGAACTCTCATTTTATGGCAATTTAAATCTAAAATACTACAAATTAAATGAAGGAGGGAAGGAAAAAAGAAAATGTTTTTTGAGCACCCGCTATGTTGCAAGCACTGTGTTAAAAACTTCCACATCCATTATCTCATTTCAAAGGAAAGGGGGAAAAAATAGACTTCGTGAAGCTAGTCTAATTGGACTCAAAAGTAACTATTCTATAGGTGGAGTTACATAAACATTTATCTTCACCCTTGAAAACTACAGTGAACCAGACTCTGGAGGAGCTTCCCACATAAAGCTAACCTCGCATGATGGGATGGAGAAAAATATCTAACCTGAAGGTCTTTCAAGAAATAAGTTAATAAGCCAAAATCTATTTGTTTCTGTTCAAATTTGTTCATCTTCTTCGGGTGAGAAAAGCCATTATTACATGTCTCTTTATCTCATAACATCTAATATATTTTTATAAATAGGCGTATTTTCTCACTTCTTTTTTATTCCATTCATTTTTGAAGGAAGAATGTTGTAAAAAGGGCAGATCCAAGATCCTATGAAATTCTGTAACAGTTAAGTTCTTAAATTTGTCAGATCACAGAAAGTTAATGTAGGAGACGCCCTCAGCTTTTCATCACAGGTAAAATGAAATGCATTTTGGGAACATAAATGTTCTATCACCTCACACCTGTTGCTATCCATCAAAAGGACAAGAGATAACAAGTATTGGCAAGGATGTGGGAACTCTTGTACACTGTTGGTGGGAATGTAAATTAGTACGCCCAACTATGGAAAAATGATATGGAGGTTCTTCAGCAAGCTAATAATAGAACTGCTAAGTAACCCAGCAATCCCACTACTGGGTATATACCCAAAGGAGATGAAATCAGCATCTTGAAGAGATATCTGCAGTCCTGTGTTTGTTGCAGCACTATTCACAATAGCCAAGATGTGGAAGCAATCTGAGTGCCTCTCAATGGATGAATGGGTTTTTTTAAATGTGGTATATATACAATAGAATATTATTTAGCCCTTAAACAGAAGAAAATTCCACCATTTGCAACAACACAGATGAACCTGGAGGACACTATGCTAAGTGAAAAAAGCTAGAAACAGAAGAACAAATACAGGCATACCTCATCTTAATGTGTTTTGCTTTATTGCACTTCACACATACTGCATTTTTTATAAACTGAAAAGTTGTGAACAACCCTGCATGGAGCAAGTCAACTGGTGCCATTTTTCCAATAGCATACACTCACTTCATGTCTCTGTGTCATATTTTGGTAATTCTCACAACATTTTAAACTTTTCACTATTATTACATCTGTTATGGTGATCTATCATCAGTGATCTTTGATGTTACTACTGTCATTGTTTTGGGTGCCACAATCTGTACCCATATAAGATGGCAAATTTAATTGTTAAATGTTGTGTGTGTTCTCAGTGCTCTACCAACCAGCTATTCCCTCATCTCCCTCTTTTTCCTTGGGCCTTTCTATTCCCTGAGATACAACAATATTGAAATCAACCCAATTAATTACCCTACAATGGCCTCTCAGTGAAAGGAAGAGGCACACATCTCTCACTTCAAATCAAAAGCTAGAAATTATTAAGCTTAGTGAAGAAGGCATGTCAAAAGCCTAGACAGGCCAAAAGCTAGGCCACTTTTGCCAAACAGCCAAGTTGTGAATGCAAAGGAAAAATTCCTGAAGGAAATTAAAAGTGCTTATCTAGTGAACACATAAATGATAAGAAAGCAAAAGAGCCTTATTGCTGATAGCGAAAAAGTTTTAGCGGTTTGGATAGAAGATCAAACCAGCCACAACATTCCCTTAATAAAAAGCACAATCCAGAGCAAGGCCATAATTCTTTTCAATTCAAAAGGCTAAGAGAGGTGGGAAAGCTACAGATGAAAAGTTTAAAGCTAGCAGAGGTTGATGCATGAGTTTTAAGGAAAGAAGCCATCTCCATAACATAAAAGTGCAAGGTGAAGCAGTAAGTACTAAATAGAAGCTACAGCAACTTATCCAAAAGATCTAGCTAAGATAATTATTAACAACACTAAACAACATGTTTTCAATGTAGACAAAATAGCCTTCTTTTGTAAGAAGATGCCATCTAGGACTTTCATAGCTAGAGAGGAGAAGTAAATGTTGGTCTTCAAAGCTTCAAAGGACAGGCTGACTCTCTTAATAGGGGCTAATGCAGCTGGTGACTTTTAAGCTGAAGCCAATACTCATTTACTATCCCAAAACCCTAGGGTCCTTAAGAATTATGCTAAATCTACTCTGCCTGTGCTCTAAATGGAACAACAAAGCCTGGATGACAGCACATCTGTTTACAACATGGTTTGCTGAATGTTTTCAAGCCAACTTCTTAGACTTACTCCTTAGAAAAAAAGACATATTTCAAAATATTACCACTCATTGACAATGCACCTGGTCACCCAAGAGCTCTGATAGAAATGTACAAGGGGATTAATGTTGTTTTCATGCCTGCTAATACAACATCCATTCCACAACCCATGGATTAAGGAGTAATTTTCACTTTCAAGTCTTATTATTTAGGAAATACATTTCATAAGGCTACAGCTGCCATACATAGTGATTTTATGATGGATGTGGGCAAAATAAACTTAAAACCTTCTTGAAAAAAAAAACTCACCATTCTAGATGCCATTAAGAACATTTGTGATTTATAGGAGGATGTCAAATATCAACATTAGCAGGATTTTGAAAGAAGTTGATTCCAGCCCTCATGGATGACTTTGAGGGGTTCAAGACTCTAGTGGAGGAAGTAACTACAGATACAGTAGAAATAGCAAAGAAAACTGGAATTAATAGTGGAGGCAGAAGATGTAACAGAATTGATGCAACTCATGGTCAGACATGAACAGATAAGGAGTTGTTTCTTATGAATGAGCAAAGAAAGTAGTTTCTTAAGATGGAATCTACTCCTGGTAAAGATGCTGTGAATATTCTTGAAATGACAACAAATGATTCAGAATATTCCGTAAGCTTGGTTGATCAAGCAGTGGCAGAGTTTGAGAGGATTGACTCCAATTTTCAAAGAAGTTCTATTGTGAGTAAAATGCTATCAAATAGCATTGCTTGCTATAGAGAACACTTTCATGAAAGGAACAGTCAACTGATATGACAAATTTCATTGTCATCTTATTTTAAGAAATTGCCACAGCCACCCCATCCTTCAGCAACCACCATTCTGGTCAGTCAGCAGCCATCAACATCAAAGCAAGACCCTCCACTAACAAAAAGATTACTCACTGAATGCTCAGATATTCATTAGCACTTTTTTAGCAATAAAGTATTTTTAAATTAAGGTGTGTACATTACTTTTTAGACATGCTATTGTACATTTAATATGAACACAGTGTAATGTAAACATAACTTTTATATGCACTGGGAAATAAACAAACTTATTGGAATATTTTCTTTATTCTAGTGGTGTGAACTGAATTCATAATATCTTCAAAGTATACCTGTACTGTCTGATCTCACTTATACATGAAATCTGAAATAGTAAAACTCATAGAAGCAGAGAGTAGAATGATGGTTGCCAGGAGCCTGGGACAAGGAAAATGTTGACATGTTAGTTAAAGGGTACAAAGGTTCTGTTACGCAAGATCGCTAAGTTCTGGAGATCCACAGACAGCATGGTGACTGAAATTAACAATACTGCATTGTATACTTGAAATTTGCTAAGAAATTAAATCTTAAGTGTTCTCACCAGAAAAAAATAAAAGAAAAATGGTAACTATGTGAGATGACAAATATGTTAATTACCTTGGTTGTGGTGATTATTTCACAATGTATGCATATGTCAAATCATCAAGTTATACACCTTAAATGTACGTAATTTTACTTGTCAATTATACCACGATAAATCTGTAAAACAAAAACCCAGGAAATGTTAAATAACTTTCCACAAAACTACTTAATGGTAGAGTTTGAGCCATCATCCAGGTATCCTGACTGATATTCAAAGACACTTTTGACTACATCACAGAGATAGTTATTTTTTTATTTAAAACCTTCAAATCTGTCATTAAGATTTTGTCAAATAAATTTCCTAGTTAAAAGAAAAAAAAAAGTTCTTACCTTATGCTCCAAGTACTGTATTTTCTGGTTTTTACAATGTCCATGTAATTACTCTTGTAAGTCAAATGAAATAAGTATTTTATTATAAGGGTGTCACAAGTTCCTAATGGAAAAATTGAGAAAGCATAGGTAATTTCTCTTAACCATGTGTGAAACTTGGTTACAGAGCAGGGCAGGAACAGGGATACATGGAAGAGAGAAGGAGAAAATGTCATTAAGTAATCCAGATTTTCAATGTCTTCTTGGTTTTGGTGTTTATTTCCCATGCATAGTTTTGTGGTTGTTGTAATTGATATTGTTGTTGTTCATGTGTGTAGTTGAGGATTTTTCAAGGTATGTATCAGTTACCCCATGCTTTTGTTTTCTATTTGTCCATTTGTTTTTTCCTCTTTGTGTATCATCTATCCTTAAATCAGCTATTAATATTTGTCATCGCCAACATCCATATGCATTTTTTGTTGCTTGGGTGACAAATTCTATACCTTGGTAAGGGAAAAAAGGTGGAAAATTCAGCCCTTTTCATGGGACTCACTTCTTACCTGGGGAGTACACAGATATTCATGGATGACTAGCTGTATATTCTACACGTCAGAATAAGTGCAATAGCTGATACACACTTTAGAGGAAGAGGGAGAGACAACTGTGGGTTGGGGCAGTTAGAGAAACTACAGTGATGTCAGAAAAGATCTGGAGGAGGTGGAGCAAGATAGCTGAATAGAAGCCTCCATTGATCATCCTCCCCACAGGAACACCAAATCTGACAACTATCTACACAAAAAAAGCACCTTCCTAAGAACCAAACATCAGCTGAGAGATGACAGTACCTGGTTTTAACTTCATATCGCTGAAAAAGGCAGTGAAGAGAGTAGGAAAGACAGCGGTGAATTGCCGATGCCACCCTTCTCCCACCCCACAGCAGCAGCTGCATGGCATGGAAAGAGCATCTGTGTGCTTAGGGGAGGGAGAGTGCAGCAATTGTAAAACTGTGTATTGGAACCCAGTGCTGTGCTGTCACAGCGGAAAGCTACATTGGGCAGACTCAGCCAATGCCCACAGAAGGAGCATTTAGACCAGGCCTAGCCAGAGGGGAATTACCCATCCCAGCAGTTGGAACTTGCTTTTTGGCAAGCCTCACTGCCAGGGGGTAAAGTGCTATGGGATCTAAATAAACTTGAAAGGCAGTCTAGGCCATAAAGCCTGCAGTTCCTAGGCAAGTCTGAATGCTATGCTGTGCTCAGAGCCAGTGGATTTGGAGGGCGTGTAACCTAATTAGACATCTGCCAGAGCAGCTAAGGGAGTACTTGTTCCACCCCTTCCCCACTCCCAAGCAGCATAGCTCATAGTTCCAAAAGAGACCCGTTTTTTTTTTTTTCACTTGAGGAGAGGAGAGGGAAGAGTAAAGAGAACTTTGTTTTAAAACTAGGGTATCAGCTCGGCCATGGTAGATAGGGCAGCAGGCAGAGGTGCAAGGCCCCCTTTCCGGGACCTAGCTTCCAGATGACATTTCTAGACAAACCCTGGGCTAGGATGGAACCTGTTGCCTCTAAGAAAAGGAACTGCTCCTGGCAGGATTCACCACCTGCTGACTAGAGTCCTTGAACCCTGAATAATCAGCAGCAGTAACCAGGTAGTATACACCATGGGCTTGGTTAAGACTCTGAGACATGCTGGCTTTAGGTGTGACCCAGCATATTCACAGAAGTGGCAGCTATGAGAAGAGATTCCTTCTGCTTGAGAAAAGGAGAGGGAAGAATAAAAGGGGTTTTGTCTTGCAGCTTAGGTACCAGCTTGGCGACAGTGGGGAGGAGCACCAAGAGGGCTCTTGGCATCCCTAATTCCAGGCCTTGGCTCCTGGAAAGCATTTCTGAACCTACCCTGAGCCAGAGGAGAACTCATTGCTATGAAGGTAGAGTCCCAGGCCTGGCAGCATTCACCACAAGCAGACTGAAAAGCCCCTGGGTCTTAAGGGAACACTGGTGGTAGCCCGGGAGTATTGCACACAGGGCCGTGGTAGTGGTGAACATGGCGAGACTCGTCTGCCTGGGGAAAGGGGAGGGAAGAGTTGGAAAAACTTTGTCTTGTGTTTTTGTTGCTAGCTTAGTCACAGTAGAATAGAGTGCCACCTAGATTTCTAAGGTATCTGACTCCAGGCCCTGACTCCTAGACAGTATCTCTGGACCCACCTGGGGCCCAGGGGAACTTGCCACCACCCTGAAAGGAAGGACAAAAAACTGCCTGGCTTTGCCACCAATTGATTGTACAGCCTGAGGCCCTTGACCAAACATAGGCAATAGCCAGTTAGTGATTACAGCAGGCCTTGGGCAAGGCCCAGTGCTGTGCTGGCTCCAAGTCAGACCGAGTACAATCCCAGTGGTGGTAGCCACGGGGGTGCTGGTGTCACTCCTCCCCCAGCTCCACACAGCTCACACAGAGAGAGACAGACTCTGTATGGGAGAAAGTAAGGAAAGAGAACAAGAGTATCTGCCTGCTAATTCAGAGTATTCTTTTAGATCTTATACAAGACCATCAAGGCAGTACTTCTACAAGTCTATAAGAACTACAGTGTTACTTGGCCTGAGAGGTCCCTTAATGCAGATATGGCTGCAGTGACCACAAACTTAGATCACAACACCTAAGACTCTTTAAATACCTGGAAAGCCTTCCCAAGAAGGATGGGTACAGACAAGCCCAGGCTGCAAAGACTATGATAAATACCTAACTTTTCAATGCCCAGACACTGGTGAACATTTACAAGCATCAAGACCATCTAGAAAAACATGACGTCACCAAATGAACTAAACAAGGCACCAGGGACCAATCCTGGAGAGAGACAGATATTTGACGTTTCATACAGAGCATTTGAAATAGCTGTTTTGAGGAAACTCAACGAAACTCAAGCTAACACAGAGAAGGAATTCAGAATCCTATCAGATGAGTTTAACAAAGAAATTGAAATAATTTAAAATACTCAAGTATAAATTCTAGAGTTGAAAAATGCAGTTAACATACTGAAGAATGCATTAGAGTCTCTTAACAGCAGAATTGATCAAGCAGAAAAAAGAAATAATAAGCTAGAAGACAGGCTATTTAAAAATACACAGTCAAAGGAGACAAAAGAAAATGAATAAAAAAGAATAAAACACACCAACAATATCTAGAAGATAGCCTCAAAAGAGCAAATTTAAGAGTTATAGGCCCTAAAAAGGAGATAGAGAGATAGGGGTGGAAAGTGTATTTAAAGGGATAATAACAAATAACTTCCCAATCCTAGAGAGAGATATCAATACTCAAGTACAAGAAGGCTATAGAACACCAGGCAGATTTAACCCAAAGAAGGCTACCTCAAAACCTTCAATAATCAAACTCCTAAAGGTCAAAAATAAAGAAAGAATTCTAAAAGCAGCAAGAGAAAAGAAACAAATAACATATAATGGAGCTCCAATATGTCTAGCAGCACACTTTTCAGTAGAAGCCTTACAGGCTCAGAGAGAGTGGCATGACACATTTAAAGTGTTGATGGAAAGAAAACTTTTATCCTAAAATAGTATACCTGATGAAAATTTCCTTCACACATGCAGAAGAAATAAAGACTTCCCCAGACAAATAAAAGCTGAGAGATTTCATCATCAGTCCTGTCCCACGAGAAATGCTAAAAGGAATTTTTTTTTTGTCTGAATGAAAAAGATATCAATGAGCAATAAGAAACCATGTGAAGATACAAAGCTCACTGGTAATAGTAAGTACACAGAATATTATGACTCTGTAATTGTGGTATATAAACTACTCATATCTTAAGTAGAAAGATGAAAAGATGAAATGGTTAAAAATAATAACTACGAGAACTTTTCAAGACAGCGCAATGGCATATAAATAGAAACAATAAAAAGTTACAAAGCAGAGAGACAAAATTATAGTTTTATTAGTTTTCTTTTTGCTTGTTTTTTAGTTTGTTTATACAATCGAAGTTAAATTGTCATCAGTTTAAAATAATGAGTTATAAGATATTAAGTGCAAGCCTTATGGTAACCTCAAATCTAAAAACATACAACAGATACACAAAAAATAAAAAGCAAGAAATTAAAACATACCACCAGAGAAAATCACCTTCACTAAAAGGAACACAGAAAAAAAGAAAAGAAGGAAGATAAGACCACAAAACCACTAGAAAAAAAAATAGCAAAATGGCAGGAGTAAGCCCTTATTTATTAATAATAACATTTAGTGTAAATGGACTAAACTCTCCAGTCAAAATACATAGAGTGCCTCGATGGATTAAAAAAGATATGGCCGGGCGCAGTGGCTCACGCCTGTAATCCCAGCACTTTGGGAGGCCGAGGCGGACAGATCACGAGGTCAGGAGATCGAGACCATCCTGGCTAACACGGTGAAACCTCGTCTCTACTAAAAAATACAAAAAATTAGCTGGGCGTAGTGGCAGGCACCTGTAGTCCCAGCTAATCAGGAGGCTGAGGCAGGAGAATGGCGCGAACCCAGGAGGCAGAGCTTGCAGTGAGCCGAGATTGTGCCACTGCACTCCAGTCTGGGTGACAGAGTGAGACATTGTCTCAAAAAAAAAAAAAAAAAAAAGCAAGCCCCGGTCATCTGTTGCCTGCAAGAAATGCACTTCATATATAAAGACATACATAGACTGAAAATAATAAAGGATGGAAAAAGATACTCCATGCAAATGGAAACCAAAAAAGAGCAAGAGTAGCTACACCTGTATCAGACAAAATAACTTTTCAAGACAAAAACTATAGAAAGAGACAAAGGTCATTACATAATGATAAAGGAGTCAATTCAGAAAAAAGATACAATAATTGTAAATATACATGCAACCAACACTGGAGCACCCAGATATATAAATAAACATTATTAGCACTAAAATAATATCTGAAGACTTCACCACCCCACTTTCAGCATTGGACAGATCATCTAGAACAAAAAAATCAACAAAGAAAAAACAGATTTAATCTGCCCTATAGGTCAAGTGTACCTAATAGTTATTTACAGAGCACTTCATCAAATGGCTACAGAATGCACATTCTTCTTGCCAGTACATGGATCATTCTCAAGGATAGACAATACGCATATGTTAGGCCACAAGACAAGTCTTAAAATATTCAAAAAACTGAAATAATATCAAGTATCTTTTCTGACCACAATTGAATAAGGCTAGAAGTCAACAACAAGAGGAATTTTGGAAACTATACAAACACATGGAAATTAAACAATATGCTCCTGAAACAAAAACAGTATTGTACTGGCACAAAAACAGACATATATACCAATGGAACTGAATGTAGAACCCAGAAACAAATCCATACATCTACAGTGAAGTTATTTTTGACAAAGGCACCAGTAACATTCATTGGGGAAAAGGACAGTCTTTTCAATAGATAGTGCTGGGAAAATTGGATATCCATATGCAGAAAAATAAAATTAGGCCGTTATTTTTCTCTGTGTACAAAAATCAAATCAAAATGGATTAAAGACTTAAATCTAAGACCTGAAACTATTAAACTACTACAAGAAAACATTGAGGAAACTCTCCAGAACATTGGACTGGGCAAAGATTTCCTGAGTAATACCCCAACAAACACAGACAACCAAAGCAAAAATGGACAAATGGGATAACATCAAGTTAAAAAGCTTTTTGCATAGCAGAGTAAACAGCCAACAAAGTGAAGAGATACTGGGAGAAAATATTTGCAAACTATCTATCTGACAACAGATTAATAACCAGAATATATAAGAAGCTCAACCAACTTTAGAGGAAAAATTATAATAATCTGATTTTGAAAATGGACAAAATATCTGATTCTCCAAAGAGGACATATAAATGGCAAACTGGTATATGAAAAGGTGCTCTACATCATTGATCATCAGAGAAATGCAAATCAAAACAACAACGAGATATCATCTCACCCCAGTTAAAATGGCTTTTATCCAAAAGATAGGCAATAACAAATGCTGGAGAGGGTGTGGAGAAAAGGAAACCCCTATAACTGTTGGTGGGAATGTAAATTAGTACAACTACCATGGAGAATAATTTGAAGGTTTCTCAAAAAACTAAAAATAGAGCTACTATATGATCCAGCAATTCCACTGCTAGGGATATACACAAAAGAAAGGAAATCAGTACATTTAAGAGATGTCTGCACTCTCACGTTTATTGTAGCACTATTCACAATAGTCAAGATTGGAAGCAACCTACATGTCCATCAAGAGATAGATGGATAAAGAAAATGTGGCACGCATACACAATGGAATTTTATTCGGCCATAAAAAATAAAGAGATTCTATCATTTGCAACAAGGAGGTCATTATGTTAAGTGAAATAAACCAGGCACAGGAAGAAAAACTTTGCATGTTCTCATTTATTTGTGGGATCAAAAAATTAAAACAATTGAACTCATGGAGATAGAGAATAGAATGATGGTTACCAGAGGTTGGGAAGTGTAATGGGGGGTGGGGAGGAAGTGGGGGTGGCTAATGGATTAAAAAAAATAGAAAGAATGAAGAAGATCTAGTATTTTATAGCAAAAGCAGGTGACTATGGTCAATAATGATTTAATTATACATTCTAAAATAATTAAGAGTATACTTGGATTGTTTGTAACACAAAATATAAATGCTCAAGGTGATTACCTTGATGTGATTATTACACATTGCATGCCTGTATCAAAATATCCAATATACCTCATAAATATATACACCTACTATGTACCCATAAAATTTTTTTAAAAAAATTAAAAAGCAAAGAAAACATCTGGGCAGTAAGGGCAGAAAAGAACCTGGGCAAAGATAGAGAATAGGAGAGGAAGACTCTACCAGCAGATAGAGCGGCTTCAATGGGGAGGTTGAGTTGTCTATCAGGGAATAATGAGCAAACCATGTGGGATGGAAACTCATTTAGACAAAGGATTTATGTAATAAGTGATGCAAAACAATGTACATAAATCATCTTGGACTTGTTGAGGACAGCCTGGAATAAAGGGCTAGGTGAGAACTCCTCCCTCTAGGCAATTGGGGCAGAATGAAGGAAAAAGTTGTATCAAGGATTCTGGTTGGGGGTCAAGGGTACAAATAGTATTTTAGGCAGATCAATCTTGTAAACAGGCATAGGGTGGCCAGGGAGTGTAAAAGACTCAAAGCAGGAAGACCAGGAGGAGATAACTAGAGTCAGCCAGCCATAAGGTAAAATCTGTTAAAGGAAGAACGATGCTTCTACTGCCAGTTCTAACATGAATATAATGGGAAAATGTTCACTATGCACTATGAGCTGAAAAAGCAGCCCGCAAAATAATATGTACAGTGTAACACTGTTTTGACATAGGCAAAAAGTATCTCTGCAGAGAAAAAAAGATATACTATATACCGAAATATTATCAGTAGTTATCTGTGTGGATACTGGGATTAGGGGCAATTTTTAGTGCCTTTATTTTGTTAGTATTGTATTTTTTTTTTCTGCTTGAGTACATATCACTTTTGCATTTGGAACCAAAGAAAGTCATACCTAGAAAAAAGAAATAATGCTTTCTGTAATGGGGAGCCTGTAGGTCTACATATTCTGAAGGGAAGACCAATGACTTTTTTCTGTTTATTTCACCACATCTAGTAATGTGGGATAAATTTCACTGGGCAGACTCAGTTTACTTTATAATAAACAAGCATCTGGGGACAGACTATCCAGAATATGACCGCTGAGCTTTGCTGACTGATGTGGAAGAATTTACCAAGTCACATCACTGTGTAACTGATTCTCTATAGATCTGATATGGATTACTGTTGAGAAGTCAGGCAGGGAGTGGTCTGATCCACTAAGGACAGCAATAATTATGCATGGAATATTAAAGGAATTTTATGCAATAGTGACTTTGTGAATTCTAATAACTGAGGCTTTTTAACCCTCTCTATAGTTGGCCTCTAGTAAAGAAAAGAGAAGCTTTAGTCCATAGTTAATCAAGGTAATGTGAACTGAGCTCCTTGGGAGCAAAGGACATTTCTCAATCTATCACACAGCTGTGCAGAGAGGTGCTTTTTGAATTCCTATTGAATGAAAAAAGGGATTTAAACCAACCTCTGGGATAGTGACATAACTGGATGGGAATAGTCTATGTAGAAATTGAATCATTATGTTAAGATTTCTACGTTATCTCTAATAACATTAGTGTGTCCCCAGTTTTTTGCTTTTATTCTTTGCCCTTCCCTCTACTTGATTTTACATAGTTCTATAGTAATGAAGGAGAGAAAATGGGAGTAATGCAGTATGGTATTTCTGTGTAGATGTTCAGAATATTGGCAGAGGGGTAGGAATGAGGAAGGGGCTGGAACAATGGGGAAAAAAATGAGCTAAAATCAAATGTAGGAGAAGATTTGAAGAGAGGCATAAAGCTTAAGCTTAATCTGCTCACTAAATTCCAAGGGGAGGTGGTTGGTCAGTTTTGGGAAAAGTTTAGGATATTATTTATATTCACAGTTTTTTTTGTTTTTTGTTTTTGTCTTTTGAGACAGAATCTCGCTGTGTCACCAGGCTGGAGTGCAGTGGTGCAATCTCGACTCACTGCAACCTCCGCCTCCTGGGTTCAAGCAATTCTCCTGCCTCAGCCTCCCAAGTAGCTGGGACTACAGGCATGAGCTACCACACCCAGCTAATTTTTGTATTTTAGTAGAGATGGGGTTTCACCATGTTGGCCAGGATGGTCTCAATCTCCTGACCTCGTGATCCGCCCACCTCGGACTCCCAAAGTGCTGGGATTACAGGCATGAGCCACTGCACCCGGCCTCACAGGTTTTAGAGATTAGGATACAGGCATATCTTTTGGGATCTACCATCCAATTAACTATAGTCAGTTTGGGGAAAGCATGGGTAAATAGAAGAATTCCCATAAATCAAATAAGGGCAGGTGAGCCTGCCCATACCCCACACAGAGGCCCTTTTCCCAGGGACAGCAGTGTTGGCTCAGGTATGGAGAATCACGTCCACATGAAAGAATCCACATGAAAGGATCACCAGTCACCACACTCATGGTGAAAATGGAATGGCCCACTGAATCAGGGCCTCTTTGGGAGCAGCATTGACCCAGGGATGGGGAGATAATGACACATGGCCTACTTGGGAAGTAGAAGTAGCCAGATGGAAGCTTAGGGAGAAGAAGTAGCTGGATGGAAGCAGGATGGAAACTATAAACATGCAAGTTGTGGAGAAAATAGCAAGCAATGATAAAACCCCTAAAAATTATGGGTTTGTTATTATTTTCACCATTTTCCTAAGCAAGAGTACCCCAAGTTTTTAAATGAATACCTTTCTTGTTTGTGAAAGCTTGAACTATCATGTCCCCAGATGTAGACATTAAAATCTGGAAGTCATAGTATTAGGTGGTCCAGGACTAGAATGGCTCAAAATTCAACTGGAACTCAGATCTCAGATTCAATTCTGAATATAGAAGATTACAGGCATGTGACTCATGGTAAGGTCAAGGAGCTGGGAAAGACACTAAAATTCAAAAGAATTGAGTGTTTCTCATTAAAAAGAAAGCCTGGAATCTGGACAACTCAAGATAGTAGTTGGGGAACCAAATAAGCTAAGTGGTCACTGAGGTTAAAGTGAATCAGACACTGAAATGGAAAGATAACTCTGAAAATGTTAAACCAAAGAGCTTTTTATTCCCTATAAAACAAGATTCGCAGGGAATGTAAAGTGCTTTAGTTTACTATTAAAAGACATACCATTGCATGAATAAATAATTTTAATACTGTGTTGTTATCATTATTATATACATGTGTATGTATGTGTGTATATATATAATATTACAAAATATAATACAAAGGATAAGGAATGAATGGAAGTATATTGGAGCGAAGTTTCTACATTTTATCAGAATCAAGTTATGTTAATCTGAAGTATATTGTGATAAGTTAAAGTGCATATCATAATCACTAGAACAATATCACTAAGAAAATAACTCACAGAAATATTTTTAAAAATGAACAAGCTAATTAAAATATGTATTTAACACAAAAGAATCAAAGAGGAACAGAGTGACAAAAAAGAAAGAAGACATTTATAAAATAAATAGCAACACAGTAAACGTAAATTAAATCATATCAATAAATGCATTAAACCTTCATAGTCTAAATGAAAAGACAAAGATTGTCATGAAAAATCAAGATCCAACTATATGCTGTGTATAAGAGACACACCTTAGATTCAACGAAAAATATAAGTTGAAAAAAATATTGTAAAAAGATAGACCATGCAAACATAAGAGAGCTGCAATAACTATATTACTGTCAAACAAAACAAATTTTAAGATAAAAAATGTTATCAAAGATAAGGACATTTTATAAAAATAGAACTGCCAGTACATTAGTAAAATATGACAATTATAAATGTATATATGGACTTATAGACAGAGCACCAAAATACCACAAAAACAATAGACTTGAAAGGAAAAATAGACAATTCAACACTTCTTCTTGGCGATTTTAATGCCTCACTCTCAGTAACTGATAGAACAACCAGATCCTCCCCTGCAAAATTGCAAGAATATTGAAGACTTGAGCAATACTGTCAATCAACTCTATGTGAGTAGCAATATGCAATTGGCCCTCCCTATCTGCAGATTCAACCAACTGTGGATTGAAAATATTTGAAAAAATCAACAATTAAAAATAGCAAGTCAACAATAAAAATACAATGCAACTATTTACATATCATTTACATTGTATTAGGTATTATAAGTAATCTAAAGATGATTTAAAGTATATGGGAGGACATGCATAAGATGTATGCAAATACTACACTAATTTATATAAGTGATATGAGCACCAGGAGATCCTAAAACAATCCCTGGTGGATTCTGAAGGAAAACTTAATAGAGCTCCATACCCAATGACTGCAGAACACACATTCTTTTCAATTATATATGAAATATTCTCCAAGATGGACCATATGCTAGGCCAGAAAACAAGTCTTACTATATTAAAAGGGTTCATGCTATAAAAATATATTCTTCAAACACAATGAAATTAAGTTAGAAATCTAAACCAGAGAATAAACTAGGAAATTTTCAAACATTTGGAAATTAAATAGGACTATTCTAAATAAACCATTGGTTCAACAAAGAAATAACAGAGGAAATTTAAAAATATTTTGAACTGAATGAAAATAAAATTTTAATAATTTATGGGAAGCAGCTAAGGCAGCATTCTGAGGAAAACTGAGAGCTTTAAACACCTATATCAGAAAGTATCAAATCAATAACCTAAGCTGTCACCTTAAGCTGTCACCTTAAGAAACTAAAAAAGAAAGTGAAAAGTAAACAAAATCCAAGTAAAAGAAAAGAATTAATGAAGATTAGAGTAGAAATCAATGAAATGGGAAAATAAGATAAAATCCATAAAATCAAAAGTTGGTTTTATGAATTACCAACACAGTTAACAAAACTTAGCTAGACTGACTGAAAACAAATTACCCAAATCAGAAATTAAAAGGGGGATATAACTTCTGACCCTACAGAATTAAAAAATATATAAGAAAATATGAACAACTTCACAACAAAAAATAGACAACTTAGATGAAATGAATACCTAAAACAACACAAATTACCAAAACTGACTCAAGAAGAGAAAATCTAAATAGATCTATAACAAGTGAAGAAATTGAGTCTTAATTTTAAATATTTCCACAAAGAAAAGCCCAGGCTCAGAATTCACCAGTGAGTTTTCTTAAATATTTTAAGACAATATAGTAACAATCCTTTACAAACTCTTTTGGAAAACAGAAGAAGGAACAATTCTCACCTCTTCTTTAAGGTATTATTTTGATACCAAAACAACACAAAGATACCAAAAAAGAAGAAACTACAGA
Organism: Homo sapiens; assembly: GCF_000001405.40. Taxonomy (NCBI): domain Eukaryota; kingdom Metazoa; phylum Chordata; class Mammalia; order Primates; family Hominidae; genus Homo; species Homo sapiens. The sequence goes on along the minus strand of NC_000003.12, from coordinate 156,262,625 downwards.
TTGATATCACTCATGAACATAAATGTAAAAATCCTTAACAAAATATGAGCAAATCAAATCCAGCGACTTGTAAAAGGATTATAGGCCATAACTAAGTGGTCTGTAGTTTGGTTTTACACCCAAAATACAGTTAGTGTAAGGTGCCAGATTAATAGAATAAGAGGAAAAGAATGCATAATCAGCTCAATAGATGAAGAAAAAAACACTTATCAAAATCTAACACCTATTCATGATAAAACTTTCCCAAGCAAAAACTAGAGGAGAACTTCCTTAACCTGAAAGAGTGTCTCCATGAAAAATCCACAGCTCACATCATACTAAATGGTAAAAAAGACTAAATGTTTTTCCCCTAAGACAGGGAACAATGCCACTTTGCCACTTCTTTTCAACACTGTAAAGGATGTTTTAGCTAATGCAATAAAAAATAAATAAAAGGAAATTAAAGATGCCCAGACTTGAAAGGGAGAAGTAAAACTGTTTTTATTCATAGATGACATAATCTGTTATGTAGAAAGTCTCAAGGTATTCATCAAAAAAACTACTAGAATAAATGAATTTAACAAGATCACAGAATATAAGATCAATATTTCTATATACTAGCAATGAACAGCCAAAAACAAAATTAAGAAAGATTTTTGTCATAAAAACATCAAAATGAATCAAATACAAAGAAATAAATTTTTAAAAAGAAGTACAAATTTTGCATACTGATTACTACAAAACGTTACTGAGCAATTAAAGATCTAAATAATGTTCATATTCCTGAACTGGCATAGTCAATATTGTCAAGATGGCAAATTCTCCCCAAATTGATCTAGAAATTCAATACAATCCCTATCAAAATCCCAGCAACTGCTTTTGTAAAAATTAACAAGCTGATTTGAAAATGTGTATGGAAATGCAAGGAACTTAAATAGCCAAAACAATTTGAAGAAGAACAAAGAGAACTTACATGATCTAATTTTAAAACTTACTCCAAAGCTATAGTCACCAACAGAGTGTGGTATTGGCAAAGGATAAGTATATAGATTAATAGGAGAGAACTGAGACTTAGTAATAATTTCTTACATTTATGGACTATAACCTTAACTTTTGACAATGATGCCAAGACAATTCAATTGAGAAAGCATAATCGTTTCAAAAAATAGTGCTAGGACAATTGGATATCCATATGTGAGAAAAAAATTACTTAGGCCCTTCCCTCAAACTGCACACAAAAATAAACTCAAAATGGATCACAGACCTAAAGTTAAGAGTTAAAACTCTAAATCATCTAGAAGGAAACACAGGAGAATTCTTTATGATCTTGGCTTTGGCAAAGCTATGACACCAATAAAAGAAAATATATAAAAGAAAAAAAGGTTAATTGAACTTCCTAAAAATAAAAATTATTTTACTTTAAGTAAAACAATTACTTAAGATATCATTAAGTAAATGAAAAGACAAGCCATAGTTTCAAATCCTATGCTTGATAAAGGACCTGTATTCAGAATGCATGGAGAATACTAATAACTCAATAGAAAGAAGATATGTAACCCAACTAAAAAAACTGGATGAAAGATTTTAGTAGACATTTTACCAAAGAGAATAAGTGAATGGCCAATGAGTACATGAAAAGATTTTCAACCTCATTAGTCATTAAGGAAATGCAAATGAAAACCACAATGAGACACCTCTATACACTTACTAGAATGGCTATAATAATTTTTTTTTAGTACGAGGAATTAGTGAAAATGTGGAGAAACTGGAACTTTCATGCTTCCTGGTGAGAATGTAAAGTGGTACAGCCACTAGGAAAAGTAGTTTGGCAAGTCCTTAAACACTTAAATACAAGTATATCATTCAACCAAGTAACTGCACTTCTAGATATGAAAATGTGTGTCCACATAAAGACATATACATGAATGTCACAACAACATTTATAATAACCAAACCAGGAAATTATCCAAAGTCCATCAAATGGCAAATGGAAAAGCAAAATGTGTTGTATTTATGGAACTCTATTCAGGATTAAAAGGAATGAACTGCTGATACATGCAACTACATGAATCATCCTCAGAAACATTATGCTAAGTGAAAGGAGCTAGACAAAAAAAGACTATATATTTTATAATTCTATTTTTATGACATGTCTAGAAATAGCACATTTATAGAGACAGAAAACAGATTAGTGGTTGCTGGGGCTGGGAGTGGGAACAGGGATTAACTGCAAACAGGAATGAGCGAACTTTTTGAGGATAGGAGAATATCATAAAACTGATTTTGTTTATTGTTTCACAATTCCATAAGTTTACTAAAATCACTGAATTGTACATTTATTTTGAGTGAATTTTATGGTATATAAATTATACCTTAATAAAACTGTTTTTAAAAAACACAACAGAACATGGTTTGCTAAGAGAGAAGGTTTATTTTTTTAAAGGCCCCAGATTTCCTTTACACGTCAGAAGCAAAGGTTGGAGGTCTGAATGCAGACTTCATTACAAGCTGCTGTAGAAAGAGGTCAGAGGTCTGGGAAGTCCTAGACAGAAGTTTCAAGGCAGGATCAGAAAGAACAATGCGTTTAGTTGCTGGGGGGTTCTTGAGAAAAGTCTGAGTATCCTGCATTACAAGGCTGAGATACTAGACATCCCTAACAAGGGTGAGGGAGAGTCCAGGGGCATCCAGAAACGTTCCCCGTTGGGCATAACACTGGGTCTGGATGGCACGCAGAGATGGCAGAGCAGCAATAGTGGAGAATGGCTGCAGAGGCAGCCTCACCGAGTTGCCCACATTGTGGGATGGGGCGACAAAGCAGTCAAGGCATAAACAGGACCTCCAGAGCATCATGGAGGTCACAGAGCGAGAGCTGATACTGAGCAGTGCAAGGTTTTTAGTTAAAGATACTGGGCACAGCAGAGTGTCCCAAAGACAAGGCAGGACAGCTTTAGGACACACAGGTCCAGATGGGCAAGGAACAACTCAGAGGAAAGCAACAAAACCTAGGCAATGGCATAAAAGTCAGCTATGTTAGGGACTTGGAACTTTAAACTAGCAACGCTCCTGTTTCGGTAATGGATGGGTTACCTTGAAACAGCAAGTTCAGGAGTGTTTGTTTCTCCCAGCCCTTAGCAGAACTAAGAGCTTTAGACAACATGAGGACAGTCCAAAACAAAAAGAAATATCTCCTTTTGCTGCCCGCTGGCAGACATTTGCAGGGTGTGGAAAGCTCCCAGTGAGCTGAGGGTTAGTGATGTGACTTTTGATCTCAGGCTTCCCAGGTTGACTTGATAGAAAGAACATTTTATATCCCTAATTAATAGTCAACTCTTCTGAGTTGAAAGGAATCTCACTTTATCAGATTAGGAAGTCTCCTTGAGAGTCAGGACCCCTTAAGGGGGTCAGGGCAGAGAACAAGGTGCCCAGAGATAATGGCTGGGCCACTGTCTTCTTACCACTGGAATCTTCTCATTAACCTCAGGCAAAACTCCTAGCTGCCAGGGTGTTGAAATGGTTTGCTTCTACAGCATTGAGTCACTAGATCCCAAAGGTGTTCAAAGGTTTAAACTCTAAATGTTGCTAGGTTCATTTACAGATCAATTAGTCAATTTGTGACACTTTAAGTGACATTTGAAAGAGAGACAACATTAAACAAAGACCAATTGGAAGCCGAATCGTTCCATTTCCCTGCTCATCAGACTGGATTGTCTGTTATGTTCTGCATGCAGAGGGGGATTTGCCATTCTACAGCTAAAGTCATTATTTAGGCCCAGTGCTGGCTCACTCAACAGCAAGGCACATTATTTATAGCAATATAGTTGTCTGTTATAAAATCTTCCATGTGGGGGAAGGGGAGAGAGAGCACTTGGAGTCCTAATGTTTTTGGCTTGGGGCTTTTAATTGAGTAGGAGTGAGTTATTTAACGTTGCATGTAGGTAAATGAGAAAAATATGTTCTTTCCAGCAAATGATTGCCCGATTTTAATTTCCCTGTAATCATTCTTAATTCTTAACTGTCATAAAATTCAAAAGGCTGTCATGTGGAGGAGGGAGGACATTTGGGAGTGTTGTTGCATAGGACAGAACAGGACCAAGGAGAATTGGCAGCAGGCAGGTGGATGCATATGAATGAGGGACTTGCTACGGTGTGGGCTGTTCAACAGCATATCAGGCAGCCCACCTGGAGGTTTAGTAAGCTGTCCCTGAAAGTATTCAAATTGTGCCCATAGGACTAGATGACAGTACATGATAGAAAAAAGAGGATTTGCTTTTCTGAATGGTAGTTATGTTAGGCAGGATCTTTCAGGTAGTAAGAAACTGAAATGTGCTAAAATGACCCAGTCTGTTCTTTTGGCCTGTCCAGGCTTCTCCTTTCTTCTGAAAATAGCATTCCATTGTTCAGGTAAGATAGACGCTCCTCCCAGGCTCTGGGTGTGTATATGTGACCCAGCTCCATCAATGAGAGTGTTCCATTTCCCAAGTCACAGTGATTAGCTCAGGGTTGGTCATGTGACTCTAACCAGTCCAAAAAGACTCAATCCTGGGAATTTTATTAGAAAAGAGAGACTCTCTTTCTTCTGTACTTGAAGTTAGTTAAGCCTAATGCTGCCTAGGGTTATTGCAAGGAAAGGACCTGCTTGAGAATAAGTTGGAAAGTCATTAAGGATGTATGCTGTAGCAGACTGCTTCTGGTGGTCTCCCTCCATAGATAATGTCTTCTCTTTCCTATTCTGTTGTTATTCTGTCACAGTGATTCAGCTACTTGGTCCCTTCTTCCGCTGCTCCCAGGTCTACAGGCTTAATAACTGTACAACTCCTATTCAAATTCCCCAAGAGAAAGGATTGACAGGTCCTTTCTGAGACTGCACCAGCCAGTCACCATCCATGTGATATCCCCCAGTAAACTATGACTCTCATAAGCAGCCACCATGGATGGAAGGCAGTCTTTGTGTAAGGCATCAATCCTGAATCCAACTCCCTGTGATCATGGGGATACATTATAAAGAAAAGTGTGCTCCCTATAGTGAAAGTGCTCCATGATGACTAGTAAAAGTTTTAGATCTATCAAAAGGAACCTGCTTCAAACTTCTTTATTGTGTAAAGATATTGTAGGGTAGAAGCTGTCCTCAGAGTAGGGCTCTGGACATAGAACAGGCAAAGCACCCCGGATCCCTCCCCAGACAATTTCCAAGGTTCTTTCCCATTTTCAGGTTCTCCAGTTCCTTTTTATTATAAAATTCTCTTTTTAAAGGAGAAATTTTGTTTGGGTTTTTATTAACATTGAGATGCTTCCCAGAAGAATTGATAAAGGAAGTTGCTAAGCAGAAAGCCCCATGAATTTTGTTCCTTTCCTCACTTACTACCCAATTCTTGTCTCACTAAAGTCTGGAGCACAAGTTTTTCACAAGGAGAAGGAGATTTAAAAACAAAACCAAATCTAGGACACTCCAGGTGTGTCTGATATGACACTGTGATTCAATCAAGTCCTGGCAGGAAAATGATGGTACACTCATGGGTCATGAGGAAAGTTTAACACAAAGACTATTGACAAGGTATAATGGGAATGTCCCTGAAGGGAAGTAAAAGTATCCCTAAAACATGAGATAGCTGAGGCCTAGTAATGGCTGGGTCTGTTACCACCTCTCAGCCTAAAGGGGCAATTGGAAGGAGTGGTCACCAGAACCCAGACACATAGAGAGCTCTGTGGCCGGGGCCACCACAGAAACTGTAACCTTCAATGGAGGGACATAGCCAGCCCACAGGAAGAAGCTCAGAGAATAAATACCCAACTCCCTCCCTACCTTCCTCCAATCTCCTGCCAATGGGCTGAACCCAACTAGAAGCCAGAGACCAAAGAAGCACAGGACAGCCTCCTGGGGCACAAAGCAGAGTAGAAAAATGGTAGGAAGTATATCTGGAGGAGTAAATTAAAAATATTCAGCACACATGGGGTAAAAAAAATACTTAAGCTACATTTTCTCTCAAGTGGGCAAAAATATCTCAAAATCTAGTGGCCCACTGGTAAGTCTTCAGTGGAATGGGCTGATTCAACGCTGCTTTTAGCATAAAACAGAAGACGATGCCTGAGGAGACAGTGAGCATCCACTCACATTGGTGGGGCTAAGCTGTCCTGCCTGAGGATATCATGAAATAGGAAACCACCTCCTCCATTAAAAGCACTGCACAGTGACCCTGGGGAGGGAGGGCAGTCCTGAGTGTTCTGTGTAAAGTGGCATCAGCCATAAATGCTGGGCCACATCATCCTTCAGGCGTTTCCTAAGAGATAGCTGAACGGGATAGTGCCATTCTTTCAGTCAAATATATTTCTTTTTAATCAAAATGTGGAACAACATTGTGTTTGAAAAGAAGTGAAAAAAATATTATAGAAGAGAAAGGCCAGATTTCTGGGAGCATTGTCTTATATTTAAGATTAAATCAGGAATACAATTAGGTGCTGAAAACATAACACTTTTTCATTTGTTAATTTAAAATTAATCCACAAAAAACCTAAAGAAACAAACAATTTCTCTGAAATTATTCAAACTCTGCAGTCAAACTATGGCTGCTTTTTTTCTGCCTTTTTCTAGGGAGAATCTAATGTGGAAGAAAAATCATAATAGTCTTCCATTTATTAAGCATATATTTACTGAACACCTACCGCACTCTGGGCGCTGCTCCAGGTGCTAGGAACAGAAGAAACATTTCAAAATAAATAAGACCCATTTTCCCCTTAAGCAGCTTACACAGTCACATGAGAAAGACAGACATAAAAACAGCTAACCACAATATAGGGCAAAATGACATACATGCTAAAAGAAGTGCAGGTAATCTGCTTGGCGAGTTTGTGTGGGTGCCAAGGAGAGATTCATTCTGAGTGAGAGGAAACCAGAGAAGGCTGCATGGAGGAGGTGATATTTACTCTGGACCTTGAAAAGTGAGTAGAATATTGTCGGAGGACACATGAGCCCATTGTTAGACAGATAAAACAAGGACATTTCAAGTCAGGGTAGGGCATGAACAGAGACATGGATACATGAAGTACTGGGCAAATGCAGACCACAGCAGGCAGTGTGGGGCATTCCGAGGGAGTGGTAAAAGAGAGTGTAAGAGGAAGATGGAGCAGGAGAGAGGCTCGGGTCAAAGCAGGAAAAACCTTAATGCCAGCTTACTAAACTCAATTCAGGAAACAGCAGGGACTCTGACTGGGGCCACATCTGGTTTGGAATAAATGTTACATGCATTATTTTGAACACCACAGTCTACAGCAGTTCTATCTTACGCCTTGAGTCTGTGCCCAATTTGCTTCCATGACAGTAACATCTGTAGTGCATTCATCCCTACTGTGCCACATTAAATCACTTCAACCTAATGATATTAATGACCTCAAATTGAAAATAAGATCCGGCTCATAGCACCCTCTTGGATAATGGAAATAGTTCACTACCAACAATTTCAGATGAAGGAGCTAGAATGAAAGCGGTTTGTTGGAACAAAGTAGCCTATAAATAGTCACACTGGGACAGATAGGCCGTGTTGCTGAAAGGCCCTCCAACTAATGGGCTGAATGCTCCCTAAATCAGTGAGAGTGGAGAGAGGGAGCCCACGTGTCACCCACATAGTCAACTCGGCAGGGAAAAGAGAGGGAGCCTGCTAATTAATCTCCACATTCTGCTGTTGCAATAAAATTCACTGAAGTTTCCTTTTTATCTGGGCAATTGGTATTAAAAATGAAAAGAAACAAAATCAGTCTGCCTGCTTTATACGGTATATTACCTAAGCCCAAAGGCCAAATCAGGAAATGCTTTGAGATTTTGATGTTACAGAAGACTGGAGGATGGAAAGGAGGTTGTATGAAATCGGACCAACCATTACAAAGTTAACTCTAACTTAGATGGATAGGAAGTCAAAGTCCCTAGCCTAACTCTCAGCAACCAACACTTCTTGTGCTTTAGGGCTCAGTTAAGAAAATAAAACAGAACGAAAGGTCACATTTTCTACTGTGAGCCTTTGTAACTAAATATCAAATATTGTGACTCCCTTCTGCAGAGTTCACAATGAGACTTCTCATAAGCCTGGAAAGAACTGCAAATAATCCTTGATGAGAAATAGCTGAGCTCTGCAAACACTGCTCTTGGTCTGAGCAGTGGCCATTGGGCAGCTACAAACCCAACTCTGGGGGCCCTCTTTGTCTTAGCATGGGTGAGCTGAGTGACATATAAGCCTAACCATTCCTCACCATCCTGGGAAAATGCTCCTGTGAGAGACAGAGTGTTTGGCAAGGGATCTGCACAGAGTGGATGGCCCCATTCCTGTGGCCAGTGCCTGACCTCAAGGTGACATCCCATGAGTGAGGTTCTGGGCCAATTGAGGCATACCTGCAGAGGGCAGGTAGCTAAACAAGATCTCACTTAGCCAGAATATTCCAAATAAATTATTCACATAAACTACATCTAACCTCTGCTCTCTTTTTATTTTTAACATTTTATCATTTCAAAGACATAACTCTTTGTCAAACCTCTTTACTAATACCTCTTGTTCATAAAAATCGTAAGTTCTCTGGTTGTAAAAATCATAAGCTCTCTGGTTGCAGAGGGCATTGTGTCCTTACACATCAACCTCCAGAAGCAAGGGAAAAGAGGAACATACCTGTCTTCTGTCTCTTTTAAGAAGCCTCAGCTTCCCCTCACATCTCATCAACCAGAAATGCATCATATACCCCCACTTAAAGCCATCACATCGCTGGGGGCATGGCCTCCATGTTTGGTTTAGACCGATGGTTCTCAAACTTCAGCTGGCATCAGAATCACACAGAAGACTTGTTAAAACAGACGCCTGGTCCTCTTCCCTGGAATTTCTGATTCAGCAGTCTGGGATGGGACCTAAGAATCTGCATTTTTAACAGGTTTCCAGGTTGATGTTGACACTGCCAGCCCACACATTAACAATGTGGTTTAGACAAAGCAAGTTTCACTCTTAGGTTCAGGGAAGAAGCTGAGCCTCCCCTCAAACACATGGCTGCTTAGAAGAAAGGGAATAAAATCAGTGTTCTGTTAGCAAGGAAAAGAGTAGGTGTATGGCTGATGAATGGCAACCATCAGAATCTTCTGGGTTGGAATCCACTGAATCTTGTCTTCACAAAATGGTAATCTTTTGTGGTCTGTGTTGATTCTGGCTTCTTGCTTACCTGATTAATAGCACTCAGCCCTGCTGCTCCTAACAGGCCCAGGAATAGAACTGAGGCAGAGCTAACACTAGAAATGGCCAATGGCTCATCAGCCCTGGAGCCCAAAGGACCTTGTGGGGAGGGGATGTGAAAGCCTTTGTTTCAGCCACGTATCTCACTCCTGTTCAGTGTCTTGAGAGGAAGTACTTCCATTTTCTGAGATGACATGGTGAAACAAAACAAAGAAAACAAAACAACTGCTACTCTTAAACTATTTCTTTAAATTGAATTAAGGCAGTCTTCTTAAACACAGGCCTGGTGCAGCAACCTACCTTTTATGTATCTTCTATGTATATGCCATGACACCCACGGATTTAGTTAAAATTATGCTATGAATTGGGCCAAATATTACTGCTCCATGAGAATACTCAACCATTCAATAATAGGTTAATTTGGTCTTTTCTTTGCTGCTCCTCACAAGACAATCTTTTCTCTAAGCCTAATTTTAAATCTCATTACTTTGGAGTTTAACTACAGGTTATGTTAGGAAAGAATGCCTAAGGTCATTTGAAAGAATTCAGAGGTGAAATTGCTGATGAGTGAGCTTTCTTGTTCACACAGCCCAGTAGGCTGGATATGAAAGTTTTTAAGACAATGCGCGTTGGAAAGCTGCTGACTCTCTTCTGCCATAAGTCCCCGTGTAAGCTCCTGCACTGAGAAGAAAGCCTGTCCTGAGTGCTTTGGGGATTAGGATGAGGAGTGTTACAAGTAATGCATCTTGGGCACTCAGCTTCCCACAGTCACCTTATCACTGTGGGTATTTCTTCCTATATATTTAAAGTGAGCCATCAGTCACTTCTAATCTATGTGCCAATTCTAGGGAACTTGCAACTTTGAAGACAGCCTCAGAAACTTCATATATTGAAGGAAGATAAAATATATTGCATACCATATTAATACTTTATTTCAACCAAAGGATATCAGCTTCTTGAAATAGAGTGCTGTCAAAAACAAATCCATTAGCTGTGCCTTTCTCCTGTAGATTCAGGCAGAATTAGAAACACCAAAAGAAAAAACAATAAAAGAATAAAAGTGTTGGTTTATCAAATGTACACAGTATTGCTCTACTTTCCTCTCAGCCAGCAAACAGGGGGAAAAATAGCAATAAGAGATAAAAGAAAAGCCACCACTTTCAGCTGAGTGATTTGGTTCTACTACGAATGACATTAAGCGTGTGCCAGGGAACAGATTCACATGTGTGCTGTTTAGTGCCTGAGCACATGTTTCCTGCATCAGAGATGCCAAGGCAATATCCCAATGTCTGTATGGCCCAGTGATGCCCTCCGTCAGGGGGAGCCAGGTGCTTCTCACTTGCCATGCCCATCATGTAAGACACCTCTCCATTTCCTGGGGGTCATCACAGTCCAGGAAAAAGGCCCAACTCATCAGCAGGAGGAAACTAGAACTGTCACCAGACTGGGCGAGAACAGAGGAACATGCAGCAGTCATGACTGGAAGTAACAGTTTCTTTCTCAGTCACTTCTTGAAAATTATAGGCACTTGATCTCTGACATAGCTTTGACAGATATTCAGCAGCATTTGACCTACAATCTAATTAGATCAGGAAAACTATAAATCTTTATAGACAGGTTTAAAATATAGTTAGCAGCCTAAATTTCAATTGCACAGAACATCTCGAGGAGCATACCTATGAAAATTCTGGGATTCCTCTTGTTCTTTGGCTGTACCTTTGTATTTTAGAACACACAATTAAATTTTTCAGTCAGTATAAAGCTACCGAATGAATGAGTGGGAATCTCCTTTCTACATCATCCCTTGAGCCCGCCCATTCAAGAAAAAGGATACCCCTCCTCCCAAGCCCAGACCCAGGAATGTGACCAAATGAGCAAATGCCATCAGCTGTCCTGGGAGCCCTGACAGTTACTCTCTCCAGGGGTAAATATGTTTCCGTGTGTCTGCTGGCCATATAATATATACCCAGATATTCCATATAGTTTCAGTACTCTCAGCACTTGTCATATATTTGTCTGTACCAACCTTAGCCCTGGTGTTGTCGTCCTTTCCTCATTATCCTTTCACCCTACCCTGAATCCTTCATATATTTCTGTTAATAATCTTACATATTGGTAATAAGGACAATTAGACAATCAAGCATACTTACTCTCAAGTGATTTGTATTTCAGGACTTTGGTTTAAAGCCCCTTGTGTGAAACTCACAACATATTTTACCACAGGAATTACTTAAAGCCTCCATCTCACACAAGCCTACTTAATTGTATATTTGCAAGCATACTCAAGTATTCTCTTTGCTGGCCATGTCTTCTAGCATCAGGTTTTTACTTGGTACATACTAAGTTATTCATCAGTAACTCAAACTCTTCAATGAGCTGGGTATCCTATTTGAGTTTCTATTTTTCATAAAAATTCCCCTCTGGGTACCTTCCAGCTTCTTAGTTATGCATCAAAGAATGGTACGAAATAAAGTTGACTTAAGAAAATCCTGGGCAGATAAAAGAAAAAAATATTAAAAAGAATGCTCCCTCCCACATTCATAAAATCAATTGCCAATGTCTAGCAAGATAACCAGTCTTTAAAGGAATATTCTGGTTAAATGACATAAAAGCATTAACCTGATGATAGCCTGGGCATTGAGAGAGATCTGACTATGACCTTTGTCACTCTTTTATCTCTGGGGTGTTTTAGCTCATCTAGCTGACAGGGCAAATCCCCTTTCCACATCATCTCCTGAGGCCACCCAATCATCAGAGAGGACACCCCTTCTAGGCTCAGACCCAGGAATGTAGCCAGCTAGTCAAAATCATCAGCTCTCCCAGGAACTCTGATAACTACTCTATCAAGGGTAAAAAAAGAGAATGTCTTCTCACTGATGGTAAGAAGCCGTAACCCAGATGCTACACCATACATTTGGGGACATCACATTTTTTGGAGTGGGTGCACAAAAAGCTTGCTGAATGAATACATGGTATTAGCTAGAACTACGGGTTCTGAGAGCAAAGGACCATATGGCACACAATGGGAAGAGAAGGGATAGGAGGAGGAGGAGAAAAATAATGAAATCCCTTTTTCCTGAACACAGCTGGCCTTGGGCAAATTTGTAAAACAGGCTTTGAAGAAGAATTGACTAGGATCATGACTCCTCCCCTTATAAGCCCTCTGGACTTGCCCTCCCTTGTTAGAAAGGATGGACTGTCCCTGATGCTTTCTAGGGCCAACAACTCCCTTGGTGCATTGGATTCCTTCTGCTCTTCCCTTCTCAAAATGTTTGTTCTTTCCTGTCTCCTACAATGTCAATTTCTCCCTCCAAGCTTGATCAATCCTAATAGCTTTCAAAGATGCTATAAAACCTCCAATTTAGAAAAAGATCTCCCAGAGCCCGCATCCTTCTAGCCAACATGCTATTCACTCATATATAATAGGAAGTCTCTAAAAGTTACCAATCACTCCAATCAGTTTCCCCTGACTCCATTCAAACAGCTTTTGTCAAATCATTAATGATCTTCATTTTGCCAAATCCAGTGGTCAGTTTTTGGCTCATCTTGCTAAGGTCTTACTGAAGAAGATATCCCCAAAGGTTTGTGCTCCCCTTTCCATAGTGTGGAGCCTGTGTTGACAGAAGCCTGCTGAGCTAGAGACTACATTTTCCAACAACTCTTTCTGGCCCCACTAGCACATGTGGCCATGTGACTAGTCCTTGACAATGATCAGATTGTATAAGGTCTTATAGAGCATGGAAAGGAGACTGGATTTTATTCTAAGATTGATAGGCAACTGGGTGGTTTATAGTAAAGCCGTTCTCCTCCTTGAAACTGCAAAGCTCATTTCTGGTCAGGTCCTCTGCATTTACTTTTTTTTCTTTTTTTTTCTTTTTTTTCTTTTTTTTTTAGACAGAGTCTTGCTCTGTCACCCAGGCTGAAATGCAGTGGCACAACTGCAACCTCTGCCTTCTGGGTTCAAGTGATTCTCCTACCTCAGCCTCCCTAGTATCTAGGGTTACAGGCACGCACCATCATGCCTGGCTAATTTTTGTATTTTTAGTAGAGACAGGGTTACGCCAGGTTGGCCAGGCTGGCCAGGCTGATCTCGAACTCCTGACCTCAGGTGATCCATCTGCCTCGGCCTCCCAAAGTGCTGGGATTACAGGCATGAGCCACTGCGCCCAGCCTGTGTTTACTCTTGTTCCCCCTTCCCATAGATATTTTCATGGTCAGCTACTTCTTTCCAGGTCTCTGGTCAAAGTCATTCCCACTAACTAATCCATCCAAATAGTATCATCCCTCAAATTAATTTATTTTTCTCCATAGCACTTTTCATTGCCTAACATTATATTATATTCTCTTATTCTGACTTCCAGGTGCATCAGAATCAACTGAGTACTTGCTAAAAAATAAAAAAATTAAAAAATTAAAAAAAAAAACACAACCAGATTTCTATCGAAATCTCCAAGACTTCAAGAGGTCTTAGTGCCCAGTAATCTGCATTTAGCCAGATAATTCTAACCCAAGTGGACCAAACATAGGCACATGGACTCCTAGTCCAGCCAAAGAGGTACTGCCCTCTACACTCGGCCACCTGGAAGGTAAATGGTGCATTTTCAAAGAGGAATCTCTGTTAAGAAAGGGCTCATATCACGTGGAGCTTCACCTGGCTTAACCAGGGGGAAAATACTATCTTGCTGGGCAGCAAGCTTGTCTACCATGTTTCTGAACTATTCTAACTGTACAAATCCTGTTTCTAAAACCGTAAAGTCAACATGTGACTTCGGATATGTTACTTTGCCTCCATGGGCCTCCATTGTCATTTATATGCAATGAGATTATATTGAATTAGGTATTATCTCTCTTCTCAACCCCAGAGAGTCTTAACTAATGGCATTCATTCTATAGTACTTACATCTGTAAGCAATAACATGAAATAAGAGGTAAATGCTCAGAAACAGAGGGGTCTGTTACCAAAAAAAAAAAAAAAAAAAAAAATCTCATTACAGGCCTCCACAACTATGTAACAACTTCCCATGGCATCAAATTGCCAGTTAAAGAAAAGCACTTTAAGAGCTATGTCTTACAGAACTACCGGGGAGTTTTGAACATTTGACCATAAACATTTCTGTGTTTGTAAATGCTAGGAACCTAGGCACTTGCAACTGTACCAAAAAAAGGATATAAAAGGAAGCCACCCCAAAACAGAACAGTTAAAGCAACAATGCTACATTGCAATTAGTAAACATCACAAAAGCTCAAAACTCTAGCTGCAAAATATGGAATATAGTTTCATTGGTGCATTGATTACAACTTAACAAATAGTGCAATTTGTTAAGGCTTTAAGGAAGAGAAATTAACAGGAGGGACAAAGTCTTCTCAAGGTGACAGCATCAAGAGAATATGAACTGGGGAGATAAAAGAACTGGAGAAATGGCCATCATCTCACTTATTCAGAAGATATTTGTTGAGCCAAGCACTGTGCTAGGAACTGGAGATATAGAAACGGTTATATGAGTTGATTCCTGCCCTCAAGGAATTGAGAACTGTAAACAGACAATAGAAACACAGTTGCTGGTGACACAAAAAAAAAGACTGTCCTAGACTGGACACCATGGCTCCTGCCTGTAATCTCAGCACTTTGGGAGGCGGAGGTGGGCAGATCACTTGATCCCAGGAGTTCAAGGCCAGCCTGGGCAACATGGCGAACCCTGTCTCTACTAAAAAAATACAAAAAATTAGTGGGGCATGGTGGTTCATGCCTGTAGTCCTAGCTATCTGGGAGGCTGAGGTGGGAGGATCACCTGAACCCAGGAGGTCAAGGCTGCAATGAGCCATGATCATGCCACTGCACTCCAGCCTGGGAGACAAAGTAAGACACTATCTTCCTCTCCCCCGCAAAAAAATACTGTGGTTCAGTCTGCTGGAAGAAAGGACAGGCCAGATTCCCAGAGGAGGCGGTGCATGAACTGAGACTTGAAGGATGAGTAAGAGTTGCACAAGAATATAAGAGAAAAATCTCTTACCAGGTACAAAAAAAAACCAAGTGAACATATTGGTTGGGTAATTTTGTTAGCATTTTTCTTTTAGCCATTGTGATCAGCTTTGAACACGAATTAGCATTGTGATTTATTTTGTCCAGTAGAATGCTGCAGAAGTGACTGTGTACCAATTGCTATCCTAGTCTTCATAAGGCTTTGCATAGTTCCATTGCTATCTCAGACCCCTGCAACCACCATATGAATGAGCTCAGGCTAGCTTTCTGGAGACTAAGCAACCACGAGGAAGACAGCCTTTCTATACCAGCCAGTCGGCAGACAGTCTGCCAACTGACTGCAGATGCATGGCTGAGTGCAGCCAAGATCAGTCTGACCTGGCCAACATCACTAGTTTTTTTTTCCCAGTCAATCATACATTCATGAGCAAGAATAAATGGTTGTTTTAAGCCAACATATTTTGGAATGGTTTCTTATGCATTGATAGATAACTGAAAGAGCTCCTTCCAATCTGAATTTATAATGATATAGTTCTCATGCTCTAAATCAGCACCACAGATAGACTGAAGCAAAAGGTTACAGAGCACTTACACAAAAAAAGTTCCTGTTATCCCTTGTTTATAAACACTCACTACCTTTGTCACCTACCTTGCCTGTTCCTGATCAAATACAGCAGATGAAACCACAGTTATCTCACAAACACAACCTCCCAGAAGAGCCCACTAAAAAGAGAATAGGAAAAAATAGTATCCCTTTCTCTCACCTAAATACATTTTGTAATATGGCACAATATATATAAATGACTAACATAAAATGTTGGGTTTTTTTTTTTTTTTTGCTGCTTTTTTTTATTAACTTTTTTTTTTTTTGAGATAGAGTCTTGCTCTGTTGCCCAGGCTGGAGTGCAGTAGCATGATCTTGGCTCACTGCAACCTCTGCCTCTCGGGTTCAAGCTATTTTCCTGCTTCAGCCTCCCAGGTAGCTGGGATTACAGGCATGCGCCACCACACCCGGCTAATTTTTGTATTTCTAGTAGACACGAGGTTTCACCATGTTGGCAGGCTGGTCTCAAACTCCTGACCTCATGATCTGCCCTCCTCGGCCTCCCAAAGTGCTGGGATTACAGGCGTGAGCCACCGCGCCTGGCCTATGTTAACTTTTAGACTAGATGTTGCTTGGTTTTGATAGTCTCATACAGCTCTCACTCCTACTACCTGATTCTGAGTACAAACATATATTGCGAATTTTCCATGACTGCATTAAATTTGATGCAAATGACCTATTGGGGCAATTTAATTATCTGAGTGCCCAACTACCAGCTATGATTATAGGGGATTCAGGAACGCTACATATTACAAAACAGATCTCCATCGCCTCTCTATTTACGCATGCTGTTGATTCATTAATTCTTCATCTCTGCAGAAATCAGAAAATATAATTTTTCTCTCCAAGAAGAGAATGTGATTCTTTTTAAATGCTGTTAGTCTTTTTTTTTTTACCAATATTGATTAAAATAACCTATCAGTTATAATTCTGTATGGATAAGAAGCTTGGCACAGAAACAACTCAACACCATGATCCTAAAAAGTCTGTTTATTCTCTTTTCTGTTGCTAAATGCCTTTCTCTGGGCTGATTTTTTAAAGGGGAGGAAGGATACAGAATGTTTAGAACACAGTGAGCTAAACAAAGAGCCTTGTTAGCTGACCCTACAGTCCATGGGCAAGGTTGTAAAGAAGATAAAATTTACCCATGCTCTGCTCTTGTTTGCAAGTTCAAGATACTTTTCGTTACGTTTCCAGTCATTCAGCTTTCAGAAGAAGATGGCACATGGGATATAGCATCTAATTTTCCATGTTTCAAATATTATATAGTAAAGGGAATTTTTCCTTAAATATATACATATATAATTCACATTACAAAATTGCATAGAAGTAAATACACACATGAGCACACATACACATACGCGTGCACACACACAAATGAGTGCATGTAAAACTGGTGAAATGTGAATAAAACCAGTGGATTATATCAATGTCAATTTCCTGGTTCTAATGTTGTACCATGTTATGCAAGATGTTATGATTAGGGGAAGGGTATGTGGTTTCCCTGAATGATTATCGTTCTTTTAACTGCATGTGAATCTAGAATTATCTCAAAATAATATGTTTAATTTAAAAATAGAAACCTGTAAAAATAGGAAGAAAAAGAATGGATAACGTCGATAAAAATTTTAGAAGCAATCAAGCAGATCGCTAGGAGATACCTCTCCTAGCTAACTCTAGAAGGTAAATTCTAAGATGGCAGGAAGGACAGTTGAGAAGCAACCTTATTTAACCATAGAATCTCTGAAACATTGGAAACTGATAGCAACAGGCTTCTGGAAATGGAGTGAAGAAGAGGTGATGGTAAATAAAAGCAGAATCTGATAATGACCCTTTTAGAAACAGTGAAATCCCTAGAGCTTCTCCCCTTTGCCTGACCTTGAGATTCTGCTCCTTCTTCTGTACGTGGCCAGAGGTTGGAGCGATGCTCTCTAGAGGCGATAATGCAAAGGATATCTGTCCTGGGGACTCCTACAGCAGGCAAATGAGGTAGAACCAAACTGAAAATAGCAAAATAAAGTCAATGAATTGATATGACCAACAAAGACCCCTCTACTATTTTCATTATCTTGGCCCTCAGACCCTTGGCAGCCAAGTCTTTATCCTCTAGGCTGGAAACTAGAATAACTCTGGTAAAATCTGAAAGAGGAAATACATAGAGATATTGACATTGGGGGTGTATCTATCAGGGTTAAGTCAGAAAATCAGAGCCACTAAAAGTGTATTAGGGGAGTAAGCGGCTTACTCTAGGAATTAGAGCTTGCACAAGTGTGGGAAGAGCTGAGGAAGTAGGAATCTGGAAGAGAAGACTCAGAGGATCCAAGGAAGTCATTACCTACTGTGGCAGTCAGAACAGTGACCCCCAAAGAAATCCACATCCTGCTCCCCAGAACTTATGAATATGTTGCTTTACATGGCAAAAAGGGACTTTGGTGGTGTAATTATGTTAAGGATCTTGAGATGGGGAGATAATCCCAGATTAGCTAGGTGGACCCAATGTTATCACAACAGCCTTTATAAAACAGAGACAAGAGGAAGAAAGTGAGAAAAGGAGAGGTGAAGACAGAACTGGAGGTTGGAGTGATGCACTTTGAAGATAAAAGAAGGAGCCAGACCAAAGAAATGGACGTGACCTTAGAATCTGGAAAAAGTAAGGAAGTGGATTTCTCTCCTGAAGCTCCCAGGAGACACTTCGGTTTTAGACTACTGAGCTCCAGAACTGTAAGAGAATAAATTTGTGTTGTTTTAAGCCACTAAATTTGTTGTCATTTGTTACAGCAGCTCTAGGAAACACCTACAACAACTTAAAGCATGGGTGTGGATGGAGTATGTGGGAAATGTTCAGAAAGACTGGATGTTTGGCCACCCAAGTGGAATAGTGGGTGAGGAGGTTATGGCAGGTCCATGGAAGCTACAGCCTCTGTAGAAATTGCAGTCAAGCATTTGGTGGCTTGGAGTCACTCTTGGCCTGTGGGGTCAGTAGTTGGGAGGGGAGGCTACAGCCTACTAGGCATCTCTGCATCTAGATGGCACATTCCCTGATTACTGTGACCTTCTGAAAGTAATGGCTCCTGCTTTACCTCTGCTTTCCAAATTCTGTACAAGTTTTTCTCTTAGCCAAATCTAATCACAGAGAAAATGGAGTTCTGGAAAGGACAATTCCTAATCTTAAATAGAAGTAGTAGTGCTAAGGTGATAAAACACAACCCAGCTTTAGGAGTTTCCCTACAAAAGACTCAGATAGCTCACCTGTCAACAAAGTTCAATGTCAACAAGCTCTACTCCTATGTTTAGGGCTTCCATCAAAGTTTTAGTTTCTCACCCTTGAAAATAAGCACACCAGCCAGGCGTGGTGGCTCATGCCTATAATCCCAGCACTTTGGGAGGCCAAGGCAAGCGGATCACCTGAGGTCAGGAGTTCAAGATAAGCCTGACCAACATGGAGAAACCCTGTCTCTACTAAAATACAAAAAGAAATTAGCCGGGCATGGTGGCGCAGGCCTGTAATCCCAGCTATTCAGGAGGCTGAGGCAGGAGAATTGCTTGAACCCAGGAGGTGGGGGTTGCAGTGAGCCGAGATTGTGCCACTGCACTCCAGCCTGGGCGACAGAGGGAGATTTTGTCTGAAAAATAAAAAATTTAAAAAAATAAGCACACCATCGGCCAGGTGCGGTGGCTCACGCCTGTAATCCCAGCACTTTGGGAGGCCGAGGCGGGTGGATCACAATGTCAGGAGTTCAAGACCAGCCTGACCAACATGGTGAAACCCTGTCTCTCCTAAAAATACAAAAATTGGCCAGGTGTGGTGGCACATGCCTGTAATCTCAGCTACTCAGGAGGCTGAGGGAGGAGAATCACTTGAACCCAGGAGGCAGAGGTTGCAGTGAGCTGAGATTGTGCCATTGCACTCCAGCTTGGGTGACAGAGCAAGACTCCATCTCAAAAATAAAATAAAATAAAATAAAAAATAAATAATAAATAAGCACACCATCAAGGATGATCAGACATCTGGGGAAAGTCTTGAACATGAAAAATGTCAAAACACAAAAGCCAGTATCAAAACAGAAAAAAAAAAAAAACTTGAAAAAATAGAGACTGTTCACAGAGAAGAAAATATGACACAATGATAACAACTGGAATCACTGGTTTATTTAGAGTTAAGAGAAAAATATTGCATCTTTGAAATATTACTGACAAGATGCTTTAGAAGAATAAACATTCAGAAAACCAAAAGAAGGTTTTAGAAATTTAAGCATGCTATCCAAAATGAAAAGCTCAATAGAAGAATTAAAGAATAAAGTGGAAGAAATTTTTCAGAAAAAAAAAGTGTATAAAAGAGAGAGATACAAAGCAAGAGAGAGGATATACGACAACTAGAGAAGCAGGGCAGAAAGTTCATTATCAGAATAACAGAAGCATGTGGGAAGCGGGTGGGGGATAAAAGACTACGAATTGGGTTCAGTGTGTACTGCTGGAGAGACAGGTACCCCAAAGTCTCACAAATCACCACTAAAGAACTTACTCATGTAACCAAATATCACCTGTTCCCCCAAAACTTAGGGAAATAAAAAATTAAAAAATTAAAATAAAGAATAACAGAAGCACCAGCAAGAGAATGGAGAAAATGTAGCAAATAATAATAATAAAACAAAATAATTTAGGAACATTTCCCAGGAATGAGGACATGAGAGTTTACAGATTGAAAGGGCCTGCCCCACAGAGCACACTGCACAATGGACAAAAATCAGCCCACACTAAGTGATTTCACGATAACGTTTCAGAATAGTAGAGCCAAAAAGAGATTCGATAAGCTTCCAGAGATTTAAAAACAACAACAACAGGCCAAATAGGAGGGTGTTGATGTCCGAATTGCTTCATATTTCTTAATGGCAACACTGGAAGATAGAAAAGAAAGATTTTCAAAATTCTGAAGTGGTAAATTATTTCCAACATATAACTTGATCCAGCCAATCAGTTCAAGGGGAAAATAAAGACATTTTCAGACACACAAGGTTTTTAAAAATTTATTTCCCAGTCACCTTTTCTTAGACACTGGAAAGTTTATTCCATTAAAATGAAGAAACAAACCAAGAAAAAGGAAAACACGAATAAAAATAATAATAAAAAATAAATTTAAAAAAACAGAGGAGCTTCAAAACAATAGAGTCCTGAAGGAACTCTCCCAGGTGCTAGGGAAGGGAAATGCTAGAAGAGCAGCACCACAGAAGCACGCAGCCCCAGGGGGAGCAGCATTACCCAAGAGACAGACCCTCTACCACTGAACTGAGTCTGATTATACTCAGAATGATGTGGTCCAACCAGAAGTCAACCAAGAAAGAGAAACACTCAGACCAGGAAACAAAGGAATCCAACTCAGAAGGCAAAGAATATTCCTGAGATGACAGCACAGCTGTCCTAGGGTGTCATCTGTGTAGAAGACCTTGAGTGCATACAGTCCATAGAGCATAATGGAGGCCTCCAAGGATGGCTCTAAGAAAAAGAAATTAGAGCTGGCAAATTACCTGATATGATTAACTTTATAAAACATTGTGTTGAGAAACTATTAGGAGGTATGGGAAGATTTGCAATAAGTATCAAGAACACTAAGGAAAGTTTAAAAGGCAGTTATTAATTTCAGGAAAGAAACAAAAAGAAGGAAAACATAATCATGATGCATTATAAGTTTGTCTTCTTGGCTAACTTTCAACTGTCAGCATTGGCATCTCTTTGCAGAAGACTTTCACAAAAGCTTCAGAAGGCCACGCTGCCTGCACATGGCAGGCTGGAAGTATTGGGGAACTAACAACCCTTGGGAGCAGCCTTCAGTAAGTGGCTGATAGAAACTGGTATACAAATACCCCAGCTCCCTCACCTTTCAGGTGGGATGGCACTGAATTATGAGTTTTACACCAGTTCCCAGAGTTTCCCTCACAGAATTAAGCTCCAATTACCCATAGTGGTTACTTCTTGATAACGCACCCTCGATTACTGCCTTTTCTTCCGCTTATCACTTCCTTCCTCCCCTACTGGTGTTTCCTGTGCCTCCCAAATGAACTGCTTGTGCTTGAATCCTTGTCTCAGGGCCTGATCCTTGGAAACCCAGATATTACAGTTTTCAGCTGTGAATAAAACTTGGATAGGCATAGTAATGTTAACGTTGAGTATATACTTAACCAAAATTTGGAGCATAATTAAACCAGGAGAATAAGTGAGGAGAAGCGGATAGGATGGTAATATAAGGGAGTTAAATCCTCATCTGCTATATTAGAAACTCAATACATTATGTCTAAATTGATGAATCAAAGGAGAGCAGTATTCACATATTATTTGAAAGCATAAAATGCTAGAAGGAACAGGTTAAAGCGTCAAAAGTGGTTGTCTCTGTGGAGAGGGAGTCAGGAGAACGAACATGTTGGGACCAGGAATTGTGTATTTTCATATATAAACTCTTTACGTCATTTTAATAGTATTACTATTTTAATAGCATTACTACTAGTATGTACTATTTTGATTTAATTTAATTGAGGGAAGAAAAGAAGGAAAAAATAGAAAGAAAGGAATGAAGGAAGGAAAAATCAGAGAGGAAGAGGGCAAGAAAATTTAAAAAGGAGAAAGACAAAGGAGGCCATATCGCTTAGAAATGTCAAAATGTGTTATTATGTTTTAAGCTGTCTTTCCTCAGCTGGACTGTAACTCCTTAACCCCAAGGCTTATGTTAAATCCAAAGCTAGGAAAATTTATTTTCGAGAACCATGAAGTCATAAAACGTGTCTATTGTAGGAAATATTTTTGGACAATGAAATACGTCTTCCATTAGTCACTTAAGTTGTAAATGACCTCATTAGTGTGTATGTGTTTCTCATTCTTCTTTTTTTTAATCTCCCTAACATGATGTATTTCCTGTAGCTTTCAAGTTTAAAAGTATCTCTAGCTTGTGAAGCTCTTTCCACCTCAACCCATCACAGGTGTTTTTAATCCCTTTTCTAAGCAAATACTCTCCGTGAGGGGAAGAGACTCAAGTCTTCATGGATTTGGGGTACAGGAGACATGAAAGATGAAGAAGATGGAGTTTTCTTTTATGAAACTTACATCCTTTCCCAAGGACTGATATTACATGAACAAATTTTAGAAATCAAGATACAAATTATGATAAATACGTCGAATGGAATAAATGGTAGGATATAATTAAGAGCAAGTGCAAAAGGGTGCTGTAGACAGTGTGGTGAGTGTCGGCTCTCCAAGGACTGCAGGTGCTACTGGTTGGACATTCCCAGAGGCCCCAGCGCTGAAAGCCACAGGTCAGAATGGGCTTTTCAACATGGATGAGGTTGCAACCACCACAGAGTAGTGGCTGGAGAAGGAGACCTAGGTGAAGGGAAGAGAAAAGCAGCTTTAGTGGGAAGAGGAATGGGGAAAGGTTGACCTCTTCTACAATTTGCTAAGGACTGACTCACTGCCTATCTGCTAAGAAGCTCCTGTGAACTACTAATAGATTTCCTTAACAAGCATAGAGAAATACAAACTACTACCTTTGAGTTCATTTTTCTATCTTTACATTTAACATGAAAGGAAAGGCAATAAAAAGAAACAGTGTGCTGCCCAATGACCACAAAATACCCAAGAAAGAAGCAGAAAGACAAATTTTATTATGACAAACTTATCATGTATTCCATATTTGAATTCTATCAAAAGTTTGTCAGAATGACAAATTTATTATGTATTCCACATGTAAAATAGTGTGTACCTTCAAGAGAGATCTGAATATTAAATAAAATTCTTCAAATTTATTATGGTTTTTCACACCAACACTTCTGATTAAAATACTTGTTTCTCAATTGTCTTATCTCTGAGTAAAGGTAACGATCTGCTCTTTTTTCCCCAAAGGTGTCGAAACTTAAGGAAACTTAAGTTTCTTTAATTAATTAATTTCCTAGCAGCCTCAAGTCAAGGACTTATGTGACATGAAAGCGAAGTATTGTTGTAGACATTTCTCACAGTAATAACCTCACTGTCAGCTAGCTGGTTTACAGCTTGAAGATTCATGCATAATTTCATATCTCAACATATTGTTCATTTTTCACAATTTTAGATCAGAGACAAGGATGTGCCAGTGAGGTGAATCAATGACACAACAAGCAATGCTATTTAGAAAAATTACTCATGTTATTCTAGAGTCAACTACTCAAAACTGGTAAGAAATTACAAACTTTCAGTCTAAACAATTAAACTGAAAAAGGCAAACTAACTAAAAACAAAGAGGCTATGAATCTAAAAGCTCTGAGCTAATTGTAGAATCATTTGAATTCTATCAAACTCTCATTTTGGATCTGAGATTAAAGAAACATTTTTCAGGTTTTGCTATTTGCCATTTGTTAGGGTCCAAACAGTGCCTTTAAGATCTCTCTGGGCTTGTTAAAAGGGAACCCTTTTTTTTTTTTTTTTTTTTTGAGACCAAGTCTCGCTCTTTCACCCAGGCCAGAGTGCAGTGGCGTGATCTCGGCTCACTGCAAGTTCCGCCTCCCGGGTTCACGCCATTCTCCTGCCTCAGCCTCCCGAGGAGCTGGGACTACAGGCGCCCACCACCATGGCCAGCTAATTTTTTGTATTTTTAGTAGAGACAGGGTTTCACCGTGTTTGCCAGGATGCTCTCGATCTCCTGACCTCGTGATCCGCCGCCTCGGCCTCCCAAAATGCTGGGATTACAGGCGTGAGCCACCACGCCCGGCCGGCAACCCATTTTTAAACATCCTGCTTTGTCTGTTTGGCCAGCCATGGACTCTCAGCTCACCTTCTCAGCTGTGGCTCTGACTTCCACCCTCCCAGGCCAACGGTCTCATTCATCCTCTCAGTAGTCAGTCTGTCAGTCATTTCCTTATCTATTCTACAAATGTCTATCCAACCCCTACTCTGGGCTAGCACTGTTCTAGGAAATGAGTGTACAGAAAGGACAGAATAGGGCAGAATAGGACAGAAACGGCCCTGGTTCTGATGGCACCTGCACTGTGGTGGAGAAGACAGACAGGAAACAAATAAACCAAACTATTAAGAAAGTCACATCGGAGGTAAAAAAGAAGATCAGGAATGATTTGAAAATGGGGTGAAGCTTTAGATTGAGGGGTCAGGAAAGGCCTCCTTGAGGATGTGACCTCTAACCTGAAGCACAAATGTTAAGAAAACAGCCACTTGGAGGAGGTAGGTAAAGCATTTCAGGCAAAGGAAAGCACATGTGCAAAGGCCCTGAGGTGGAAGAGAAAATAGACACAGTAGAGCTAGATGCAAAAAACTTCCAATCCCCCAAATCATTGTGTTTACAAGTTACAAAACAATACGTATAGTTGAGCGAGGTGGGGGTGTTGAATTCAAAAGCAAGAGGGCTATTCCCCAAAATGTCAACAGTCATTTCCCAAAACAAAAAAAAAAGGCAACTTTAATTCTCGTTTTTCCATTTCTTGTAATTTCTAATATTTCTTCAATTAACATTAAGCTACTGATGTAATTAAAACGCAACTATTCTGAAAAACCCTGTTTACTTTCTTAAGAAAAATAAAATACACATTCAAAGAAAAAAATGGCAATTTTATCCATTTAGTAAACTTCATTTAGACTTTTAAAATTCAAAATCTGAGATAATTCTAGACACACTGGACTGAAAATTTCATGCTATCATCTATGAAAGTACATTATTTAGAAGTAATTCAAAGAAAATGATTTATATGAGGGGCTAAAACCAATAAACTCCTTTCAAGCTACTCTTTTCTAACCTTCCTGTTCAAACATTGTGTGTACTGAGGACAAACAGTTGTCTACATGCATCCGTCCTTACAAAGAGCCTAGCCCCAGTCTCTAACCCCAGTTCATCGCCTACACTCAAGAGCAATAACACTGCAATTCTGTAAAAACATTCTTTTAACTCAGCCTTTTACTAGATCCTATTTGCAAGACTTTTGTTATATTTATTAAATTTAGTGTGTTGAAAACAACTAAGAAGTCATGCATGCCTAACTATAAAAGCTAGAATCCTACAGCCTTAGACTGGGTATATAATTCTGGCAAATAAACAATTCTAGTTTCAGGCAGGTCTCTGCCAGCAACCAGACACCATGGTGACAGAGTACTGGAAGTAGCCATGCCAGAGGGCAGGCAGTGGCAGCATTGGTAGACAAACAGAAGGAGGCTAGGAGATAAGGCAAGAAAAGAAGAAGTCTGCAGAATATGTTCACTGAGTTTTTAGGTAAGAGGCAGTGCAAAGTATCAAGTTGATGTAATCAGTAGTTTGAGAGCATGCTTATGTTTTCATCAACCGTTCAGCTGCTGCAGCACCCCCAAATGGCTGTTAGGTTGGCAGTTCCCTCCACGGTCATAGACTTATGGCTCCCAAATTTGTCTCATCTTAATTATCATCTGAATGCTTCTCAAAATAGGGATTCTGGACACCACTCCTAGAGACCATGATTCAATAAGTGTGGGTTGAGCTTCAGAATCCATGTTCTTGCAAATCTCCCCCAGGTGATGCGACTAGGTTTGGGAGACCTAGCTTTAAAAGAGCAAAGCTGGCAAGCCCTCAGTTTAGCCATGTATCCCAGAGGTGCAACTTTGCAGGAGCTGAACGGCAGTCAGCATCCAGAGCTGCTGCTCTCTTATGAAGTGAGAGAGTTTTCCAGCACAAAGAATCTTTTTCAAATGAGCTGAAAAGAGTTTGGCATAAGGGATGCTTTACATTTCCAACCTGGCTGATCATCAGAATCGTTATAATTATTATTGTGATTATTGTTATTGTTATTATATTTTTTAAATTCAGAATCCCAGGCCACACCAGAGTCTGATTTAATATATCTGGGATGAAGTCTTTGAATCTGCACTTTCACCATCTCCAGTAGGTGGTTTAGGAACCACCAGGTTTGGGAGCAATTGCTCTATACTGGTAGCCCTAAAACTTTAGACTATATGTACCTTTTGGGTACTAATCAAATAAGCAACATCATAGCCCCCACCTTCAGAGACTCTGATTCTGTAGTTTGGGGAAGGACCCAGGAATTTCTATTTTTGATGAGCAACCCAAGCAGTTATCTTGCAGAGAATTCAAGGATTGTCCCTCCAGAAACACTGATCCAGAACAGCCACCCACCCCATCTCCTCTGCCTTATGCCACCAAGCTAATGGTAATCTGCACCTCACAGGAACCTTTCTTTCAAAAGTAAGAAGTAAAAGAATTTACGCTAATATTTCTTTAATGTATGCCATGGTAGGTATCCACCATGATGATTTCTTTTCACAGGCTCCAGGAAGACTTGTCAAAAAGGCCAAACATTTGGGTCAGCCACGTGGGCCACCAACCTCAAGGCTTGAACTGCACTGGGTAACACTGTCACCCAGGGAAGCTGAATGTGGACTGAGTTGGGAGGGAAAGAGTAATCCATTACTGAAAAGGAAAGTCAAGTTTATGGCACCTTGTCAGGTGCTGCTTAGTCGAGCAACATGAGACTATAGCCAGGAGATAAAGATGAAGGGCAAGATTTGAGAATGAAAGACGTAGGACACAAAATAGGTGACATGAAGGAAGAACCATGGTTGTGATGCCAGATATGAATGAAGCAAGGCTGCTGGGTCCTCAGTCTTTTGTTGTGTAGGCCAAGTGGCACACAAGTGGATCAGCTTGATCAAAGAAGGTAAATGGCAAGCTTGAACGAGAGTAGAGAGACTGATGTGTACGAATTCAGCAGTTGTCCTTTCTACCAGCAAATAAAATTTTCTGAGACATGACTTTGAATCTTGCACTCAAGGCTGGTGGGTCAGAGTGAAACACTTAGCTAGCGAGGGAGCCCAGTTCCCTCACCACAGCTATATCTGAATGTAAGCATGCTGCTCTTACTCATGGCTTTTGTGGTGAGTATTCACATGAAGAAATTTAAAACTAGAAAATTCACATTTAACAGTGCTAATATACATGAAAAGAAAGAGATCAGAGATAGTTATGGTCACATTTCTTATAATAGCAAACTCTGGTATACGTTGACCTCTGATGTGAGTGAAGATATCAGGAGTCTATTTTCAGGGAGAAACATTAACTCTGTATACATCTAACTCAGCCTGCTCTGTACATGGACCTGTGTAGCTAAATGCAACTAGAGCAAACCACACAGCCATACTGATCAGCCTCACTTTAAATTCATGACATTAATCTTTAGGAGCCCTTAGTGGTACCCAGAAATCATACTCTGCTTCCCTAGTCCTTTCATCTTCCCATTCTTCACACCTTGTCTTCCATCTTCAAACACTCAGGACACCCCCCCAACCCATCCCCACTCCCAGCGTTGACCTCACTTCCTATTTTGCTAAGAAATAGAAGGCATAGGAAGCTTCTTCTCATCCTACGTAGAAATGGGTGCCCATTTCCTCTTCCTTTCACCTATTCCTATGGATGAACTGTCCTGCATCTAGGTAGGGTTAAGCCTTCTGCTTATGTTCTGGCTCCTAAAGTCTCTGGGGTACTTGTGGAAATTGCTGCAGCAGTTCTCTCTTCTCCTTCTTACAGTATCAAGTTTCCTTTCTCTACAGGGTCTTTCCCATAGGCACACAGACACATTTGCCAGAGTTGATCATGCTCTCCTCCTTCAAGCATGGTCCTCATCTGGTTTCCAGGACACTCCCTCTCCTGGTTTTCCTCCTTCCTCACTGTCTGTTCCTCTCACTGTTCAATGCTGGTGCCTCCTCCTCTCCCCAACCCCAGCCCCTGGGGAATTCTTGGAATTCTTCTCTTCTGTGTCCACGCTCACTCTCAGTGATCCACCCAGCCTCAGGATTGTCAGAATCATGTATGAGCTGATGCCTCCCTCATTTCCATCTCTAGCCCAGGTGTCTCTCGTAAACTCTAGAATCACATACCCAACAGCTTATGTGATGTCTCTGCTTGGGTGTATAATGGTCATTTCCACTTTTACAAGTCCAAACTAAGTTCCTGCTCCTACTCTAACTCTTTTCCCACAGTCTTCTTTCCTCAAGAAAAGGCAGTGCCACTCTTCCAGCATGTTAGGTTCCAAACGCTGCAGCCATCCTTGACACCTCTTTTTTGTTCATTCCTCAGATTCAATCTATTAGCAAGTCTTCCCAGCTCTTTACTGAAGAGAGATCCAGAGCCTGACCACTCCTCACTGTCTCCACTATACTTCCCCTGCCTGGGCCACCTCATTCTCCATCTGAATGGCAGCAGGAGCTTTCTAACAGGCCTTTCTGCTTTTGCCCTTGCTGGTCCTCATCCAAACCTTAGCCCTGTATGCTAAAACACTCTACTCAGGCCTTCTCATCTCACTATGAAAGAAAGCAAAAGCCTTAGAATGGCCTCCAAGGCTCTACTCAACCTGGCCTCTATCACTCCATTCGTGTTGTTTCTTACTTCCTGCCCTCTCCCTCCAGCCTCACCCACCTCATTGCTGGTCCTTCAGTTCATTGGACACACTCCTGTTTCCAAAGACCTCTGTGTGGCTTGTTTCCTATCTCCTTTGGGTCTTTATTTAGACAGCATCTTCTCAGCGAGACCTTCCTTGACAGCCCTATTTACACTTGCAGCCCCCTGTTCTCCCATATCCTCCATTCTGGTTTTATTTTTCTTCTTCTTGGCACTTACCAGTATCTAATATGTTACATATTTAAATTGTTATAATGACAATGATTATTATTTTCTGTACTCTCGGCTACTCACATAAGCTCCACAGGAGCAAAGACACTTATCTGTTTTATTCATTCCCCTTTGTGCCCCAAAAGTGTCTAAAACAGTACCTGGCAGATTTCAGTGCAGAACTATTATTTTTTGAAAGAATCTAAGAGTTGGACCTTGAGATTTCATACTTCTGCCAGGCATGGACCATCCTCTAGAAGAGGTATAATAATCCACAGGTATAATAATCCAAGGTATCATAATCCACACGGCCTCTTAGCTCAAGGAAAGGAATTCAGAAAGGAAGCGAAAAAAAATGAAAGAAAACTTTCTCTACTATTTCTGTGTTTTTCTGAAAATTGAATACTTTTATATTCCAATTTTATTTTTAGAATGGTGACTAAGGCATTTTAGTATTTCTGTATTACTACCAGCCCTTCATTCTTTCCAAATAGTTTATAAAACCTTAATAATACATTTTATTTTAAAAATCATAGTCCCAGATTAAAATTCCTATACACTTGGGGAAAATATTATTGTCTCACTTTGGAGTGAAAAACCACCTTTGCATTTCTGCCTTGTGGACATCCACAAAGATAGGAAGAGTAATTCTATGCCTTCATCTGGCGTGGGCTTCTGTGCATTGATCAGTAGTAAAAGTTCTGGCCATATCCTTGCCCTCTTGGCCAAGCCTGTAGTTTAGCTGGGAAATTGTGTTTATTCTTATAGATCAAGAAACAAGAAACTAATTGGCCTGCCTGTGCGAAAGCATCAGGACAGAAGCAAATAAGAGCCTGTCTAAAGGTCTAGCTCCCTGGACTTTGAAATCCAAAACAGAAGTGTAAGTAAGTATCTGGTATTTCTTTGTTGAAGGGCAAATTAATATTTATCAGAATTCAGTATAGTTTGATCTACATTTTAACTTTATTTTCATATGATCACCACCCATGTAAAACAAATCTACATTTCTACTTAACCAATGGGGATGAGAGTTTGTATGAAGGGAGGGGTTAGGAGGCAAATTATTAATCTAACTTCCTTTTTTCAGGTGGCTAATGCTTACTATTACTTTCTAAGTAATATTATTTAGATGCTATTTAAATATTTAGCTGAAGAAGTGTTTGATGTTGAATAAGGGATACATACATGGGAAAATAACATTAGATTCAAAAACAATATAATTATTAATGTTGACGAAGAGTCAAACTCTGTAAAATATGAGAAGAGATTTATTCTGAGCCAAATATGAATGACCATGGCCCATGACACAGCCCTCAGCCTGAGAACATGTGCCCAAGGTTGTTGGGGTACAGCTTGGTTTTATACATTTTAGGAAGGCATGAGACATCAATCAAATACATTTAAGAAATACATTGATTTGTTTCAGAAAGGCAGGACAACTCAAAGTGGCGGCTTCCAGGCTACAGGTAAATTTAAACATTTTCTGGTTGGCAATTGGTTGAGTTTATCTGAAGACCTGGGATTAATGGAAAGGAATGTTCTGGTTAAGGCAAAGGATTGTGAAGACCAAGTTTTATTGTGCAGAGGAATTGCTTAGGTAGCGGACTTCAGAGAGAGAGCGGGTTGTAAAATGTTTCTTATAAGACCTAAAAGGGTGCCTAGCTCTTAGTTGATTATCTCCTGGAGCTAGGAAGGAAGGAAGGAAGGAGGGAAGAAGGGAAGAAGGGAGAAAGGGAGGAAGGGAGGGAGGGAGGGAGGGAGGGGAGGGGAGGGGAGGGGAGGGAAGAAAGGGGATTCTCTATAGAATGTGGATTTTTCCCACAAGAGATTTTGTAGGGCAATTTCAAGGCATGGCAAGGAAATATATTTTGGGGTAAAACATTTTTTATTTTCTTCCTTGTTATGCCAGAGTCAGATTGGAAAGTAAGTCATGATATACAGAGTCAAATAAAACCCATCTGATGAGAATTTATGGTTTGTAGGACATGACTCCCCAGACCCCTTAGATAGAAGTTTGGGCAAAATAAAAAATCAGAGCTTAGTCCTCATTAATGTTACAGGAAAAGAAAAGTAATCATATGTGATTACAAATAATCCCAGCTCAACTGTGGTCAAAATGATGCAAGTCTTGAATATTGCTGTAATCAAACTGAAGATAAATCTGTAAGAGGAGGATGGAAAGGGTACACCTGTGCACCAGAGCAAGAGGAGGAGAGAAAGCTATCATACCCCAAATCATCAACACAGAAGTTACAAACAGATCCATCTAAGAGTAAAAGGCAGTTTTCTCCAGAAGAGGGAAAAGAGGGAGGCTGAAGGCTGTTTCTCCCAACAGATCCTCAGGATGTGTTGACTCTCTAAAGTGTGTGCATACAATTGTAATGCAAACTTTTTGTAAAAGTAAATAAACCTTTTTACTGATATATACACACAGAAGATACACAATCATATGTAATTCTCACAAATAAACATATCCTGTGTCTACTACTTAGATCAGAGAGGTTCTGACTTCTTATTAAGAAAAACCACTCCCTGCATTCCTATTCTTTATCTCATCATCCCTCGTGTTTACTTCATAGCACAAGCTGTGTGTGTATATTTATTTGGATGTTGACATCTTTGTTTTCTCTCTCTCTCTCTCATGTAAATTCCACAAGTCAAGCTCCTTGTCTTTATTAATTGTTTTATACCCAGTGTCACTGTATATTACACACAACAATCTATCTCTGAATAAATGCAGCCATATGTTGCTTAGCAACAGAGATACATTCTGAGAAATGTATCATTAGGCAATTTGTCATGTCATTGTGTAAACATCATAGATTGCACTTACACAGACCTAAATGGCATAGCCCACTACACACCTAGGCTATATGGTACATCTCATGGCTCCTAGACTACAAAGCTGTGCAGCATGTTACTCTACTGAATACCATAGGCAATTGTAACACAATGGTAAGTATTTGTGTATCTAAACATAAAAAGGTACAGCACAAATATAGTCTTATGAGACCATGATCATATATGTGGTCTGTCATTGCCTGAAATGTCATTATGTGGTACATGACTGTATTGTTAAATGAATAGATAAATGAACACAAGGCCACAAATATGATAAAATGGTGCAGCCATTAAGAAACTTAAAACTGGATGATAACAATTCTAAGTATTGTTTTGCCTCATGCTCTTTGGATGTCAAGCTTATATAATAAAGAATAAGCCTGTGAGCTTATCTTTACAAGTAGAACATTCAGCACCAGGCCTGAAACATAATGAAACAATCAATAAGTATGTGTTAGATGTCTAACTAAATGTTTTCCCATACTATGCCAACTATCACAGTTTGAGACATAGGCTCTTCCTACATAGGAATGTGGTCTTCTCTTAAAAAAAAAAACTTTTTAAATTATAATTGCAGGGTTGGCAATATCTTGCTACCCAAACAAGTACCTCTAGGCACAGCTGCTATTTACCAACACCCAACTGGAGAGGAAGCAAGGAATTAGCACAGTCAAAACTGGAAGGTCTTCGATACATTTCTGTGTTAATCCATTGTCTCTCTTCTCTGTACCCCTCTCTATACCCCTCATTTAAGACCTCTAGTCCCTCCTGCTTTTCTGAGCCCATCTTCTTACCAGCTTAGGAAATGACTCTATATCATCTTACTCCTCCATTGATTACACTTCAGGATGAATAAGTGTTGTCCTTTCCACTAATGCATCCAACATAATTGTGTTCCATCTTTTATCTGTAACCACATAATATGGTTTAAATTTGTGTCCCTGCCCAAATCTCATGTCGAATTGTAATAATCCCCAAGGTTGGAGGAGGGGCCTGGTGGGAGGATATTGGATCAAGGGGACAGATTCTCCTTTGCTGGTCTCTTGACTATAAGTGAATTCTCACAGATCTGTGAGGTGTGTAGCACCTCTCCCCACTCTCTTCCTCCTGCTCTGGCCATGTAAGCTGTGCCTTCCACCATAATTATAAGTTTCCCAAGGCCTCCCCAGCCATGCTTCCTGTACAGCCTGCAGAACCACGAGCCAATTAAACCTCTTTTCTTTACAAATTACTCAGTCTCAGGTATTTCTTTATAGTAGTGTGAGAATGAACTAATACACCATAGAAAGAAAAATAGTCTTGTTCTTTTTAAAACAGAGTTTCAAACCTCTCCCTCAAAAAGACTGTGTTCAGGGCTGAGACCCCTCAGAGGCTCCCCTTTACACACAAGGAAGAGGGGAATGATGCCTCTGGGGTATGTCTAGTGCCCTCTCCCCAAACTCCACACTAGAACAACACCTTCTCTCTGTGTAAACCCTAGTCTCCGCTGGGGTTCAGGTATGCCATGGAACTCAGAGGCGGGCTTGCCCAGAATCTTGACAGTGGGAAATAACCAGCCTACAAAGGGCCATGTGGCCATAGACAGAAAACTGTCTGTGGAAGGAGAAATAGGGTGGTCAGAAGAGGAGAGCAATCCTGAGAATCACATAGTGGCTGTCACTGAGGTTTTTCTCTGATCTATCCCCCATTGACTCCAACCTAGGTCAAGGGTAAGAAAAGCCTGGAACTCAACCTGAACAAGCTATTTCACTTAAGACTCTGTAAACCTTTGGAGCCTTTCAGTGGAAGGCAACATGAGAAGGAGAGGTGCCCTCCCCACTTCCCACCTCCAAGCTCTAGCACACCTGCAGCGGTCTCTAGTGGAACATGATAGAACCCCGAAGAGGCAGGCTAGTGAGAAGGAAGAAACAGCAGACGCTGTGTGAAGGCTGACCAGGCTTGCTTTCGACCACACATGAGATGCATTTCAGGGACTTCCAGAAATGCTTGAGGAAACAACACAGGGGCTGGGATCTGTAACAGTCAAATGGAGGCAAAACCATCAACTGCTGCTCCTATGTTCAAAGCACACGGTAGGGCTGCAGACAAGAAGTGTATGGCTTTTTGTGAATCACAAAATCTAAGCTTTCATCCCACCTCCTAACCAGCACTTGCTTCTTTTCTCCTCTCCCCTTCATCTGAAGACTGTGCACTATCTGAGGGCAAGGACAGCATCTGACTTCCCACCGACACAGTTACTGCCAAGGGGAGGTGCTCAATAAAGATGTGTGGAATGGAATGAATGAACAGAGGAATGGAATTGAACCAATTTGGTACAATAAATTATTGTGCAAAATTTTAAGGTGGAAGACGTTTCTGATGTTTACTTTCAATGTATGCAACAAGAAGGTAAGTTTAAAACTGGATCCTACCACTTACCTGCTCTCTCTTCCCGTGCCTCTAGGATTCCACTGCTAAATGTGCAGATAATTCCCATATTCATTGCTGACTCAGTGTCTCTTTCTGACCTTGTATTGATGACATGGCAGAAAGGGCTGGAGGAGGAAAATCCATGTCTAAGCAGAACAGCTGTGTACGAGGAGGTCCCTCCTTAAGCACAGTTTGCCTAAACAGCTCTGAACCGGGATGGTGCCCTAAAAGGGCGTTTCCGGAGTTTAGGGTGAGAACTTACCACTGTGCCTGCTAGTGGGGGCCTTGAGCCTGTTACATGAAGAGGAGAATCATTTGGTGAGTGACTGGGGTTTAGGTTTAAGCATCCCTGTTTACTAACTGCATGACCAGGAACAAATTTCCTAACTTCTCTGGGTCTCATTTGCCTTCTTTCTTGAAATATAATAATGTCGACTTACCTACATCACCTATTGTTGAATCAAACAAGAGAATCGTATACTAATTTGCATATAAAAATAGTACACACACACTAGATTCAGACTATCATGAGAAAAGACAATTCTCACTGAAATCGGAGAGAAAGTCTTTTTTAGCTGCTTGGAATCGTCCCACTTTATTGCAACATTGATTGTGATTTCAAACACTTTTTTTTCTAAGTCAAACTTTCAGGGCCTATTAAATACCTTTGAGAACAATGTCCTTTGTCTTTGCTTTTTAAATTAGTTTCATTCTTGCAAATGGCCAGTCGTTTCAGTACTATCAAAAGGAGTTCACGTTGTAAAAGTATAAAAAAGAACTTTTTCCTTGCATTAGTTACTGATCAGTGGAGTAATGGCCTACATTTGTTCACACAAAGACCTAATGGATAACTTTTTAAAAACAACATTGTGACGAAGAAGTAGTTAGATTTAGAAACCATTAAATATTATAGAATAGAATAACCCAAAAGCACTTAATCATCATGTAGCTTTGTAAAAAATCTATAGTTGGAATTCATTCTTCATATGCTTTTATTTCTATGGAATCCTTACAAGCTCCAGGCTGTGTGTTTTTTACTTTTAGTAAATGTTTATCCCTTATGTCTGTGTCATAGTCCACCATGGTTTGATTTGCCCCAAAGTCAAAATACTCTCTTGATCATTGTACACAGAATTAATCAAGACTGACAGGACTATTAATGGTGCTTATCGCTTACATAAGAGAGAGGAGGAGTGCTGGGCTTGGCTGTGGGGTGTTTCCTGAAACTGGAATAAAAGGATCCCCGCCAAAACATGGAAAGTTGTTCACAAGCTTTGCAGATGAGCTTTTCTTTTTTCTTTTTCTTGATTTCAATAGGTTTTTGGGGAACAGGTGGTACTTGGTTACATGAATAAGTTCTTTAGCGGTGATTTCTGAGATTTTTGTCTGTTAACCCTGCTGATTATTTCTTTTGCTGTGCAGGAGCTTTTTAGTTTAATTAAGTCCCATCTATTTCTCTTTGTTTTTGGTGCATTTGCTTTTGGGTTCTTGGTCATGACGTCTTGTCTAAGCCAATGTCTAGAAGGGTTTTTTGATGTTATCTTCTAGAATTTTTATGGTTTCAGATCTTAAATTTAAGTCTTTGATCCATCTTGAGTTGATTTTTGTATGAGGTGAGAGATAGATATCTAGTTTCATTCTTCTACATGTAGCTAGCCAATTATCCCAGCACCGTTTGTTGAGTAGGGTATCCTTTCTCCACTTTATGTTTTTATTTGCTTTGTCAAGATCAGTTGACTGTATCTGGCTTAATTTCTGGGTTCTCTATTCTGTTCCACTGGTCTATGTGCCAATTTTTATACCAGTATAATGCTGTTTTGGTGACTGTGGCCTTACAGTATAGTTTGAAGTCAGGTAATGTGATGCCTCTAGTTTTGTTCCTTTTGCTTAGTCTTGCTTTGGCTCTGTGGGCTCTTTTTTGGTTCCATATGAATTTTAGGATTTTTTTCTAGTTCTATGAGAAATGATGGTGGTGTTTTGATGGGAATTGCAATGAATTTATAGATTGCTTTTGGCAGTATGGTCATTTTCACAATATTGAATCCATGAGCATGGGATGTGTTTCCATTTGTATGTCATCTATGTTTTCTTTCAGCAGTGTTTTGTAATTTTCCTTGTAGACGTCTTTCAAGTCCTTGGTTAGGTATATTCCTATGTATTTTATTATTATTATTTTTTGCAGCTATCGTGAAAGGAGTTGAGTTCTTGATTTGATTCTCAGCTTGGTCGCTGTTGGTATACAGCAGAGCTACTGATTTGTGTGCATTAATTTTGTATTCTGAAACTTTGCTGAATACATTTACCAGTTCTAGGAGCTTTTTGGATGAGTCTTTAGGTTTTTCTAGGTATACAATCATACCATCAGCAAACAGTGACAGTTTGACCTCCTCTTTACCAATTTGGATGCCCTTTATTTCTTTCTCTTGTCTGATTGCTCTGGCTAGGACTACCAGTACTATGTTGAGTAGAAGTGGTGAAAGTGGGCATCCTTGTCTTGTTCCAGTTCTCAGGGGGAATGCTTTAAAATTTTCCCTGTTCAGTATAATATTGGCTGTGGGTTTGTCATAGATGGCTTTTATTACCTTAACGTTTGTCCCTTCTATGCCGATTTTGCTGAGGATTTTAATCATAAAGCAATGTTGGATTTTTGTCAAATGCTTTTTCTGCATCTATTGAGAAGGTCATGTGATTTTTGTTTTTAATTTTGTTTGTGTGGTGTTTCACATTTATTTACTTGTGTATGTTAAACCATCCCTGCATCCCTGGTTTGAAACCACTTGATCATGGTAAATTAACTTTTTGATATGTTGTTGGACTTGGTTCCCTAGCATTTTCTTTGAGGATTTTGCATCTGTGTTCATCAGGGATATTGGTCTGTAGTTTTCTTTTTTTGTTATGTCTTTCCCTGGTTTTGGTATTAGGGTGATTCTGGCTTCCTAGAATGATTTAGGGAGGATTTCCTCTTTCTCTATCTTTTGGAATAGTGTCAATAGGATTGGTACCAATTCTTCTTTGAATGTCTGATACAATTCAGCTGTGAATCGGTCTGGTCCTGAACTTTTTTTTGTTGACAATTGTTAAATTACCATTTCAATCTCACTGTGTGTTATTGTTATGTTCAGAGATTTTATATCTTCCTCATTTAATCCAGGAGGTTATTTCTCCAGGAATTTCTCCATCTCCTCTAGGTTTTCTAGTTTATGCATGTAAAGGTGTTCATAGCAGCCTTGAATAATGTTTTGTATTTATATGGTATGAGTTGTA
Source organism: Homo sapiens (assembly GCF_000001405.40). Lineage (NCBI taxonomy): Eukaryota > Metazoa > Chordata > Mammalia > Primates > Hominidae > Homo > Homo sapiens. Next base: position 156,224,742 of record NC_000003.12, on the reverse strand, counting down.
ATATACCCCATTTCATTTCTAATGGAGCTCATTTGGATCTTCTCTCTTCTCGGTTAATCTCTCTAATGGTCTATCAATTTTATTTATCTTTTCAAAGAATCAGCTTTCTGTTTCATTTATCTTTTGTATTTACATTGTTGTTTGTTTCAATTTCATTTAGTTCTGCTCTGATTATCATTATTTCTTTTCTTCTGCTGGGTTTGGGTTTGAATTGTCCTTGTTTCTCCAGCTCTGTGAGGTAAGAACTTAGATTTGAGAGGTGACAGCATGCTGGCAGCCCTCGCAGCCCTCGCTTGCTCTTGGCGCCTCCTCGGCCTTGGCGCCCACTCTGGCCGTGCTTGAAGAGCCCTTCAGCCCGCCGCTGCACTGTGGGAGCCTCTTTCTGGGCTGGCCAAGGCCGGAGCCGGCTCCCTCAGCTTGCAGGGAGGTGTGGTGGGAGAGGCACGGGTGGAAACCGGGGCTGCGTGCGGTGCTTGCGGGCCAGCACGAGTTCCGGGTGGGCGTGGGCTCAGTGGGCCCGCACTCAGAGCGGCCGGCTGGCTGGCCCCGCTGACCCCAGGCAGTGAGAGGCTTAGCACCCAGGCCAGCAGCTGTGGAGGGTGTGCCGGGTCCCCCAGCAGTGCTGGCCCACCGGCACTGAGCTTGATTTCTCACCTGGCCTTAGCTGCCTCCCCACGGGGCAGGGCTCAGGACATGCAGCCCGCCATGCCTGAGTCTCACATCCCCCCCAACCAACTGCAGTGGGCTCCTGCGCGGCCTGAGCCTCCCTGATGAGCGCTGCCCCCTGCTCCACGGAGCCCGGTCCCATCAACCACCCAAGGGCTGAGGAGTGCGGGCACATGGCGCAGGACTGGCAGGCAGCTTCACCTGTGCCCCAGTGCGGGATACACTGGGTGAAGCCAGCTGGGCTCCTGAGTCTGGTGGGGACTTGGAGAACCTTTATGTCTAGCTAGGGGATTGTGAATACACCAATCAGCACCCTGTATCTAGCTCAAGGTTTGTAAACACACCAATCAGCACCCTGTGTCTAGCTCAGGGTCTGTGGATGCACCAATCAGCGCTCTGTGTCTAGCTGATCTGGTGGGAACTTGGAGAACCTTTATGTCTAGCTAAGGGATTGTAAATACACCAATCAGCACTCTGTATCTAGCTCAAGGTTTGTAAATGCACCAATCAGCACCCTGTGTCTAGCTCAAGGTTTGTAAATACACCAATGAGTACTCTGTGTCTAGCTAATCTAGTGGGGACTTGGAGCACTTTTGTGTCTAGCTCAGGGATTGTAAATGCACCAATCAGCACCCTGTCAAAATGGACCAATCAGCTCTCTGTAAAACAGACTAATCGGCTCTCTGTAAAATGGACCAATCAGCAGGATGTGGGTAGGGCCAGATAAGAGAATAAAACCAGGCTGCCCAAGCCAGCAATGGCAACCTGCTTGGGTCCCCTTCCACACTGTGGAAGCTTTGTTCTTTCACTCTTTGCAATAAATCTTGCTGCTGCTCTCTCTTTGGGTCCACACTGCCTTTATGAGCTGTAACACTCACCGCAAAGGTCTGCAGCTTCACTGCTGAAGCCAGTGAGACCACAAACCCACCAGAAGGAAGAAACTCTGAACACATCTGAACAGCAGAAGGAACAAACTCCGGACACACTGCCTTTAAGAACTGTAACACTCACTGTGAGGGTCCGTGGCTTCATTCTTGAAGTCAGTGAGACCAAGAACCCACCAATTCCGGACACAGATTGTCTAATTGTGCTCTTTTAGACTTGTTGATGTAGGCATTTAATGCTATGAACTTTCCTCTTAGCACTGCTTTTGCTATATCCCAGAGGTTTTGATAGGTTTTGTCACTATTATCATTCAGTTCAAAGACTTTTTTAATTCCCATCTTGATTTCATTGTTGACCCAACAATCATTCAGGATCAGGTTATTTAATTTCCATATATTTGCATGGTTTTGAAGGTTCCTTTTGGAGTTGATTTCCAATTTTATTCCACTGTAGTCTGAGAGAGTACTTGATGAAATTTAGATTTTCTTAAATTTGCTGAGACTTGTTTTGTGGCCTATCATATTATCTATCTTGGAGAATGTTCCATGTGCTGATGAATAGAATGTATATTCTACAGTTGTTGGGTAGAATGTTCTATAAATATATCTGTTGAGTCAATTTGCTGTAGGGTATAGTTTAAGTCCATTGTTTCTCTGTTGACTTTCTGTCTTGATGACCTGTCTAGTGCTGTCAGTGGAGTGTTAGAGTCCCCCACTATTATGGTGTTGCTGTCTAGCTCATTTCTTAGGTATAGTAGTAATTGTTTTATAAATTTGGGAGCTCCAGTGTTAGATGCATGTATATTTAGAATTGTGATATTTTCTTGTTGGACTAGTTCTTTTATCATTATATAGTGTTCTTTGTCTTTTTTAACTGATGTTGCTTTAAAGTTTGTTTTGTCTGGTAGAAGAATAGCTACTTCTGCTCACTTTTAGTGTCCATTTGCAGGGAATATCTTCTTCCCGCCCCCCTTTACCTTAAGTTTACGTGAGTCCTCATATGTTAGGTGAGTCTACTGAAGGTAGCAGAATTGGTTGGTGAATTCTTATCCATTCTGCCATTCTGTATCTTTTAAGCGGAGCATTTTAGGCCATTTACATTCAATGTTGATATTGAAATGTGAGGTACTATTCTATTCATCATGCTTTTTGTTGCCTGAATACCTTGTTTTGTTTTGTTTTTTAATTGTGTTATTGTTATATAGGTCCTGTGAGATTTATGCTTTAAGGAGATGCTATTCTGGTATATTTTGAGGATTTGTCTCAAGATTTAGTGCTCCGTCTAGCAGTTCTTACAGTGCTGGCTTGGTAATGGAAAATTCTGTCAGTGTTTGCTTGTCTGGAAAAGATTGTGTCTTTCCTTCATTTATGAAGCGTAGTTTTGCTGGACACAAAACTTTTTTTTTGGCGGGGGGGGATGGAGTTTTGCTCTTTTCGCCCAGGCTGGAGTGTAATGTCATGATCTCAGCTCACTGCAACCTCTGCCTCCCAGATTCAAGCAATTCTCCCACCTCAGCCTCCCAAGTAGCTGTGATTACAGGCGCCCACCACCATGTCCGGCTAATTTTTGTATTTTTAGTACAGACAGGGTTTCACCATGTTGACCAGGCTGGTCTCAAACTCCTGACCTCAGGTGATCCACCCGCCTCAGCCCTCAAAGTGCTGGGATTACAGGCGTGAGTCTCCACCATGCCCGGCCACAAAATTCTTGACTGATAATTATTTTGATGAAGGGGGCTAAAGATAGGACCCCAATCCCTTCTATGGTTTCTGCTGAGAAATCTGTTAATCTGATAGGTTTTCCTTTATAGGTTACCTGATGCTTTTGCCTCACAGCTCTTAAGATTCTTTCCTTCAATATCGTGAAAATGGCCATACTGCCTAAGGTAATTTATTAATTTAGATTCAATGCTATCCCCATCAAGCTACCACTGACTTTCTTCACAAAATTGGAAAAAACTACTTTAAAGTTCATATGGAACCAAAAGTGAGCCCACATAGCCAAGACAATCCTAAGCAAAAAGAACAAAGCTGGAGGTATCATGCTACCTGACTTCAAACTATACTACAAGGCTACAGTAACCAAAACAGCATGGTACTGGTACCAAAACAGAGATATAGACCAATGGAACAGAACAGAGGCCACAGAAATAACACCACACATCTACAACCATCTGATCTTTGACAAAACTGACAAAAACAAGCAATGGGGAAAGGATTCCCTATTTAATAAATGGTGCTGGGGAAACTGGCTATCCATATGTAGAAAGCTGAAACTGGATCCCTTCCTTACACCTTATACAAAAATTAAGTCAAGACAGATTAAAGACTTAAATGTAAGACCTCACACCATAAAAACCCTAGAAGAAAACCTAGGCAATACCATTCAGGACATAGGCATGGGCAAAGACTTCATGACTAAAACATCAAAAGCAATGGCAATAAAAGCCAAAATAGACAAATGGGATCTAATTAAACTAAAGAGCTTCTGCACAGCAAAAGAAACTGTCATCAGAGTAAACACGCAACCTACAGAATGGGAGAAACTCTTTGCAATATACCCATCTGACAAAGAGCTAATATCCAGAATCTACAAAGAACTTAAACAAATTTACAAGAAAAAATCAAAACTCCATCAAAAAGTGGGCAAAGGATATGAACAGACACTTCTCAAAAGAAGACATTTATGCAGCCAACAGACACACGAAAAAATGCTCATCATCACTGGTCATCAGAGAAATGCAAATCAAAACCACAATGAGATGCCATCTCATGCCAGTTAGAATGGCAATCATTAAAAAGTCAGGAAACAACAGAAGCTGGAGAGGATGTGGAGAAATAGGAATGCTTTTACACTGTTGGTGGGAGTGTAAGTTAGTTCAACCATTGTGGAAGACAGTGTGGCGATTCCTCAAGGATCTAGAACTAGAAATACCATTTGACCCAGTGATCCCATTACTGTGCATATACCCAAATGATTATAAATCATGCTACTATATGGACACATGCACACGTATATTTATTACGGCACTATTCACAATAGCAAAGACTTGGAACCAACCCAAATGTCCAACAATTATAGACTGGATAAAGAAAATGTGGCACATATACACCATAGAATACTATGCAGCCATAAAAAAGGATGAGTTCATGTCCTTTGCAGGGACATGGATGAAGCTGGAAACCATCATTCCAAGCAAACTATCACAAGCACAGAAAAGCAAACACCGCATGTTCTCACTCACAGGTGGGAGTCAAACAATGAGAACACATGGACACAGGGCTGGGAACATCACACACTGGGGCCTGTCAGGGGGTTAGGGGCTGGGGGAGGGATAGCATTAGGAGAAATACCTAATGTAAATGACGAGTTGATGGGTACAGCAAACCACCATGGCACAGGTTTACCTATATAACAAACCTGCACGTTGTTCACATGTACCCTAGAACTTAAAGTATAATAATAATAATAATAATAATAATAATAATAATAATAAAAAGATTCCTTCCTTCGCTTTTGACTTTAGATAACCTGAGGACTATGTGCCCAGGTGATGACATTTTTGTGATTAATTTCCCACATGTTCTTTGAGCTTCTTGTATTTGCATGTCTAGATCTCTAGCAAGGCTGGAAAGTTTTCCTCAATTATTCCCTCAAATATGTTTTCCAAACTTTTAGATTCCTCTTCTTCCTCGGGAACACCAATTATTCTTAGGTTTGGACATTTAACATAGTCCAAATTTCTCGGAGGTTTTGTTCATTTTTTAAATTCTTTTTTCTTTGTCTTTGACGGATTAGGTTAATTCAAAAACCTAGTCTTCAAGCTCTGAAGTTCTTTCTTCTGCTTGTTTGATTCTATTGCTGAGACTTTCCAGGGCATTTTGCATTTCTCTGAATGTGTCCTTGATTTCCAGAAGTTGTGATTCTATTTTATTTATGTTCTCTATTTCACTGAAGAAGTTTCATTTCATACCCTGTATCATGTTTTTGATTTTTTTTAAGTTGGACTTCACCTTTGTCTGATGCCTCCTTGGTTAGCCTAATAATTGACCTTCTGAATCCTTTTTCTGGCAATTAAGAGATTTTTTTCTTGGTTTGGATCCATTGCTGGTGAGCTGGTATGATCTCTTCAGGGTGTAAATATCCTTGTTTTGTCATATTACCAGAACTGTTTTTCTGATTCCTTCTCATTTGGGTAGACTGTAAGAGGGAAGACCTGAGATCAAGGGCTGCTGTTCAGGTTCTTTTGTCCCACAGAGTGCTCCCTTGATGTGGTGTTCTCCCCCTTCCCCTAGGAATGAGGCTTCCTGAGAGCCAAACTGCAGTGATTTTTATTTTATTTTTTTTATATTTATTTATTTATTTATTTTTATTTTATTTTATTATTATTTTTTTTTTTTTTTTTGCTGTTCTGGGTCTAGCCACCCTGCAGAGCTATGGGACTCCAGGCTGGTACTGCGGAGTGTCTGCAAAGAGTCCTGTGATGTGATCTGTCTTCAGGTCTTGCAGCCATGGATACCAGCACCTGCTTCAGTGGAGGTAGCAGGGAAGTGAAGTGGACTCTGTAAGGGTCCTTGGTTGTGTATTTGTTTAGTGTGCTGGTTTTGTTTTCGTTGGCCTCCAGACAGGAGGTGACGCTTTTAAGAGTACATCAGCTGCAGTCCTATAGGGATGATGCAAATTTGCCCTAGGGACAACTGGTTAAGTATTCAGGTTTCTCAGGCAGTGGGCAGGGCTATAGAGCTACCAAGAGATTATAACCTTTGTCTTCAGCTGCCAGGGCAGGTAGAGAAAGACCACCAGTTAGGGGCTGGGATAGGCATGTCTGGGCTCAGCCTCTCCTTTGGCAGGGCTTGCTGTGGCTGCTGTGGGGGATGGCAATGTGGTTCCCAGTCCAGTGGAGTTATATTCGCAGGGGGATTATGGCTGCCTCTGCTGAGTCATACGGGTCACCAGGGAAGTGGGGAAAAGCCAGCAGTCACTGGCCTCACCCCGCTCTCACACAGCCCACAGTCCTAAAGGCCGGTCTCATTCCCACCATGTCCCCACAACAGCACCGAGTCTGGCAGCTGGTGACCAGGGCTGAGAACTTGCCCCAGACCACGAGCCTCCCTGTGAAGAAAGCAAGCTGACTCACAGTTTTTCCACATTTCAGGGAGCCTGCAGCAGTGATTCTGTTCTTTCAGAGCGTCTGTGGATTCCCTCTGCTTTTCTGGTATGTTCCTGCGGTAGTTCTTGGAGCAAGTTTATGATGTGAGTCTCCACATATCACTCAGTCCATCAGAGTGGGAGCTACAAGCTAGTCCTGCCTCCTATTTGCCATCTTAATCCCTAGACTGGAGATTTTCAATTCCTGATACTGGCGTTACCTGTTCCAGGTAACTGGAGGTACACAACTCCCTGTTGTAAATGGGACATTATGACCAGCTTGTTTCCAGAGACACCATAACAGGTATTTGCCATCCCCTGGAGGGAGGCACAGGCATGTTAAATAATGAGCACTCTTTCTATATCAATAATAAATGCCAAAGCAGCTCCAAGACTTTACATTTTTAAAATGACAAGAAGAAAATAAGCTCTATAGTCTCTACATCCCTGGAACTCAAGTAAGAAAAGAGTTCCTGATTTTCTTTGTTCATACTAAACCATAGTGGAAACGCAATGACTTCAAAAGAACAAAAATCTCTGAGAGTGAATGAGCTCATCAGGACAGCCTCTTTTTACTCAGGTCTTAAGAAAGTCATTTTTAAAACTAGGGAAATGATTTTTTTTCGTATATCACTCTAGTTTCCTGATTGCATGTCTCAAAACATAATGTGACATGAAACTTTAAATCATATTAACTTTTTTGTTGTTGTTGCTGTTGTTAACATATTTGGAAAAGAGAGGCCAAAGTAATAATAATCATGTCACCCAAATTAATAGCACAACATCTGGATTGCAATTTTTACAGATTCATCAGAACTGGAACCAGATGCACATTATCTTTGCTGACTCTGAACAATATTATTGTACTTTCTCTAAACATAGCAGTGGAGTCTGTTTGACGTGTAGGAATCTGCGGCATCATTACCTTGGGTGTAAAATGCTGTTTTCATGCCTTTGGCAAACATCAGTCACCTGGCCTTGACACTCTAATTTCATCTCTACAGCCTGCCTTGCCATTGTCAACAAATGGACCTGATTACACTTGTACGGTTCAACTCTAGTTGAAAAGAAAATAAGCCTCTGAACAAATAAGCATTTGTTCCTCCAGGTCAGTCATGTAAAACCTAAAATCACTTCATACTGGGGATGCTGATGGAAAGAACTCAGGTGCTGGACAAACAGATGTGGGCTTAAACTCTGCTCCACCACCCTCATGCTGGGCAACTGGCAGCAATTTTCTCAATTTCTTTGAGAGTCAATTTCCTCATCTGTCAAGCAGGGATAAAACTACCTAATTGTCCAAAAGTAGGGGAATTTAAAGGAGAAAATGAGTTAAAAGCCCAGTGTCTGGCACTAAGTAGGGACTACTGAATGTTCCTCTTGCCCCCATCCCACCCTATCTTCCCCCAGAGTCTACTCTGCCTCATTCATGCACAGGGTTAGTACTAGACAGTCTTTCTTAACAACAGTTTTGTCAAATGTTATTCATTCTAGTTTGGGCGGAAAACCTAAGGACCAGATAAACAAGTTATCTAGCTTATTTCCAACCATCTCTTCAGTGCCTAGAACTGTTCACAAAACATTTAGGCACTCAGAAAACATTTGAAGAATGACGGAATGTAATTGCAAGCCCAGGACCACCCAAGGTTGCCTGGAAACATGGCATGCCTATGTTCATGCCAGCTTTCAGCAGCAATCTGCAGCAGCCAGTAGTTCTTACCATCAGAGACCTTTTAAATCTTCATTTCCCATCTACCTCCTCCCTATAAATACTAGAAATAATGATTTCATCTACAACTAATCAAGGGCTTGGATCAGCATGAAGTAGCTAAGGTTACCATCCTTAGTTAATCAAATTCCAGCTTGAAATAAGTAAGATTCTATTTCATTAACGTATTGCCTAAGTTAAAATAATAAAAGTCAGCAGACCTCAACAGTGCTTCTGAGGATCTGCGAGGGCCAGGAGACCCCAAATTTGTAGCTACCCACTATATCCAAAGGCTTTTCCAGAAGCAAAGCAAAATCTTGAACTGTGTTATGTTGAACCATATGAAATTGTGATTTTTGTATTTTGAAAATGGTCCTATGTCAGCAATTTCATAAAAATCAATCTAATACCACACTGAGCACCAGCTAACAAACCCTGAGTGCTTTACTCTCCCACATAATGAAAGGAATTATGTCATCTCTCTCCTCGAAAAATCTTCCACGGCCACCCATTCTATATGAATCCTGTAGGCAGCAGTGGAGGCCATTCTTACCTCAGTTCAGCCTCTCTCTGATCCTTCCCTTTCTTCCTCCCCAGGTAGCCTGTGATGCCACTGCAGTGGTGGATGTTCCCTGAACACGCTGTGCATTTTCTCACCTCAGGGTCTTCAGTCAAGCTGCTGCATCTATGTGGAATTCCCTGTCTGTCTCCACCAACTGCCAAATGCTTGCTGATCTTTCAAGATGGAAGTGAAAGGACACTACCTCTCCTAAGCTTTCCCTAGTGCCTTCATGTACCACCAACCCCCAAGTCAAAATTTACCTCCACCACCTCAGCACTTTCATAACCTCTGCCTGACCTCTACTTTAGGACGAAATAAAACTTATCTTGTTCTATTAACTGGATGTATAGGTTTAATTCCCCAACAGATTTTAAGGCCTACAAGAAGAAACTAAATTTATCCATCTCACGTCTCTTATACTGCACACATACTAGGAGGTCATTACATGTCAATTGAATTGAGTGATGCTTGCGGGCCACAGGTAACTCTCCATGACTTATGCCTTGCTCAAGAGCGTAGGTTTTGTTTGACTCCCACCTCTGCCATTAATATCTGAATACATTCTGCAAGTTACCTAACTTCCATAGCTTCTCTTTTCTCATCTCAAACAAATGAGCTAATAGTCCCTACTTCTCAGAATTGTTATAAAAATTAAATAAAATAATGTAGAAAACTTACTTAGCCTGTCATGAAGTAGGCACTCAGAAATGAGAACAATTACAATTTAGTTACTCTTATAATAATTATGATTATCTGTTTAACAATTAACTCATAGGTAATAGGTTTAAAGAAAGAATAATACTAGAGGTGGATAAGGAATAGACATTTCCAAGGAAGGCTGTACACCCTGAAAGACCAGTGTGTGAAGATCCTGCTTGTGGCGGGCGACAGCCTGATGTGTTTCGTGCAAACACATCAATCCCATTATCCCCTCGTGACAAGAATGAATGTTTCAACCTTTATTACACTCACTGGGAAGACATGACTAGATCAGAAGTTTTGAGAAATTAGTTTTGGCTTCAATTGAGCTGTGAAAACTTGTTAAATCATTTCATTCTGTTACCATTCAAGAATACGGTCGGGTGGTTTCCTGATCCTTTCCAGCCTGTAGATGGCCTTGGAATCATTTAGCTGAATGCCCTACCTTGAGATCACTGCAGTCAGGTAACTATCTGCTCTCAGCTGACAAAATCTCTCCATCTTCCAAAAAGGAAAGCAATAACAGGAAGTTTGGGGACTGATTTTTTATGAGTCTTTCCATTTTTGTCTTGGGTGGCAAAAGAAAACACTCAGTATTCTCTACTCACACAACAATTCTAATACCGAACGTGTGGGTTTTCCACACCAGGCAGTTCTCCAGTTCTCTGTGGATGCCAACCAGATGATACTAAGTGCCTGCAATTAGCATAGACCCCCAGATTAAGGGCTCAGTCCCACAAGACTGCCCCCAACTTCAGATGCCAATCATAAGTAGCAGTTCCCCAGACTACTCACACTTCCATCCAAGTTGGGTACAAATTGGGGGTTCCCACAACCCCCTCCTCAGATTCAATAATTCGCTGTAACATTTCATAAAACTAAAAAAGAAATTTACTTACTTTACCAGTTTATTAAAGGATACAAATAAAATGCCAGAGAAAGAGGTACATAGGGCAAGGTCTAGAAGGGTCCCAAGCACAGGGGTATCTGTCCCCGTGGAGTTGGGGCACACTACCTTCTGGCACATGGATATGTTTACCAACTCAGAAGCTCTCCACTTCATTTAGGGATTTTTAAGGAGGCTTCATCACGTAGGCAAGATTGATTATCAATCCAATCTCCAGCCCCTCTCCCCTCCCTGGTAGACAGTGGATGGGCCTGAAAGTCCCAAGCTTCTAATCATGGCTTAGCCTTCCCATCCTGAAGCTACTCAGGAACTCTAAAGACTTGCCTCACTAGAGCAAAAGACACTCCTGTCACTCCAGAAATTCCAAGGGTTTTAGGACCTCTGTGTCAGGAACTGGGGGCAAAGACCAAATACAAATTTCTTATGTCACAGGTAGAAACAGATAAGGGATACTGCTTATTACATATGACCAGAGTCTCCAAAACAAAGGCAGATGACAAGGCTGACAAGAGTTTCCCCAACAATCCCCACCCTGCATGGAGGACAGCAGAGCATCACTCATTTTCCCCAGAAGCTACTTTAGCAATGTGGGTGTGTCGTGGCCTTGGCAGAATCTTGCAACTTATTAGAGATGGAGCTTAAGAAAGGGAAAAAGGCTGAGCAAGGTGGCTCATTCCTGTAATCTGAGCACTTTGGCAGGCTAAGGCAGAAAGATCACTTGAGCTCAGAAGTTCAAGACCAGCCTGGTCAACATAGTGAGACCCTGTCTCTACAAAAGAAAAATTAGCCAGGCATAGTGATGCATGCCTTTAGTTCCAGCTACTCCAGAGGCTGAGGGAGAGAATTGCTTGAGCCCAAAAATTTGAGGCTGCAGTGAGCCATGACCCCACCACTGCATTTCAGCTTGGGTAACAGAACGAGACTCTGTCTCAAAAGACAAAAAAAAAAAAAAGTGAAAGAGACTGATAGGACTCCACATTGTTTTATTTGGGTAACTAAGAGAATACTGGCACTTCTAACAGACACAGGAGGACAGCACCTTCCTCCTTACCCCATACTCAGCCCATCACCAGATCCTACTGGTGTTAGTTACTAAGCGAGCTGTTCCATCTGGCCCAGATCTCCCTGCTTCCACTCGTCCCACCAAATCTATTCTCCAAATAGTGGTCAGAGTGTCTTTATTTTGAAACATCACTCCTCATTGCCTTAAAAGCCTTCCACGGCTTCCCCACTTACTCTGTTGACACAGTCACAATTTTGCACTATCTAGCTGACACGGTCACAATTTTGCACTATCTACAAGGTCCCAGGATTTATGCTCCAGCAGCACTTCTCACCACCTTCCCTCTTGCCCTTTCCATGTGACACACTTTCAGAGCTTTGCCTTCCTCAAGCTCCTCCCATCCCAGAAGTGCTTCCTTGCAGTTCCTCTGCCTGAAGTGCTCGCCTCCCCTCTGTGCCTACCCTTCTGATTTTAACCCAATCATCAATTTCTGGAGGTCTTAGCTGCTTAGGTCAGACCTCTGCAATAAACTCTAGGAGTCAGAAGTGTCATCCTTTGCCACCTGGTAGTGGGTGTGAGTTTACAATCATTTGTCTGCTTGTCTCCCTTCGCATCCCCCACATAGCCAGTAACATCCAGGAGCACCTCCAACCAATCTGTTTCTGCTCCATTGTAGCTATCTCTAAAGCCTGGCCCACAGCCTGCACATAGTAGGGATTTCATAATTAGCTCTTGATTGTGGAATGACTGAAGGAAAAACAGCATTTTTTTATTCATAAAAGAAATCTACCCCATCATCTTTCATAGTATCTGAAACCATCACTAACACTTTATTCCTTTGAGGATTTTCAAGTTTTCTAGAGAGATCAATAAACTGAAAATACCCCTGGGAAAGGTTAGAAAATTTTTCTCTGCTTGGACTTGAGTGTTCCAGGTGAAGAATGTACTGCCTCTTCCCTGGTCTGCACACAGCCTCTGTTCTTTCTATCACTCCACCTCCTATAGCTGCATCTACAGGATGAACTATCACTAAAACTGGGAACCAGGAAGATGCTTGATTCACTGAACTAACATGGTGGGGGATCATGAAGTTCCCTTACAAGGCTTCCTTGCACCCCAGTAAAGAGCTCATCAGTATCATCAGATACCTGAAATCTGGAGGACAAAACTCTCTGTGCAGCCACATTAGCCAGCATCACCCCTTCTGGCCCTGTTTCCCTTCCGGTTTTGACTTGAGAGCCCAAACTCTTCCTCCAATTCTAGCTCCTCCTCAGAGCCTCTTCCTGTGAACAGCTCTTGCTGGGCTTTCCACATCTCAGATAAGAAATTCTGTTGGGCAACCTGCCACAAGTTCAGACACCACCTGGACTGTCACATAGATAGACATATCCCTCAGTTTCCTGGAGTCATTCATTTCCTTTGAGTAATCACCACAGAATTATGAGAAGTGTCAAAGTAAGCCAGTCTCTTGGCCATGGGTAAGTAAATTGGCTGAGTTTTCCGTTACTGAATCATCTATTTCCATCTTCATGGGGCATAATATGATAGCAAGGAACAAACTGCCCTTTGAATGCCTTTTCCACAATAGTGCTTAATTGATCATCCTGTGTGTGGGCATTGGCATAGGACCTGGGGTTATTAAGCTGAGAGATTGATTTTAGAATTTAGTCAATTATATTAGGGCTGAAAGGCATCTACCTGTTTTGATAATATCCAGACGAAGCAACTGATGATTACCCAGAAATCCAACCCATTGCATTGGCCATATATCTAAAACTAATGCATGTTTGCATATTACAAATATTAACCATTGCAGATAATTATTTAACAAGTTCAAAAGTAATAATTTGCTGGAATGCATCAGGCAGTAAGCAAACCTTGAAGACAATTTCTAATTAGTAATGCATTTTGTGACTTTTTTTGTTCTCCCCCTTTGATATATAGTTCCCCAGAATAAGGTATGAAAATTTTCAGTCATGATAATTTGATTCTCATTTCTGACTCCTCTTCAATATTCTCTCAGCATGGATGAGAGGACACTCCACTGCACCCCTTTTTTCACTGCCCACACTCATACTGAGGACCATCTCAAATCTCTGTTTGACACCAAACACAGCCTGACAGCTTGGATTTCATTATCATTCACAAAGGAATTTTTCTCTCTTTTAAAAAATCTTTGAAACCTCCACATTGCATTTGGCCAACTCTGCTTCCTGGACCAAACCCTGTGGAAAATCATACTATGAGGCACCCACCCACGAATTTGTTTACCCCATGTCCTCTTTGAGCAAGTAAATAATAAAATAACTTTGAAAGTGGAAGGGATTTTTCCAGAAGGGCAATACCCAGCCAAGAGACACTGAAGCATGGCTTCCAGATGCAGGTGCCTGCCAGGTACAGTCCCAGCCCACTCCCAGGGAACCCTGTGGGGAGCAGAGAAAGCCCAGGGTCTGGGATCAAAAGACACAGCTTCTAGTGTCAGTGCTGCCACTTGCTCCTGAATTTTAGGACCATCTCTGGACCCGGTTTGGTGATGGGTGAGGTGCCATTTTAGCTAGCATGGCTGCTCTCAGCATGGTGTCAGGCACATCATGGTGATCAATAATTATCTTTTGCATGCAGAGATGAATGGATGATGCGAGTGTTTTGTAAATATCATGATGACTGGCTCTCTCTAGTACAGGCTGAGGAAATAACCTCTATCTGCTGGAGCCCTCTGACCTCCAGAAAGCATAAACAGAATGCATAGGAAATCACCCAAATTTTCTGTACTACAGATACAATCCAGAATTATAACCCAGGATAGTGTGAAAACTAAGAATGAGATCTGTATACATTCATATCTAGCCTAAATTCTGTTCTTTACACAACACTTCAGAAAAAGTGAAATGTACCCCAAGTAAAATGGAGGCCCTGCTCCATAGAGCAGGGCCAAGTTCTCAAACAAAGCAAGGGGAGGCAGAGGCATTCCTGGTCAGCGAGCTGCCCATGCCTTCCTGAGCAGCAACCCTCAGCTCACCGACAGTCTCAGCCTGTGCTTCTTCCACTCCAATTCAATAACCCAGTGCAGTCTGACAGTTTGCTTAGTGAGCAGCCATGAGGAGTGCAGATCATTGTAGATGTCCTGCAGGGAAGCAGGGAAACTGGCACAATGTATTGATGATTTAGTAGTTTTAAATTAATATCAAGCTAACAGTTTAAAGATCTTTTTTTCAAGAAATTGTCTCTAATGTCTAATGCGGAATGCAAGTGCACTGGTTTGAAATTAGCTCATTTGATTTCCGTCACTGCTCCAAGCCCTTATCTTTCTGCCATTCTGGAGAAATGTTTGCTATGCAATAAACAGTTTGAACAAGATGCTGAAGGCATTTAACCTTGATAAGAGAATAAACTCTTTGAAATAAATTTAGTAGACTTGCAGACACACCAATATTGAGCATGTTTGTCAGCCCCCACACAACATACTTCCTTATGCCTCTGTGCTATGGTGGAATTTTCCAGACATCTTGTGTTCTGTTCACATCTGTGACCTGAAAGTACAGATATTTTCAGATTCCTGAAAGTATCTGTATCAACATGAACTGAAATGCATGCAGTCTATATTTTGTCTAAACTATCAAAGCCATAACACCTGTCTTTAATGTTCAGGAAATATTTGGAAATTTTCTTTTCTTCAAAGCATTATGCTTTTAGACTAAAGTTCATTGACGTGAGTGTTGGCTTATTAATTAAGGTAAGCATTGTACATAGGCAGGAGCCCTTTCATGACCTTTTCCCCTAAAGGAGAGCATTCTCCATTATTTTGAATAAACTGCAAACAAAATACCAGTTAACATAAGTACAGTCTGTTTCCCTGCCATAGTACCTTTGCACATGCTATTTGCTCTGCCTAGAGTACCCACCCTAATCCAACTCCAGCTCAACTCCCACGTCCCTTCCAGAAGCATTCCCTGGCTCTTGCCCCTCTTTCCACCAAGCCAAACTGTGTCTTCTCTGCACCATTAATACCATACACACTCTGATTATGGAACTCATCATCTCTAAATGTGATTGTATACAAATTTACTTCTCCACTTGACTGTGTCTTTAAAAAATTAAGTTTAAAAAACATAGTATCTTACGCCTCTTTTAACACTAAATACATGAATAACCCTGGATTTTTATCCATTAAAGCGGGGCTGGAAAAATACCTGTCTTTGCATTTCTTACGTTATGCATTTATATTATTATGTATTCTTGAGAACTATACACCTGAAATAACTATCCCATAACTGAGATTTCTCATTAAGCCTGATGGCCACTTCCAATAGGTATGAATGAGTGAGGTTTCACTATAGAACCTTTGGCTTGCCCTGTGTATAGAACATGTGCCCACATAGTAAGAATGCTGGCTAATTAGTGAACATTGTGATACCAGGGCAAGCAGTCAGGATGCAGGATTCTTGGACAGCTGACTTACACCAGAATTAACAGTTTGTTCTGGTTTCTCACAGCATGAAATTCAGCTCATTGTCAGTATGGGCAAGTATTTTTTTCCCTCCTTGTTAACATAAACCCTCATAACACACTCAGAGTACAACACAGAAACACCTCTTTCCCCCTCCAAGTTGTCAGAGATGTTCTTAGCCAAGTCTGTTAGTGACTCAGAGGGGTCATTTGGAAATTTAAAAGCCATTAATGAACATGCTTCCTGCTCCCCACTCTCATCCTCCTTCCTAGTCTCACAAGATGTCGTTATTTTTAACTCCACACTGCTACAGCTGCACTTCAGAGAAAGCCAAGCTGAGATAGAGGCACAGCCCTGTTCGCAAGATGGGAAGCATGGCCGTGAAAAAGGAGGAGCATCAAAAAGAAGGGTAGACATTGGGAGAGAAGTTAGAAACACTTCTCAGAGAACACAACTGTTGCAAAGATCAAGTAGGAGCAGCGGCAACCTTCAGGAATGGGAAATCATGATGATCCACCCTTTCCCAAACTAGGATGCAGGAAGTTCCCAAACTTTGGTCCCAGTCATGACTAAAGAATTAGACAAGGATATAGCACAAGCCTTAGGAATCTGGTAGTTCTGCCAATTGGTGCTAGAAAAAAAAATATATCATGTATTCTGACCTGAACAAACCTCTAAACCAAAGTTTCTTACTTTGAATCACCACTCTTGGTCTGTATTATTTCAGAAGTTTTACACTAAAGGAGCAAAACCCAAGGCCAAAAGAAGCTGAGTTGTTTGGAGATTTCTTTTTCTCTTTGTGGCTCTTGTTAGTACCAGTTTTAACCTCATTTCACCCAAATAAAGGTACTTGATTTCCTCTCATTCTCTATATATTAAACAGAAATAGTTCTGGTTGTCAAAATTTCCTAAAGTTAGCCTGAATTATCCTGTGAATGACACCCCTGAGGTTGTGCAACGGGAAGACCTGCTTGAATACAACCAAGGAAGCCCTCTAAGCATTTCTCCTCTCTGATTTGTCTTTTTAGTCATTTTTCTATGGGCACAGCTAACATGGATTCTATTCTTCCACCAATCTTAAAAGATAATATTTCATGTAGCGGCATAAAAGTGGATTAGATTTGTATTGTTCCTGTTTAATTTTTTTATTTCTGAAATATACATGTATCACTTGGGTTCCCACCAGAAAACAGATGGCACACTCAAATTAGGCAGTTCAAATGAGTTTATTTGCAAAGGTGTAGAAGAATTGTAAGGGTTGCTGCAGTAACCTAGGGTGAGTTGCAAAAGAGAGGAGGGAATATTTGCTAGAACCAAGGTAGACAGAGTCATAAAGAGTAGGCTGCCTAGAGCCCATTATCAAGGACTAAACTACCTCTGGTCAAGAGACAGAGTCAGCCTTAGATGATCCCCTGCAAGGAGAGTATAAATACCCAATGGGGACATAAATACCCCAACCACATTTTCTTCTTCTCCTACCCACTACTCCTACCCACTACTCCCACCCTGCCACCTGCTGGGGATTCCCATTGGCCAAACCAAATGATAAGGCCTCTTATTGATGTAGGCCATGCAGGTCTGCCTTCTGGGTTGCAGAGCAGGGTAGAGAAGCAAAGAGAGTGCATCTGGAGAAAGAAGATAATTGGCACAAAATAGAGTATTATTTAAAAACCAAAATCTAACACTTTATTTCAACAGCTGCAAATTTACAGTCCCTCAATTTCTAGTGCCTTCCAGGGACAGACAATGTCACGTCCTGCAAATTCTCTGATAGGCTCCTTGGTAAAAATAAATGAGAAACAGAAATTCCTGATTTTTTCTTGTGTAAGTCCTTTGCTTTTACTGAAACATTTTTTCCATATTTTTTCCAAGAAATAAAATACAAAAGGATTGAAATCTAAAAATATCAGAGCAAAGTTTTGCTACTTACATAGCCAAGCAGAAAATACTTAGGAAAAACTACAAGTCTCCTTCCTTCCCATCTTTTCATAAACGCTTACTGAATAACTATGATGTCCCCAGGTGGCTGTTATATGTTGAAATGCAAAGATAAATGTAAATAAACAAACTTTACCTATGCTGGGTTATCCAAAAAATGGTGGTTAGTCAGTTTCAGTTAGTTAACTTTTATTTGTTTTTGGCTCATGAAGAGTAGTTTAGAAGGCAGAACTAGCTTTAGCCTTGCCCTGATTTGGGGGTTCACTGATGTTTCTAGGCTCCTTCTCTCAACTCTTCCTCCTTAAAGTGCTTGTTTATAGCCTCAGGAAGGTTCTCCTTGTTGCAGGGGGATGGTCATAGGAATCTAAGCCTCATACCACCAAACCCAGAAGAGAAGTGATGTCTGTGTGTCACAACCACAGTATGGTTTTGGGTTCATGCTAATTGGACTGGCTCAGATCACCCTTGAGCCAGTCACTGGAGCCAGGAAAGTGAAATATTCTTAAGTCAGTGAGAGCCATCATTTGGGTTGAGTGTGAGGTCAAGCCAATCCCCATAACCTGACAATGGAGGAGAGACAGATCCCCAGGGATCTGAGAACCACTGGTCAAAGAAAGAGGGAATGAATGCTAGGGAACCATCATCAAATAAAGATACGTGCAAATGCTCCAGAGGCCAAAAACTGGGGAGTGCAAACTCCCCAAATGGGCTTGGTGATGTTTTACCTGATTCTTGAAGGTAGAATATGATAGGACAGTGCACAGTAATGTAGTAAAGGGGCAAAGGTGATCCCGGCAAACAAAACAGCATGTACAAGTGCACAGAGGCATAAAAGAGCATGACGTCTTCTAGGAACAACAGGACTATCCATGTGCCTGGACTGAAGGGCCTGGGGAAAGTCTCAGATTGCACAGATGATTGAGACCACTTTTTGCAATGGTAAAGATTTCAGTTCTTATCCTTAAAGGCATTAAAGCATCTAGTCAGGGTATTGACAAGGCCAGATCCATATTTTAGAAGTCAATGTAGGACAGACAATGGGGATTAGAGGAGGGCAGAGTCTAAAAGCACCTCTTCAGAGGCCACTGAATTTGGGGGCAAGAGATTATGTCTCAGTGCAGAGGAAGGAGCGGGTAGTTTAGGGAGAGAGCTAGGTGTTAGAAACAACTGGACTTGATGATCGATCGGACCTGACAACCAATGTATAGGGGAGAAAAGAAAATGAAAGTAACTGAATTTACCTGCATACTAACAAGGATGTTCTGTCCCATGCCAGGTGTTCCTACTGTTCATCTCATATTTTTTGTGCAAATTCACTTTTATATTTATTAACGCCATCAAATTCTATTACACCTGAAGCTTCCACTGGCTTAATTCACACATGCAAAGCAAAGTGGAATAGTGAAATAATTTCACTATTATTTATTGAAATAATAAATTCAAACCAAAAAATATTTTGGCTTAAATTAAAACACGGAAACCAAAAATTCATACCAAGGTGGATGTTTAAATGTTTTTTTCATTATCTGAATAACTGACTTATGGACACAGATATAGAACCAATATAGCTCAATCTATGAAAATTAAGCTTGAGAAAGGAAACTTGGAATTTTGCCTTCTCCGTGAAAATGTTCTTTCTAAGAATCCCTTCTTTACCCCAGAGTTGGCAAAGAAAAGAAGTCTTCTTACAATTATCTTTTCAAGTAATTTACAAAACTCACTTAATATAATTATCAATTGCCAAGGTATTTAAGAGATATATAATTTTTGTGTTGTACATGTTGGCTATTTGATAGAAATGTTTTCTCTTGTGTTTGAATACCACAATTTTTAAAAAAATAAGAAAATCAATTGACATCTGATTCGAGTCCATCATCCTAGCTGCCCAACTTAGCTTGCCCCTTATTTTTATTTATTTATTTTTGTTGTTGTTGTTATTGTTGTTGTTGAGACAGAGTCTCACTCTGTCGCCCAGACTGGAGTGCAGTGGCACAATCCGGTTCATTGCAACCTCCGGCTCCTGGGTTCCAACGATTCTCGTGCCTCAGCCTCCTGAGTAGCTGGGACTACAGGCATGTGCCACCACATCCAGTTAATGTTTTGTTATTTTTAGTAGAGATGGGGATTCACCATGTTAGCCAGGCTGGTCTCAAATTCCTGGCCTCAAGTGATCCACCCGCCTCGGCCTCCCAAAGTGCTGAGATTACAGGTGTGAGCCACCATGGCCGGCCAGCTTGCCCCTTATTTCTATTCAAATGGATAGAGATAGAGAATTTATGTCAGTTCTAAACAGAGGGAAGTGTCTCTTCTATATGCTGGTAACTTTGAAAATGCCTATAAGATAAAATACATGTAAGACTAGATTTTAAAAGGAGCCTACCAAACCCTGAGTCATAACCTAAAAAGTAATTTCCCACCTGGGAAGTTAGTGAATGAGACCCTGAGCCAAACCTCTACAAGTGACAGGAGCTGGAGACAAGAGAAGGCCATGCAGCGATGAGTAGGAGGGCAAATCTCAGTCCCGCCCCACCTGGGAGTGCATGGCTCCTAATAATTCAGTAAATATAGTGGTTGGAAAGTGCTCAGCTAACTTATGAATGTAATCGTCATAGAAAATAAACTTTTTTGGACAAGTGAAGCTTTCAGCCTTACAGCTTAAATAAACAATAGCTGTCTTCCTACTCCCACTGACATCTTGGTTTCTACTCTAAGCTCTTCTTTTCACCCTGTGCCCAGACCTGAAATATTGGAGAAAGACCCAAATAAGTATGATCTGGACCTATCTGCAGTCCCAGCAATGAGCAAAAGATGATTCCCCCTGATGCACAAATGAAAAACAATCACTGAATATATGAGTAATCACAGAAGTTTAGAAGAAGATCTGAAGAATCAAAGCAAGAAAGAATACAAAACTATAAAAGAGACTTGCTGAAAAGACAGAGTAAACTTTAGAAAATATTATTTCTGTAAGATTTGAAAAACATATATTTGATAGAAAGAATCTGGATTGGAAAAAATACTTTCAGATAAAAAACTAATTTACTTAATTTAAGAATATATCTTTGGCAGCAAATAGCCTTTGGGTACTGCAGAAAACAAACATGATTTGACGGCAGTATCAAAAAACTCTCCCAAGAGAAACATAACAATAACTTGTATTTAAGAATGTATGCATTCCTAGCATTCTGACAAGTATTTTGAACATGTGTTAACGTATTTCATTCTTTATAGTATTATTTTAAGCAAGTATTATTATTTTTATTACTATTCACATTTTATAGTTGGGGAAAACGGTCCATAGGAAGGTTAAGTATGTTGCCCAGCATCACATCATTAATAATGTGGGCTGGAGCTGAGTTTTAAACCCAATGCTATCTTACTCTAGAGCCCATGCTTTTGTTTCAGGAGTGAGCTCCTCTAGATCATCAAGAGACAGAAAGCATTTCTATGCTATCTAAATTATGCTAAATCAGAGATCAGCAAACTTTTATAGGACCAGAGAATAAATATTTTCAGCCTTGTGTACCATACAATCTCTATTGCAACTACTCAACCCTGCCACTGCAGTGGGAAAGCAGCCACAGGCAATACATTAATGGATGGTCATGAATATCTCCCAGTGAAATTTTATTTGTAAAAGCAAATGATGGGAATAATTTGTCATGTGGGTCATACCATAGTTTACCAACTGTGCATACAAAAGATGAAAAGATCATCTTTTGTGTGTATGTTAAAATATCACACCACTAATACCAAAACTTGTCAAAGATAATCTAAAAACTTTAAAAAATTATCTCACTATAACCCTAGCGGTAAAAACTACAAATACAATTTTTGCAAATTAAAACTTATAGCAAGTAAAAGACTACTACACAGTGACCAAGTAGAGTTTATTTCAGTAATGTAAGGAGGTTTTTACTCCAACTTTAAAAAATCTGTTATTAGTAGTAATCTAAATAAGTGAGATATTATTTATTCAGAATTTTTTTTCAGAATTCAACATTGATTTCCAATTTAAAAAATAATACCACTGGCACAGTAGGAATAAACAATATTACCTTAACATGACAGACAATATCTATGACCAAAAAACTGTTGACATTATAAATAAAACTATGATTAATATACTAAGGGCACTGAGTGGACAAAGTAGACAACATGCAAGAACAGATAGGTAGGGTAAGCAGAGAGACGGAAATTCTAAGAAAGAACTGAAAAGAAATGCCAGGGATTCCTGCTCCAAGATGGCTGACTAGACACAGCCAGAAAGAACATCTCCCACTGAGGGACAGGGACATTAGGAAGACTGGTGCACTCCTAGCAGATCGTTAGAGAAAAGGCGTTGAGAGTGGATGGAGGGAAGACACAGTTGCTGGGCTGAAGGAGGAGGAAGCCGAGAACACTGCAGAGGGCTACACCCAAGACTTGTTCCTGGCCCCCAGTGACTTCTGTGGAAGGGGTGAATGGGTAAGTTGAAGAGGCAAGAAGCAACCCACTCTCACCACAGGCCTCTGGAATCCCAGCAGGAGGAGACTCCTCAACCATGACAGACACTTGAGTTGGCAGGGAGAGCTGCTTAGAGAAGTGGTAGGAGCAGAACTCCAGCCAGTGTTGAGCCTAGAGGGTTTGGTGTGGAAGCATCTGTAGCAGAGCATGGCCAGGGACAGCCATCCCCACAGGCTCAACTTGCTCCCACAGGAGACTTTAGCCCCAGAGAAACTATTGTACCTGAACTCTGCAGGGCAGTCTTGCCAATGAGATGAGCCCTGTCTGACCTGAGAACCCCTTGGTCTGCTCGCCTCTGTGGGAGCCCCAGCCCAATTGTGCCTGCTTACAATAAAGCACCCAGATACCTCCTGGGGGCCTAGATCATAGCTCCTGTGCTGGCAAATGCACCTGACCAGCAGAATGCTCCAGCAAAGCAGCCCTCATGGACATGCACTAGCCTGCCTGAGCCCTCCCCACACCGCAGCCTCCCACATGCCACTTTACATACCTGCACTCACCAACGGCCACCTCTCATGTGTGTATGGATCCTTGCCTTCCCTTCTCCACCAGCATGAGTGTATGCATGCAGCCTACCATGCCACTGCTGCCGGCATGAGTGCACTGCACTTCCCCTCCCCTGCCGCAATGTCATTGTCATCAGAGCATTGGTGGACATGGAGCCTGCCAGCCCTGCCCCTGCTAGTCCCCCGCCCCTGCGCTGACACTGCTGCTGGAGCAGAACTAGGCAAGGAAAACAGCAGACCCACTCACCCTGACTATGCTACAGTGGACCCACTCACCCTAAACTATGAACTTTGAGTGATAATGATGTGTTGGTGTGGATTCACTGATTGTAACAAATTAACTGTTGTGTGTGGGATGTGGATAGTGAAAGAGATTGTTGGGGTGGGGAGGATAGGGTATATGGGAACTTTCTGTGGTTTCTGCTGAATTTTGCTATTAATCTGAAGCTGTTCTAAAATTATATTTATTAATAAAAAATTAATGCACAGGGGATCTGGCAAGATGGCCGAATAGGAACAGCCCAGGTCTGCAGCTCCCAGCAAGACCAATGCAGAAGGCGGGTGATTTCTGCATTTCCAACTAAGGTACTTGGTTCATCTCATTGGGACTGGTTAGATAGTGGGTGCAGCCCATGGAGGGTGAGCAGAAGCAGGGTGGGGCATCGCCTCACCTGGGAAGTGCAAGGAGCTAGGAAGCCTCTCTCTCCCAGACAAGGGATGCCGTGAGAGACTGTGCTATCTGGCCCAGATACTATGCTTCTCCCATGGTTTTTGCAAGCCTCAGACCACCCAAGGACATTCCCTCGTGTGCCTAACACCAGGGCCCTGGGTTTCAAGCACAAAACTGGTTGGCTGTTTGGGCAGACACTGAGGAAGCTGCAGGAGTTTGTTTGTTTGTATGTTTGGTTGGTTCCCCAGTGGCACCTGGAACCATAGCAAAACAGAACCATTCACTCCGCTGGAAAAGGGGCTGAAGCCAGGGAGCCAAGTGGTCTCATTCAGCGGGTCCCATTCCCACATCGTGCAGCAAGCTAAGGACAACTGGCTTGAAATTCTCACTGCCAGCACAGCAGTCTGAAGTTGACCTGGGATGATCGAGCTTGGTGAGGGGAGGGGCATCTGCCATTACTGAGGCTTCAGTAGGCGGTTTTCCCCTCACAGTGTTAAGCCCTTGGGAATTTCTGCGGAATTCACCACAGTGCAGTAAAGTGGCTGTAGCCAGGCTGCCTCTCTAGATTCCTTCTCACTGGGAAGGCCATCTCTGAAAGAAAGGCACCAGCCCCAGTCAGGGGCTTAGAGATAAAACTTTATCTCCCTGGGACAGAGCACCTAAAGGAAGGGGTGCCTATGGGCGCAGCTTCAGCAGACAAAGCTTCTTGCCTGCCAGTTCTGAAGAGAGCAGTGGATCTCCCAGCACAGCGCTCGAGCTCTGCTAAGGCACAGACTGCCTCATCAAATGGGTCCATGAAACCCATGCCTCCTAACTGGGAGACACCTCCTAGCAGATGTCAACAGACACCTCATACAGGAGAGCTCTGGCTGGCATCAGGCAGGCTCCCCTCTGGGATGAAGCTTCCAGAGGAAGGAACAGGCAGCAATCTTTGGTGTTCTGCAGCCTCCACTGGTGATACCCAGGCAAACAGGGTCTGGAGTGGAACTCCAGCAAATTCCAGCAGACCTGCAGCAGAGGGTCTTGACTGTTAGAAGGAAAACTAACAAACAGAAAGCAATAACATCAGCATCAACAAAAATGATGCCCACTCAAAAACCCCATCCAAAGGCCATCAGCATCAAAGATCAAAGGTAGATAAATCCAGGAAGTTGAGGAAAAAAACAGTGCAAAAGTGATGAAAATTTCAAAAACCACAATGCCTCTTCTCCTCCAAAGGATCACAACTTCTCTCCAGCAAGGGCACAAAACTGGATGGATAATGAGTTTGATGAATTGACAGAAGCAGGCTTCAGAAGGTGGGTAATAACAAACTCCTCTGAGCTAAAGGAGCATGTTCTAACCCAATACAAGGAAGCTAAGAACTTTGATACAGGGTTACAAGAATTGCTAACTAGAATAACTGGTTTAGAAAAGAACATAAATGACCTGATGGAGCTGAAAAACACAGCACAAGAACTTCGTGAAGCATACACAAGTATCAATAACCAAATCGATTAAGTGGAAGAAAGGATATCAGAGACTGAAGATCAACTTAATGAAATAAAATGTGAATACAAGATTAGAGAAAAAAGAATGAAAAGGAATGAACAAAGCCTCCAAGAAATATAGGACTATGTGAAAAGACCAAAGCTACAATTGACTGGTGTACCTGAAAGTGATAAGGAGAATGGAACCAAGTTGGAAAACACTCTTCAGGATATTATGCAGGAGAACTTCTCCAGCCTAGCAAGGTGACCAACATTCAAATTCAGGAAATACAGAGAACACCACTAAGACACTCCTCGAGAAAAGCAACCCCAAGACACATAATTGTCAGATTCTCCAAGGTTGAAATGAAGAGAAAACATTAAGAGCAGCCAGACAGAAAGATCAGGTTACCTACAAAGGGAAGCCCATCAGATGAATAGCAGATATCTCTGCAGAAGCTCTACAACTCAGAAGAGAGTGGGGTCCAATATTTAACATTCTTAAAGAAAAGAACTTTCAACCCAGAATTTCATATCCAGCCAAACTAAGCTTCATAAGTGAAGGAGAAATAAAATCCTTTACAGACAAGCAAATGCTGAGGGATATTGCCACCACCAGGCCTGCCTTACAAGAGCTCCTGAAGGAAGCACTAAATATGAAAAGGAAAAACTGGTAGCAGCCACTAAAAAAAAAAAAAAAAAAAAAAAAAAAAAATCAAAATATAAAGACCAATGACAATATGAAGAAACTGCATCAATTAATATGCAAAATAACCAGCTAGCATCATAACGACAGGATCAAATTCACACATAACAATATTAACCTTAAATGTAAATAGGCTAAAGGCCCCAATTAAAAGACACAGACTGGCAAATTGGATAGAGTCAAGACCCATTGGTGTGCCGTATTCAGGAGACCCATCTCATGTGCAAAGACACACATAGGCTCAAAATAAAGGGATGCAGGAATATTTACCAAGCAAATGGAAAGCAAAAAAAAAAAAAAAAAAAAGCAGGGTTTGCAATCGTAGTCTCTGATAAAACAGATTTTGAACCAGCAAAGATCCAAAAAGACCAAGAAGGGCATTACATAATGGTAAAGGGATCAATTCAACAAGAAGAGCTAACTACCCTAAATATACATGCACCCAATACAGGAACACCCAGATTCATAAAACAAGTTCTTAGAGAGCTACAAAGAGACTTAGACTCCCACACAATAATAGTGGGAGACTTTAACACCCCACTGTCAATATTGGACAGATCAATGGGACAGAAAATTAACAAGGATATTCAGGACTTGAACTCAGCTCTGAACCAAGCAGACCTAATAGACATCTACAGAACTCTCCACCCCAAAGCAACAGAATATACATTCTTCTCAGCACCACACAGCACTTATTCTAAAATTGACCACATAATTGGAAGTAAAACATTCCTCAGCAAATGCAAAAGAATAAAAATCATAACAAACAGTATCTCAGACCACAGTGCAATCAAATTAGAGCCCAGGATTAAGAAAATCACTCAAAACCATGCAACTACATGGAAACCGAACAACCTGCTCCTGAATGACTACTGGGTAAATAACAAAATCAAGGCAGAAATAAATAAGTTCTTTGAAACCAATGAGAACAAAGACACAATGTACCAGAATCTCTGGGACACAGTTAAGCAGTGTTAAGACGGAAATATATAGCACTAAATGCCCAGATCAGAAAGCGAGAAAGATCTAAAATCAACACCCTAACATCGCAATTAAAAGAACTAGAAAAGCAAGAGAGAATTCAAAAGCTAGCAGAAGACAAGAAATAACTAAGGTCAGAGCAGAACTAAAGGAGATAGAGACATGAAAATCCCTTCAAAAATCAATGAATATAGGAGCTGGTTTTTTGAAAAGATTAACAAAATAGACCACTAGCCAGACTAATAAAGAAGAAAAGAGAGAAGAATCAAATAAACACAATAAAAAATGATAAAGGGGATATCACCACTGGTCCCACAGAAATACCAACTACCATCAGAGAATACTACAAACAAATAAACTAGAAAATCTAGAAGAAATTGATAAATTCTTGGATATATACACCCTCCCAAGACTAAACCAGGAAGAAGTCAAATCTCTGTATAGACCAATAACAAGTTCTGAAATTGAGGCAGTAATTAACAGCCTACCAACCAAAAAAAGCCCAGGACCAGATGGATTCACAGCCAAATTATACCAGAGGTACAAAGAGGAGCTGGTAGCATTCGTTCTGAAACCATTCCAAACAACAGAAAAAGAGGAACTCCTCTCTGACTCATTTTATGAGGCCAGCATCATCCTGATACCAAAACCTGGCAGAGACACACACACACAAAAAAAGAAAATTTCAGGCCAATATCCCTGATGAACATCAATGCAAAAATCCTCAATAAAATACTAGCACACCGAATCCAGCAGCATATCAAAAAGTTTATCCATCACGATCAAGTCAGCTTCATCCCTGGGATGCAAGGCTGGTTCAACATACACAAATCAATAAACTTAATCCATCACATAAACAGAGCCAATGACAAAAACCACATGATTATCTCAATAGATGCAGAAAAGGCCTTCAACAAAACTCAACAGCAATTCATGCTAAAAACTGTCAATAAACTAGGTATTGATGGAATGTATCTCAAAATAATAAGAGCTATTTACGACAAACACACAGCCAGTATCATACTGAATGGGCAAAAACTGGAAGCATTCCGTTTGAAAATTGGCACAAGTCAGGGATGCCCTCTCTCACCACTCCTATTCAACATAGTGTTGGAAGTTCTGGCCAGGGCAATCAGGCAAGGGAAAGAAATAAAGCATATTCAAATAGAAAGAGAGGAAGTCTCTGTTTGCAGATGACATGATTGTATATTTAGAAAACCCCATCATCTCAGCCAAAAAACTCCTTAAGCTGATGAGCAACTTCAGCAAAGTCTCAGGATACAAAATCAATGTGCAAAAATCACAAGCATTCCTATACACCAATGATAGACAAGCAGAGAGCCAAATCATGAGTAAACTCCCATTCACAGTTGCTACAAAGAAAATAAAATACCTAAGAATACAACTTACAAGAGACATGAAGGGCCTCTTCAAGGAGAACTATAAACCACTACTCAAGGAAATAAGAGAGGACACAAACAAATGGAAAAACATTCCATGCTCATGGATAGGAAGAATCAATATCATGAAAACGGCCAAACTGCCCAAAGTAATTTATAGATTTAATGCTATTTCCAGCAAGCTACCATGGACTTTCTTCACAAAACTTGAAAAAACTACTTTAAATTTCACAGGAGACCAAAAAAGAGCCTGTATAGCCAAGACAATCCTAAGCAAAAAGAACAAAGCTGGAGGCATCATGCTACCTAACTTCAAACTATACTACATGGCAACCGTAACAAAAACAGCATGGTAATGGTACCAAAACAGCATGGTAATGGTACCAAAACAGATATATACACCAGTGGAACAGAACAAAGTCCTCAGAAATTACACCACACATCTACAATCATGTGACCTTTGACAAACCTGACAAAAACAAGAAATGGGGAAAGGATTCCCTATTTAATAAATGGTGTTCGGAAAACTGGCTAGCCATATGCAGAAAACTGAAACTGGACTCCTTTCTTACACTTTATACAAAAATTAACTTCAGATGGATTAAAGACTTAAGCATAAAACCTAAAACCATAAAAACCCTAGAAGAAAACCAGGCAGTACCATTCAGAACATAACCATGGGCAAAGACTTTATGACTAAAACACCAAAAGCAGTGACCACAGAAGCCAAAATTGACAAATGGCCTCTAATTAAACTAAAGAGTTTCTGCACAGCAAAAGAAACTATCATCAGAGTGAACAGGCAATCTACAGAATGGAAGAAAAATTTTGCAATCTATCCATCTGACAAAAGGCTAATATCCAGAATCTACAAAGAACTTAAACAAATTTACAAGAAAAAATCAAACAACCCCATCCAAAAGTGGGCAAAGTATATGAACAGACACTTCTCAAAAGAATACATTTATGCAGCCAACAAACATATGAAACAAAAGCTCATCATGACTGGTCATTAGAGAAATGCAAATCAAAACCACAATGAGATACCATCTCACACCACTTAGAATGGCAATCATTAAAAAGTCAGGAAACAACAGATGCTGGAGAGGATGTGGAGAAATAGGAAGGCTTTTACACTGTTGGTGGGAGTGTAAGTTAGTTCAACCATTGTGGAAGACAGTGTGGCGATTCCTCAAGGATCTAGAACCAGAAATACCATTTGATCCAGCATTCCCACTGCTGGGTATATACCCAAAGGATTATAAATCATTCTACTATAAAGACACATGCACACATATGTTTATTGCAGCACTATTCACAACAGCAAACACTTGGAACCTACTCAAATGTCCATCAATGATAAACTGGATAAAGAAAATGTGGCACATATACACCATGGAATACTATGCAGCCATAAAAAAGGATAAGGTCATATCTTTTGCAGGGACATGGATGAAGCTGGAAACCATCATTCTCAGCAAACTAACACAGGAACAGAAAACCAAACATTGCATGTTCTCGCTCACAAGTGGGAGTTAAACAATAAGAACACATGGACACAGGGAGGGGAACATCACATACCCGGGCCTGTTGGGGGTGGGGGGAAAGGAGAGGGAGAGCATTAGGACAAATACGTAATGCATCCAGGGCTTAAAACCTAGATGATGGGTTGATGGGTGCAACAAACCACCATGGCACTGGTATACCTATGTAACAAACCTGCACATTCTTCACACGTATCCCAGAACTTAAAGTATAATAAACTTTTAAAAAGATTTAAAAATGAATGCACAGAGCATAAGCGAGGTGTTGGATAATTCAAGTAGCTTAATATATGTATAATTAAAATCCCTGAAAACTGGGGGACGTGGGAATTTTAAAAATTGAAAAAATAATGGAATGGCTGAAAACTTTCAGTTTGATGGAAACTGTAAACCCTTGGATCCAAGAAGATAAATAAACTCCAAAAGTAAGAAACTTAAAGAAAGCTATACCAAGTCAAACCATAATCAAATTCCTTGAAATAAGTGCCAAAAAGAAAATGTTAAAAAGAAGCCAAAGGGAACAAACACATTATATTCAAAGGAAGAAGCATAAGAATGAGAATAGATTTATTACAGGAAACAATGTAAGCCAGAAAATAGTGGAAGTACCAAAAGGAAAAACTTTTCAATCTGTAATTCTATATTAAGTGAAAATCTATTTTTAAAACAAAGTGAGTATCAAAAAGTTTTCAGCTATAAAGGAGCTGAAATAATTCATCATCATCAGACTTGCAACACTAGAATGCTAAAGAAAGCGTTTCAGTAACAAAAAAAAAACAACAAATGGAAACCTGGTTCTATATAAAAGAATGACAAGCATGAGAAGTAATAACTATAAGGGTTGTTATAGGTAAATATTAAATTTTTTCTTAATATTTAACATAAAACTAATAGCAATATATTATGGGTTCTATAATATACAGAGAAGAAAAATGTATGACAACAATTGTACAAAAGGATGGGAGGTAAGAAATACAAGTATATTTTTAAGATTCTTTTGCTTTATGTGGTGTATTATCACTTGAAAGTTAACTATAATAAATTAAAGATATATGAATGCTTTTCAACTTATGATGAAGTTACGTCCCAATAAATCCACTGTAAGTTAAAAATATCATAGGTTGAAAATGCATTTAATACACCTAACCTAGCAAACATCATACTAGCCACTGATATGGTTTGGCTGTGTCCCCACCCAAATCTCATCTAGAATTTTAATCCCCATAAGCCCCACATGTCGAGGAAGGGACCTGGTAGGAGGTGTTTGGATCATGGGAGCAGTTTCCCCCATGTTTTCTCATGATAGTGACGACTGAGTTCTCATGAGATCTGATGGTTTTATAAGGGGCTCTTCTCCCTTCACTCTCTCTCATCTGCCACCATGTAAGATGCACCTGCTTCCCCTTTTGCCATGATTGTAAGCTTCCTGAGGCCTCCCCAACCATGTAGAACTGTGAGCTCATTAAACCTCTTTCCTTATAAATTACCCAGCCTCGGGCAGTTCTTTATAGCAGTGTGAAAACAGACTAATACACCCACTTTAAACATGCTCAGAACCCTTACATTTGCCTAGAGTTGGGCAAAATAATCTAACACAAGACCTATTGTATAATAAGTATCTTGTAATCTATTAAATCATTGAATATCTCATAATCTATTAAATACTGTATGCTGAAAGTGAAAAACAGAATGGTTGTATGGTGGGTACTCAAAGTATGGTTTCTACTGAATTTGTATTGTTTTTGTGTCATCAAAAAATCATAAGTCAAATCTTCATAAGTTAAGAACCATCTATATATTAAACACCCTAAAGCAATGACTAAAATAACAAAATAGAGTTATAACTAATAAACTAAAAAAGGAAAAAATCATTAAAATATAATTAATCCATAAAGAAGACAGAAAAAGAGGTAAAAGGGAACACAGAATAGATAAGACAAGTAGAAAACAAATACAAGAATGGTAGATTTAAATCCAACCATATCAATAATTACATTAAAAACAATGAAATGTAATTAATTTACATTTAATTAAACCCAATTAGAAAGTATGGAGATTGTCAAATTGGATAAAAAACCAAGACTCAATCTCCCACCTACAAGAGAGCTACTTTAGCTATAAAGACACAAATAGATCAAAACTAAAAGGATTGAAAAATATTTACTATCATAATACTAATCTAAAGAAAGCCAGATTAGCTATAATAATATTAGAAAAAGCCTACTTCAAAGCAAATAATATTACTAGGGTTATAGAAGCTCATTTCATATTGATAAAAGGGCCAATTTATTTATAAGACATAACGAACCTAAATATTCATGTACTTAATAACAGAACGTCAAAAATGCATGAAACAAAAACTGATAGAATTGCCAAAAAAAGGCAAATTTATCATCACATTTGGAGAACTCAACACCCCTCTTTTAATATTTAATTAAACAAAGAGATAGAAATCAGCAGTGATATCAAAGACTTGAACAGCACTATCCACCAGTTTATCGTTTGACCTTTATAAAAAACCCTAACAACAGCAAAACACATTATTTTCAAGTGTTTAAGGAACATTTACCAAAATAAATTATATTCTAAGCTATATTTTAAAAGTCTCAATAAACTTTTAAAAATTCAAATCTAATCCTCTTGGAATTAAATCAAAAACTAGTAACAAGATCTCTTTAAAAATCCTCAAAGAGACAAGAATGTTAATGGCAATTTAAAACTACCCAAAATCATCAAAAGGTAAATAAATAAATTGCAATAGATCCATACAATGGGACACAACTCTGCAATAAAAAGAATGAACTCATGCTACAGGCGACAACATGGATGAGTCTCAAAATTATTAAGCTGAATCAAAGAAGCCAGACCAAAAAAAGAGTATACATGTATGATTTCATTTATATAAAGTTTTATAAAATTCAAACTCAGTTTTATAAAATTCAAATTATCTAATCTATAGAGACCAAAAGCAGATCAGTGGTGCCTGGAAATAGAGAAGAGGAACAGAGAGGGACATTCCAAAGAAAGGATGTTCTAGCTGTAAAACTTTAGGTATTAGCCAACAGTAAAGGAAAACATTTGGAGAATCAGAGTCCTTTTCCTTCACATCAAATTCAGTCTTGTTTGTGAGGCTTGCCTTGGGCATCACCTGGGATTGTGCCTTTGGCTATCTTTGTTCATGGGGATAGCATTAAATGAGGCAGGGAATGAACAAGCAAATTGAGGGGTAAAAATGCGGCAAAAGCAAATGTCATCAGTAGCTGGCAGCTCTTCATTTAGCATTATATCAATGGGAAAAAGAAGACATTTTTTTGAAAGTATTTTTTAAAAAAATACTATGTGGTTTAAGTATTGCCCTTAAACCACAATAGCTGTAAGAACCCGGGCACATTTTGTCAACTTCTGACTGAGCCCCTCTGTGACATTTTCTCACTTACAAGAATTGTATTGTGTGTCTTTAAATTGGATTCATAAAAAACATGGGGGTTGCATATAGGCTTTACTGATAGGAATAGCCAGTTTGAAGAACAAAAGATGAAAGAGCATTTTAAAAGTCCATACAAGGAAGCATTCCTGTGTGTGAAGCCATTTTCCAGTGATGCTCAAGCCCAAAGGCAAGAACAGTGCTAATGTTCTGTAAAGCAAATTGGCCCTGGGATGGGAGGTTAGTTTCCTTGCCAGCCTTGCAGAGTAGGTTCCCTAGTGACAGGTCACAGAATCTAAGATACTGACACTGGAAAACCATGAATTCTTGTAAGGCTGCTGCACAGGCAAAGCAAACTGTTGCCTTGAGGCCTTTTCTGCATGTTCTACATGTTCTTGATCTGATGTTCTGAGGCTTCTCCTCTGTGATCTAACCAGTTGATATTTGTTTATTTCTACATGTGAATCCATCTCTTCAAATCTCTAGCAAGGACAAACATCCTCAAATTATGAGCCTCTGCTCCTGCATTTTGGAGGAGGCATGCCTTTATATTACCACTCTGTCTTGTATTTTTATTATTTAAAAACACACAGTAGTTCACGCCTGTAATCCCAGCACTTTGGGAGGCTGAGGTGGGTGG
Organism: Homo sapiens; assembly: GCF_000001405.40. Taxonomy (NCBI): domain Eukaryota; kingdom Metazoa; phylum Chordata; class Mammalia; order Primates; family Hominidae; genus Homo; species Homo sapiens. The sequence continues at coordinate 156,190,933 of NC_000003.12, read as the reverse complement.
ATCACCTGAGGTCAGGAGTTTGAGACCAGCCTGGCCAACGTGGCTAAACCCTGTCTCTACTAAAAATATAAAAATTAGCCAGGCGCGGTGGTAGCACCTGTAATCCCAGCTACTTGGGAGACTGAGGCAGGAGAATCTCTTAAACCTAGGAGGTGGAGTTTGCAGTGAGCCAACATCACACCACTGCACTCTCCAGCCTGGGTGACAGAGCGAGACTCTGTTTCCAAAAAAAAACAAATCTTAAAAGTGCTTTCCTATTTTCTAGACATCACCTTATTTGGCCCTCCCAAGGGTCTTATGAAGCCAGCAGGGCCGGTATTACTGTTCTCATTTTGCAGATGAGGAACCAGGCTCAAGGAAGTTTAGTGATTTGTCCTCCATCTCACAATAAGCTACAAGACACCTAATTGTTCAATAGGTACCAGCTATTTACTTTATTTCTTGCTTGTACTTTATAAGTGACTGACTATATTTAGAAATGGTCTACACTGATTCTTTTTTTTTCTACTTTTGATGCTTCTTATGTCTCTGAGCTGTCATGAGGAACATATCAACTTCTACAAATGAAGGATGCAATTATATTTAGAGCTAAGTTTTTTATGTTTAATACAGAATAAGAAAAAAAAATCACAGTCTACTGGTCCTAGCGGTAAGGAAAACACAGGTTGGCAATTGCAAATCGTTTGCAGCTATACAAAGGTAAGAGGCCTGGGCACTGGGGGAGCAGGCGGAAGGAAAGTTACTTTCAAATGCTTTAGGAAGATGTCTGGGAAAACCACAAAAGCGATGCAGGCAAAGTGCAGTGGTGAACTTCGCAGAATTCCTCAGGACTGAAGCTTTTGATTAATGACTCAACATAACTCAGAAACTAATTGTAGTTGAACTTCTTTTGTATACTTGTACAAATTTTCTTAAAATAAACATTTTTAAAGTATTGTTTTAATAATTGCTTTTGGTTTAATATTTGGCCAAACATTACACCTGTCAAAAAGGCCCTTCAATTCAGCATGGGTATCAGAATCTGGAAGATATTTGATTGGCGATTTGTTTAGTTAAAAAGCCCATGACAATGCCCCCCTCAACCCCTGACCCAACAAAATGACCTTAGCATGTGTTTGCTCTGCCCACTGAGGCTCCCATATTGCCTGTACCTTTTGGAGATAGATGTTTCCTAACCTGTGTCTGAAAAGTATAAAGCATGTATCATTGTGAAATTTTAACTGACGATTACTGAAAAGAATAAGCTTTTCTTTCTCTGAATTTCATGGCCACATTTATTTAACCACACTGTCATATTAGGGTACACTAGAGATTTAAATGGTAGGAAAACAGAACAGGAGATGCAAAAGATTAGAAAAGGCAAGAAGCACTTTGATTTATCAATACATGAGCACCATCCCTGGCACCCTGTCCCCCAACACCCCTTTAATGAAACACTGGGTTTGGCAATGTGATATAGCACACACTGGCCATAATAACAGCATTTTGTCCATTGTGGGAACACGGAGCTCCTCACCCACCATCCATCGTTTCTTCTGGCAATGCCAGTGGGTGGCTGCTTACTCACACACCCTCTCTGGGATTAAGGAAGGCTTTTGTCTTTGGGGTGGCTCCCTGGACTAGGCAGGCAGCTCTCATCATGGAACAGGTTAGCTGGACTACACAGGGATTCAAATAACTCTGGACTCCTTAGCCCTGTGATCCCATCAGCTGGGTTCCAGTGATTCTCCTCTTAACCAAAAAGAGGGATTATAAGTTTACAGCTCCTAGTCAGAAACAGAAGCTGAGAATGTGTCAAATAAAGGGAGTCATAGGACAAGAAGACCATTCAACATGGACAAAGTGTCACCAGCACTTTTAGAGAGCAGGAGAAGGGCATCCTCGGGCTTGTGGTTGGAGGAACCTGTCTTGAGTCAAGGTAGGCTCCAGATCCAAGAAGAGACCTTGTCAGCCAACTCCAGCAGCAGCGGCAAAGCATGGTCAGTCCCCAGGGCCCACCACGACTCACCCTTCTCCAGTGGGCAAGGAGTTCTCTGAGAAGTGATCACAACTATCTGTCTAATATCCTCCCAAATTACTCAGAAAACAGTAAATTAAGTTCACTTGCAGGAAAACAGCTTTCTTCCAAGGCCTCAGGGTATAGTAGAAGAGAAAAATGCAAAATGATGATTACAACTGAGACACCATTAAAGTTCGTTTTTACATTTTCAAACATACGTTGTTAAGTATATTTTAAAAGAAAGTTTCAGAATAGATGAAGCATACTGTCCCACAATATAAATTTTTAATGTATATTGAAATTAGTAGAAGCATAGGAAAGTCTGAAAGCGTATGCTAACAAACTGTTCAAAACCTATGACAGGATTATGAAGGACTTTGCTTTTCTAAATTGTAAATTTCTGTACTGTTTGCATTTTTATTTACATGAGCATGCATTTCTTTTGAAATCAGAAGAATCAATTTTTTAAATTAAATGTCAAGCCTTTGAAGAATATTTACCATGGCTTTTTTTAACAAAGCAGGCTATAGAACAATATATAGTATAATACTGGTTTCTAAATATATGTAAATATTTATGGTAAATATACCAAAAGGAGGTCCACTAAAATGCTGAGAAATTAATTTCTGGGGGAATGAATTGTAGGCCATTTTTATTTTTTATTTTTCCATATTTTCCAAAATTTTCTAGAGTGATGACATTTATAATCAGAAAAAAAAAAACCCCACAGGGAGATAAGCCATAAAATATAAACTTACCAAGGGAAGCTGGGAAAAGACTTATCCAAGTAGGTAATCTTGAGATGCCCAAAATATTAATAGAAATTCACCAAGGGAACGTGAGAATGCTCTCTGAGGGAACAATGTGTGAAAGGACATGAAGCTATAAAGAGAATGAATGGTGTATTGCTCTGCCCACCAAGGGTCCCATATTGCCTGTACATTTTGGAGACAAATGTTTCTGTCCCCAAAATGCCACATAGTTCAGCATGATAAGCTTGTGAAGTACAAAGGAGTGAAATTGATGAGAAATTAAGCTATAAATTGGGAAACCAATGAAGGGGAATGTATACTGTGCTAGCGAACCCAGATTTGAAGCTGTAAGCCAGGGAAGACACTGAGGATTTTAAGTAGGGAAATGACCTGATTTGATTGGCATTTGAAATCACTGGCTTCACCATGGGTGATGGAGTAAAATGAGGCAAAACTGAAATAAGAGAGATCAGGCTTTGCGATTGTTAAGGTAAGAAGTCATGAGGATGAATGTGGATGCAAGAGATCATTAGGAAGTGGAGTCAATAGGACTTGATGACTTGCCAGATGCACAGAGGGCACAGTTCAGGGCTGAGGATGAGTCCAGCAGGATGCCCAAGTTTCCGATCTGAGTGGTTGTGTACTTCATCATACTGTTTTCCAGAAAATAGGGATGGAGAGTTCAAGAAGCAGGATGGAATGGGGAGATAAAGAAATATTAATTATGTTTTAGACATGCTGAATAGAAGTGACTGTGAATCATCCAGGCAGAATTATCCAGTTCACAGATATGTAAAAATGATAATATGGATGTGGCAGTCAGAAAAGACAAATGGACAAAAGACAAAGATTTCAGAGCTAAGAGTTATAAGCAGTAGTTCATTTACCAAGAATGTGAGTGAGTCAACTCATGGGGAGTGTATAAAGGGAAAAGAAAGCCAGCCAAGCATGAATCTCTGAGAAATACCAAGGTGGAGGGTTAGTGATGAAAGAGAACTCATTCAAAGATAGAGTCAAAGACACTGAGATGTCCCAGCACGGTGGCTCATGCATGTAATCCCAACACTTTGGGAAGCCAAGGCAGGAGGATGGCTTGAGCCCAGGAATTCTAGACCAGCCTGGGCAACATAGGGAGAACCTGTCTCTACAAAAAATAAAAAGAAATTAGCCAGGTGTGGTGGTGCACACCTGTGGTCCCAGCTACTTGGGAGGCTGAGGTGGGAGGATCACTTGAGCCCGGGAGGTAGAGGCTACAGTGAGCTCTGATCACACCATTGCACTCCAGCCTGGGCAACAGAGTGAGACTCCATCTCCAGAAAGAAAAAAAAAAAAAAGATGCTAAGGAGGGTCAGAAAAACAATGCCCTAAAAGTCAGGAGAGGAGTATAAAAGGGAGGGAGGGCTCAAAGAACAAGGAGAGCAAGGCCTGAAACCTCTCCCTTAGCTATTAGTAAAAGCACACATCACCTTGTAGAGGGCAGTGTTCCTAGAGGGATGGAGACTGAAAGCTAGGGTGCAAGGAGGTAAGAGGTTGAACAGAAATGAGAAGGCAGAAGCAGGTAGGACAGGTCTAGGAAGGAAAGACAGGCAGCAGCTACTGGGAGAGAGTACAAAAGGAAAGGAGTTTCATTTTGTCTGTAAAAAGGAAACACTTGCACAGGCTTGTATTCTGAGAGGGCAGTGACAGAAGGCAGGAACAAGGAATAAAGAAGACAACAGAGGCTGCCATGTCTGGAGAGATGTGGTCCACAGCACAGCCTAGGAGGGAGATGTCAGCTTTGAACAGGAAGGGAACCACTGATGCTACAGAGGTGGAAAGGAATAGGACAGAAACAACTAATACGGACAATTTTGTGGATTAAAAAGCTAAATTTTAAAGGCAATCCTTTAAAGATGGGCTCTAATTTCTCCCCAGAAAAAAAATAGGCAGGTTCTTCAGATTGGAGTCATGGAGTTGGGCAAAAGAAGGGAACTTGAAAAGAGAGATGAAACACTAAAGTAGCAAGTAAAACAGAACTGAAGCCTTCAAGAAAAGGACCATCCGTTTGAATTGAGCCCCCCAGCAAGGCTGGTCATTGGAGACTTGTGGCCAATTGATTGGCAAAGTGAGATTTTTCTGCACTATGCTCAGTAGCTGCTCCTATGTAGATGCAGAGAAGAGAATATTTAGATTTCCCAAACTTGGGATTTGCAAGGCCAAAGGAAGGAAAGGAAGGAAGTGGGGAAGATATCAGTACAGAAGTTGCAGGGATGGCCTATATGTGTTTAGTTATAGAGAAGTTCAGAACACATTGCCCCCAAAAGGCACCAACTGGCATATTGACAATCTTGAATTAGAGGTACTTGAAAAACAGAAGGTACAAGAAGATCACTCTTCCTCTTTTTAAAAATAGAAGATGAAATTCCCATCTGAAAGGTGTCCTCCCTATACGAGAAAAAAAAAATACTCCTATCATCGAGGATGGGAAGTTGGGGCTGAGGGAAATCTGTACAAACCTTGTTACACTAACCCTTATCTTCCTAGTTACTTCTCTACCCAATTAACTGCCCTAGCCCAAGCCCCTTAGCCTTGTCACATTTTCACAATTTACTAATCTTTCTCCAATTCACTATATAAGCATTCAACTCAGGCTGGGTCTTTGGGCCTTCATTTCCTTATGAAATCTTCCATACCACATAAAAGTGACATTAAATACATTTGTATGTTTTTCTCCTATCTGACATCAACTTAATTCTCAGGCTAATCAGAAAAACTCTAAGAGAATAGAGGTAAAGTTGTGCCTCCCCAGCTGGCTAGGGGAGAAAGTGAAGCCCAGGAAATTGTTGATAATTTGGAGATGGTGAGGCTGGAAGGTAGCTATGGAGGTAACAGGGACATGGGCTTGGGCCTGCTAGTAGAAAAGGTGGCTGTGAGTGGAAGAAGGGATATCAGAGCCTGGAACCATAGAAGATGCTCAGCCCTGAAGACTGAAGGTCACATGAGCTGGGGAAGAGCTTTGCTAAAGTGGGTGGAGTGTCAATGAAGGTCACTGAAGACAACAGGTAGGGACTTAGTGGGAAATAGTGGAAAGGCCTCTAGACCAGTCTTCAGGAATCCTGGGTTTTAATTTTATCCCACCACTTTCTTTCTGTGTGGCCTTGAGCTTTACACCTACCCTCTCTGAGTTTTTGTTTCCTCTATGAGAACAGAGATATGGAGGTACTGTAATGTTAAATAATATGCATGAGAATTCCTGCCACTTAGTTGGTCTCCATCAGTATTGACTGGATCTGGAGCCTGGCATGTTAGACATGAGCCTGTGGAGCACAGGAGCCCAGGGATGGGAGGGAAAATGGCCCAACCAGTATGGGACAAGAGACAGGAGAAACAGGTATGGGGAAGGAGGGGATACACTTTGGCAGACTTCCCAGTTTTGCTTAGAACTGACCTTACTTACCTTCAGGTGGAGGAAGGCAAAGAGGAGTTACCCTGAAAGATATTTTGATGGTCCTAGGTTGCAAAGATAGACAGCTTTGTTTCACTTGATTTATGAAGACTGTTTTTAAAATCCAGCCAACTTTGTTCTTAGATACCTGTGTCCTTGAACTCATGCCATTTTGGCTGTTCCAGGCACTCTTTCCATCAATTATCTGTCTAGCCAGCATATTGCATTCCTCTGTCTCCACTGGCAACTTCTTTTTAGCCTCCAAACACCTTGCAGGGTCTCCTTCTTTAAGAGATTCTCCCCAGCCTGCCTCCCAGCCCTGAGAGCTCTATTTGTCTCTCTCCACTTCCTTACTAATCACACTCTGGCCCAAAACAGAGCTGGACAGAATATAAGATTCCTTTTGGTACAACAGGGAGCCTGGAGATGCTACAAAAGGATCCAAGCCAGGCCTGGCAGGGGCAGAATCAAACTGGCAGAAAACAGAATGGAAGGTGGTTACGGAATAGAGGCAGGAGCATGAACACAGAAGGAATAACCATCTTTCACCCAATTCTAATTTAAGTCATCTCTCTGCATTGTATAAGCTTTGGACTGTCTTGGATCCTATGAGGGACAAAAAAATTGTATGTATATAGATAAATACATCACCACTTGTACAATAATAGTAATAGTATAATAATAGCTAACAGCATTTACTGAGCGTCACAATTTGCTCTATGGTCGTTATGTATACTAACTTATTTAGAGCTCACAACAGTCCTAGGAGGTAGGTATAATTATTATCCCCATTTTACAAATAAGGGGACTGAGGGTCACCAAAATTAAATAACTTGTTGAAGATCACGTATTCTGTAAGTGGTGGCCAAGCCCACGCAACCTGAGTCAATAGCACTTACAGAGCATTTATACTTATACTTTTTCTCATGCCACTCTCATAATGACCCTGGGAGGCCCAGATGGCATGTATAATTATGCTTATTACCACTAACAAATAAGGAAACTGAGTCCAGAAGATGCAGTGATTGCCTGAGTTCACAGAGTCAGGAAATTGCAGAGTCAAGGACCTAGGTTCTGTACTACAAACCCCTGCAACTGGGGAGAGATGAGTGAGAGAAACTGGCATCTGAGGCTGCTATGGGCAAACAGCAGGGCAAAAAGCCAGGCTGGCTACTAGGTGAGCTGCTAGGGACAGCTGAGCACACGTTCAGCCAAGTCAACTTCAATGTTCAGGGGTTCTCTGAACAGCACACAAACCATGCACTGCCAGTTTTATACAGTTAGTGTAGGATTTCTGGAGTGTCCCCATTCTTTCAGGCAGTCACAAGTCCTCCAGTGAATGTGACAATCCCAACAGGGATCCTGGGTCTGGGTCCTAATAGCACCACTGTACCGAATCCCGTGGCCTCAATGACTTTGTTTCCATTTTTATTCTTCGGAACCCTGTTCCTTGAGACTTATCTCCCACCCCTTCTCAAAGCCCTCACCTCCCTCAATTTGGCTCTGCACCCTTCTGATCCTCCTACCTCATGTTTCCTTGTCTCCCTCCCGGGGTTCTCTATGCCCCAACTCCACCCCTTGTCGTGGGCGCTCCTCAAGGCCTCATTTCTTTCCACTCTGTATACTCTTCCCAGATGGTCTCATCTCTCTCCATGACGTCCAACATTTAGTTATTTTTGAAGTACTCTTTAAATCAATTATTGTATGGTAAAAAATATATTAAAGGCTAGAACTAAAATTCTTCTTAAGAATGAAACTGTCGGCTGGGCGCAGTGGCTCTCTCCTGTAATCCCAGCACTTTGGGAGGCTGAGGCAGGCGAATCATGAGGTCAGGAGTTCAAGACCAGCCTGGCCAACATGGTGAAACCCGGTCTCTAATAAAAATACAAAATATTAGCTGGGCATAGTGGCGGGCGCCTGTAATCCCAGCTACTCGGGAGGCTGAGGCAAGCTAATCACTTGAACCTGGGAGGCAGAGGTTGCCTTGAGCCGAGATGGCACCAGTGCACTCCAACCCCGGGCAACAGAGAGAGACTCCGCAAAATAAAAAAAAAAAAAAAAAATTGTCTTACTTTAGGAAGATACCTTGTTGGGACATTTGGGTAGAAAAGATAAGACCCGGGGGGGGGAAAAAAAAACCAACCCTGGAAAGAAGGAGTAGAATATAAAGAAGGCTAAATTGATTTTCTTAAGAAAATGGAAGGAAATTGGAAAATAAGGGTGAAGAAGAAGTGTCCACCTGAGGAAAAGTAGAGATGAGTGGCATAAACTTAGGCTGAGTTGGTAGAAATGGCTGAGGGACTCTTTAAGAAGGATGTCCCTAGGTCAATGTTAGGTTATTTGCACATATGCATGTAAAGCCCCACAATCTCTCCTGAATTTTAATAAATTCTAGTATTAGCCAAGGATTTTCATGAGCCTTTTTATGATCTCTTCTTCATAAAATAAGCAAAATTCTGATTCAATATCTGCATAAATGAGATACAAAATAGGAGCAGGGCCTGTGAGTTTTAGACAATCCACAAACTAATTGGGTGAGAGGCTCCTAAATTCTCAGATATCTTGCAGAAGGTATTAGACTTATGATGAGTGAGGGAACAGGGATTTTAAACCCATCTTATATAGGGACTTAAGAAACATGGATACCTCACACTAATATAATTATAAAGTTATTAAAGTTGCTCATGATAAACATTTTGAATAATACTAAAAAGAAGGAATACAAATAAACTGCAGTCTGCCTCCCAAATACAATTAGTTTAACATTTTCATGAATAACTCTCCAGTTTCTTTCCTGGTAAAACTTTTCATATAACTTAATAATCTTTTATATACTCCAATGTCACTCCCATATTCTAGACCCACCTTTTCAAATTCCTGTCTATTGAACATCAAGCTTGACATGTCCTAAATTGAGTTCAACGTCTTTACTCCCCCTACCCCACCTCACTGCCTTTCCTCTTTCAGATAATGATGAAACCATCCACTGACTCATCAAGCCTTAGAGCCTTTTTTAACTCCTCCTTCCATTTCTCCCCACACACAGCCAACTAGTCACCAGGTTCATTGAGGTAAGCCTCCATGGAGTCATTCAAAGATGGAGTCCCTCTGATTCACTGTGTTCATGTACCTACCACCATTACTGGCCTGCTCATTCACATCCTCATCTCCTCGTGACTGGACTCCCAGATAAGCCTCCTAGAGGGCATCCTTACCTTCTCTCTGTATTCTTTCCAGCCAATCCAACACATCATTGTTTGATTGACAGTCCCCAAGGAGAGCTTTATCAAATTACTCCACTGCTAGAGAATTTCAAATCACTCCAGTGCCCACCAGTGTAAGCATCAACTCCTCACCCTGGCACTCGGGACTCTCATAAATGCCATTATTTTTTCCATCATGTTGGGTTACTTAATTTCTCCCCCAAATGCATTTCACGCTGCTCCCTTCTAACCTCTGTCTCGTGTTGTTTCGTCTGCTAGACTTCCCCTCTCTTGATAGTTTACCCATCTGTCATGGGCTGGATTTTGTTCCTCTCAAAACCCATATGTTGAAGGCCTAATCCTCAGTATGTCAGAATGTGCTTGTATTTGGAAATAGGACCTTTAAAGAGGTAATTAAATTAAAATGAGATCATTAGGGTGTGCTCTAATCTAAGATAGCTGGTGTCCTTTGAAGAAAAGGAGGTTACAATACAGACACAGAGTAAAGGATGGCCATATGAGGACACAACCAGAAGGCAGCTCTCTGTAAGCCAAGGAGAGAGGCCTCAGGAGAACCCTACCCTGCCCATACCTTGATCTCAGACTTCCACTGTCCAGGGCTATGAGAAAATAAATTTCTGTTCCTCAGTCACCTAGTCTGTGGTACTTTGCTGTGGCAACCCAAACAAACTAATGTACATCTTCAAGGCCAATCTCTGTTTCCACCTTCTTCATGTGACATTTCTGTTCTCCCTCCCTGAGACCTGCATGACACTCTGCTTAGCTTATTTGCCTATCTACTCTCCTGGGTGAGGCATGAATCCCGCCTCGTTCTTCAGGACAGATGATGTTTTACTCATCTCTATCATCATCATTGCATCTAACTCAGAGCCTTGCATGTGGTAGGTATTCAAAAAGCAGTTATTGGATTGTATTAAAAAAATTTATTGCAGAATAATTCACTTAAATATTACTGTAAAAAAAAAGTAGAAAATGGATCATTGTAAGCAGTAATAAACATGTCATAATTTTTTTTGTTTTTGGTATTCTCCAGGTACCAGGCATTTTCCTGATACTGAATATCCAAGAAAAGAAAGTTGTTAGGCAAACCAAAATAAATGTCTAGTCTTTTAAAAGTTTAAATAGCTAAGTAACTCCCTTTTTACATGGTAACATTCTTTAAATCCACAACTAGTCAGTATGGCACAATTAAACAAACATTGGTTTATGAGTCAGACTAATCTGGTTCCATGCTTGGCTCCACCATTTACTTCCTATGTAACCATTATCAGATTATTTCACCTCTCCAAGTCTGCTTCCTTATCTGTAAAATGGAAATGTCCATAACTACTTTATAGGATTGGCATGAGGATTGAATTACAAATAAGATTAGAGAAGCTGGATTGGAATCCCAGCTTTTGACCATTTATAGGCTGAGTGACCTCTGACAACTTATTTAATCCTTCTAAGCCTTCATTTCTTCAATTATAGAAGGAGGATGATGGCAATAATAGTACCAAGCTAATAAGCCTGCTGAGAGAATTACTTGGGTATCTGAAACAGTAAATGTTCAATATATGTTAAGCGATACAATGTCAGCATTAAAGTGACTAATACAGAGCCTACCACATAGATAATATACAATAAATCATATTTATTAATATTATTACTTACACTAGGATGATTTACGTTAAAAACATAACTATGGTCAAGAAAGAAAAGTGGTTTTTTCCTCATACTCAGTCAATTGTACATTTTCTAAGGGAGAAGTTCAGTATTTGAAGCAATTCAATCTTTTCCTGAGTGAAAACAGTTTTGAGCAACAGCATTGACAGAGCAATATGTAGTCTCATCACTTTCGGTCCATTCTATTGCTGCCTTTGGTGCCTGGGGTTACCCCTCATTGCATGCAGCCAGAACTTTTACAGAGTCATTTCATGCAAAGGTAGACAGGAAGATAAAGCTGTTAGTGAAGCTAGTTCAGCTCCATGACAGGTGCCTTCTGAGGGAGTCCAAAATGGGCTGCTTCCCCACCCCAAAACACATGTATGTGGCTGGGTCCTTCCACGTGAAATAACGAGCAATTAGCCAGAAGAACGCGGGGGAAGAACGCAGGGGGTGAGGGGGTGGGGGGGGGGGTTCCAAACCAGGGAATAATAAAGAATATTTTTAAATTGTTTTTAATTTTATAAAATTTTATATCCCCCCTTCTGGAATGGAATGGAAAGGAAAGGTATAAATGGACTATAATATTTTTCAGAAGTAGTACTTACATATATATATAGTATTAGCATGGAACTATAAACCCTTTTCTTAAATCTTTACTATTTTGAAAATTCAACTGTGTCAAGCACATAATAAAAGCTTAGTAAATATTCCTTGAATTTCAATTCATCAATAAATTCATATCTATTTCAATGACTTCAGGAAAAATAAACCTTATATAATATTATATTGGTGATTCTCAAAGAATCACTGGAGTGGAGAAGCACATGCTCATTACAATTACTTAGTTAAAAAATAATCAATTTTTTTTTTTTTTTTTTTTTTTTTTTGAGACGGAGTCTCGCTGTGTCTCCCAGGTTGGAGTGCAGTGGCGCGATCTCGGCTCACTGCAAGCTCCGCCTCCCAGGTTCATGCCATTCTCCTGCCTCAGCCTCCCAAGTAGCTGGGACTACAGGCTCCCGCCAACACGCCCGGCTAATTTTTTGTATTTTTAGTAGAAACGGGGTTTCACCGTGTTAGCCAAGATGGTCTCGATCTCCTGACCTCGTGATCCGCCCGTCTCGGCCTCCCAAAGTGCTAGGATTACAGGCGTGAGCCACCGCGCCCGGCCAAAAAATAATAAATCTTGAGAAACAATTTTATTAAGTAAAAAAACGCATTCATTCTGTACCTACCATATGCCAAGTAGGTTCTCAAAAAATAAAGATAAATTAGATTCTCTATCCTTTCAAGGTTGAATAGATAAATCCTTCCCCAATCCAATAGACTCTTAATGCAAAGAGAATTAACTCTAGAAGGGCTCTGCTCCCTTTCTTCAATTTTCTTCCATGAAACAATGGAGCAGAGTGGAAAGAAAAGTGAAGTCAGGCTTCTGGGCATCTCTGTCGTGCTACATCTTCTCTTTTCCCCACTAGGGGTAGAAGGAGTGTCTTCTCAACTTTGTGGAGATTTCTGGAGTAAAACCTCAGAATCAAAGAATGCTGGAGCCAGAGGTCATTGTAGAGGTCTCCTTGCCTGATAGTTCTCAACCCCAGTTTCTAAATGACTGTGAGGGTCAATATTCTCCTAAAGTTTTATATCTAGTTGAAACCCACTGATAGAGTCTATGGTTTTCCTTTTACAGGCAAGAAAGCAGGTTCACAGGAACACGGAAAGCTTGCCTAAAATCACAGTGGAAACTCGAATCCAGGTCTCCTTACTTCAAATACCAAACTTTCTTTAACCCTGGGATCCCAAGATGAGCTCTAGGAAGTCTGGTGACCCTTCCTAAAATTGTATGTAAAATTTGGATATGGGCGGGGTGCGGTGGCTCACACCTGTAATCCCAGCGCTTTGGGAGGCCAAGGCGGGTGGATCACGAAGTCAGGAGTTTGAGACCACCCTGACCAACATGGTGAAACCCCGTCTCTACTAAAAATACAAAAATTAGCTGAGCATGATGGCGGGCGCCTATAATCCCAGCTACTCGGGAGGCTGAAGGAGAATCGTTTGAACCCGGCAGGCGGAGGTGGCAGTGAGCCAAGATCATGCCATTGCACTCCAGCCTGGGCGACAGGGCGAGACTCTGTCGCAAAAGAAGATATGCATGCCTGTGTACATTTAAATGAGATGAGGATCCACGGCTTTTGACAAATTCTCAAAAAAATTAAAAACGGCCGGGCGCAGTGGCTCACGCATGTAATCCCAGCACTTTGGGAGGCCAAGGCGGGCGGATCACGAGGTCAGGAGATCGAGACCATCCTGGCTAACACGGTGAAACCCCGTCTCTACTAAAAATACAAAAAAATTAGCCAGGCGGGGTGGCGGGCGCTTGTAGTCCCAGCTACTCCGGAGTATGAGGCAGGAGAATGGTGTGAACCTGGAAGGCGGAGCTTGCTGTGAGCCGAGATTGCGCCGCTGCACTCCAGCCTCGGCGACAGAGAGAGACTCCCTCTCAAATAAATAAAGAAATAAAGAAATAAAAATACCATAAATTCAAATTTGCATTAGTTATTTCCCAGGCAATTATAAGAAGTGTCTGGGTATAGTGAGCAGGATTGGCCATGTGTGACTGAGGGTTAGAACCCCACATAACGTGATTGGGGAGATGTGGTATGAGCCCCACTCTATAAGAACTCCCCAGTTTCCTCCCAAACTTTTGCCTGAAATTGCTTTGTGAGTTAACGGATTTCGTACTATTCAAATGCAGATGTCCCTGGAGAAACAACAGAAGTCATTATCACATACAATAAAGTTGACATCATCATATTGCCTTCAAAAAGCTGTGGAGTAGCTGCAAGCAGATTTGAAGGATGGGGAAGGGACAGAGGCACTACAGGGACCCTATGCACTGAGGGATGGGAGAGCTCCACGGAGGAAGTGGCACAAAAATGGAGGCAGGTGGGCCTCAAAAACCCAAAGCATCATCCGGTTGCCGCCATGATAGAACAGCAGAAGCGTACAGGCCCAGAGTTACCGCTGGTCCCAGTCAAGCGGCAGCGGCATGAGTTGCTGTTGGGAGTGGCGGGATCGGGCCCTGGAGCCGGGCAGCAGCAGGCGACGCCAGGAGCTTTGCTGCAAGCAGGACCTCCGAGGTGTTCCTCCCTTCAAGCCCCAATCATGCTGCTCTCTGGACATGAAGGGGAAGTATACTGCTGCAAGTTCCACCCCCAACCGATCCACCTTAGCATCTGCAGGATTTGACCGACTGATATTGTTGTGGAATGTCTATGGTGACTGTGATAATTCTGCCATACTGAAGGAACACAGTGGAGCAGTGATGGAACTGCATTACAACACAGATGGCAGTATGCTCTTCCCAGCATCCACAGATAAAACTGTGGCTGTGTGGGATAGTGAAACGGGCAAGAGGGTTAAAACGCTAAAGGGACATACTTCCTTTGTGAATTCCTGTTATCTAGCCACCTTGTTTGCACTAGCAGTGACGATGGCACAGTTAAGCTTTGGGACTCTGGAAGAAAGCAGCCATCTAAACATTTCAGAACATGTACCAGGTGTTAGCTGTGACCTTCAATGACACAAGTGATCAGATTATTTCTGGTGGAATAGACAATGATATCAAGGTCTGGGACCTGTGCCAGAACAAACTAACCTACACCATGACAGGCCATGCAGATTCAGTGACTGGCCTGACCTTAAGTTCTGAAGGTTCTTATCTCTTGTCCAATGCAATGGACAATACAGTTCGTGTCTGGGATGTCTGGCCATTTGCCCCCAAAGAGAGGTGTGTAAACATAGTTCAAGGAAATGTGCACAACTTTGAAAAGAACCTTCTAAGATGTTCTTGGTCACCTGATGGAAGCAAAATAGCACCTGGCACAGCCGACAGGTTTGTGTATGTGTGGGATACCACAAGCAGGAGAATACTGTATGAGCTGCCCGGCCATGCTGGCTCCATCAATGAAGTTGCTTTCCACCCTGACTAGCCCTTCATTATCTCAGCATCGAGTGACAAGAGACTGTTGGGATATGGAATGGAAGACTCCAAGGCTACTTGTCTTTGAGACCTCAGACTGCATAAGTGACGTCAAATATTTATTGCCCAGGCTAGCACCCTCCCTTCAGATGACGATTACTGGCAAGAAACAGAGGAGGTGGTGGCCATATTCCAAAAACCACTGCTATCCCATTTCACCAGGATGACTAAGGCAAGCTCCCCGTGGCCTCTAAAATCCACCTGCCTGATTTCAGGAACTGTTTTGTTTTGTTTTTTGAGACAGAGTCTCGCTCTATCACCCAGGCTGGAGTGCAGTGGCGCATCTCGGCTCACTGCAAGCTCCGCCTCCCGGGTTCACGCCATTCTCCTGCCTCAGCCTCCGAGTAGCTGGGACTACAGGCACCTGCCAGCACACTCGGCTAATTTTTTGTATTTTCAGTAGAGACAGGGTTTCACTGTGTTAGCCAGGATGGTCTCGATCTCCTGACCTTGTGATCCACCCGCCTCGGCCTCCCAAAGTGCTGGGATTACAGGCATGAGCCACCGTGCCCGGCCTTCAGGGACGTTGTATTTTATTTTTTCTTTTTCTTTTTTCCTGTTTTCTAATGCCTGCCCAATGTGACAAATTTGCTGGTTGGGATTTTTTTTTTATTTAGTAACTGGCTTGTAGGATATTTTCTTTCTGTATTTCTCTAAGTGATTTTGTATTAAAAACATTTGTATTAAAAGCCTTAAAAAATAAAAAGCAAACAAACCCAAAGCACCTCTGTTTTCTGTTGATGACAGTCCAGAGGGGTAAAAATCCAAACTCACTGCAACAGATCAGAAGCCTCATGAGCTGACAATTTGGCTGAGACCACTCTAAGCCCTGTGAGGTTCTCCACCAAATAGTTGAGTAGGTAAATAAATAAATATTGTGGCAGCCAGAGAAACACCATGTTTCCCTGAAGAATTCCACTTGTAGACTTGAGGAAGAGTTCAACAACTAGCATCTGGTAAAGTTAGCTAGAAGCTGCCATATCTTCTAAAAGTGAAAGCTCACTGGCAGATGCACCCTCATTGGCAGCCCAAGCCCAGTCTTCCTGGTACCTTTTTAGACCCCTGCGTTGGTGGCTCCATGCCTCCTGATGGGAGGCTGAGCTGCTATGAGAATAAGAGGGCCTGTGGAAGCGACCACATTGGCTAAATATCAGCCCCTCCAGCTCTTCTCGACCTCGGGCACACTGATGTATGGGATAACTAACCAGCTTTAAAGAAAAGACCTAAAAAAGGACTTGGTAGGTATGTGGGTCCCTGATTTCCCATTGATACTTTGACTACAGGCTGGAACAGTCAGGGTGTCAGGGAAGGGCTCACCCATTCCTTAATGAGTAAAGAAGCATGGCATTCTCTGCTGGGAGAATTTTATTTTGCTGAATACTGTAGATCCTGCTAACTACCTACCCTTCTGATGGATGTTCACACAGCTAAAGAGCTCCTCCTGCTGAATTCTCATCAAGAAACTGGCTGCAGAAAGCAGCTCCTCCTTATAAGCTCTGCATGTAGCCCTCTGTCAGCTACATAATGTTTCTAATTCCTACCCAAGAACAAACCACTAAAAATTAATTATTGCTTGAAGGGAACAAAGAGAGAAAATACCAAGTATTTAATTCCTAAAATTATTTTGAGTAAAACTGGAGATAAGAAGGCTAGCCTTGAGCAATATCTTTGTCCCCAAATGTAGAATGTATTAGAGTTCTCTAGAGAACCAGAACTAATAGGAGGTAAACATAAAGAGATCATTACAAGGAATTTGTTCATATGATTATAGAGGCTTAAAAGTCCCATAATCGGTAGTCTGCAAGCTGGAGACTCAGGAAAGTTGGTGGTGTTGTTCCAGTACGAGTCTGAAGGCCTGAGGACCAGGAGAGCCAATGGTATATGTCACTGTCTGAGGGCAGAAGGCCAACGTCCCAGCTCAATCAATTGAATCAATTGGGCAAAGAGAGTGAATTCTGCCTTCCTCCATCTTTTGTTCTATTCAGGTCCTCAACTGATTGGATGATGGCCACTCACATCAGGAAGGGCAATCTGCTTCACACAGTCCTCTGGTACAAATGCTGATCTCATTGGAAACACCCTTACAGACACACCCAGAAATAACATTGAAACAAACATCTGGGCACCCTGTGGCCCTGTCAAGTTGACATATAAAATTAACCATCGCATACAATTTGTTGCATTTTTTTGTTACATAGAGTGTTAATAATACTGGATAAGAACTTAGAATAAATGCTGTCATTTAAAGATGGGGAAACTGAGGTCCCCAGAGAGGTTAAGGGGCTTGACTGAGACTCCCACTGACAATTGGATAGACCTGGAAGTAAAACCCAGATGAACTATGCTATTTTCTTTCCTACTGACCACTGGACAGTAATTGCTCTTATTACCTGGATGATTCATAACCCATTTCCAGTGTGTTTAACATTTATAACTAAGTAGTTAAAACTAGGAAGAGTTTCACTTACAGATGGTGATTTTTTGTGTGTTTTTTTAGACCCTCTTCTTCCCATTGTCTTATTACACCCTCACTCCCTCATCTCGGAAACACCCTGGTTAACTCACTGGCCATCTTGATAATGGTTCTGTTGCCCTGAGAGTGAAATCAGGGCTGAGCTTCTTAAGAAGAAAAGTGCTGAGTCAATTTCTACCCAATTTTGTGTCAGGGCCTTGTGACCAGGGTCCCTGCCCCTCTTAGACAGCAACACTGCCTGTTGACCGCAGTGACTTGAGGCATCCGACATTCAGATCTTCTTCCAGGCTTTTCTTTCTCTCCAGAGGAGAAGCCTTTTCTAAACACTTGCCAGATGCTTTCAATGAGCCTTACATGTCTTTCCCTAGAAGCAAAATGTTTAAGGTCCACAAGTGAATGTAATACCCACACTAGCTTCTGAAAGAAACTGCCAGATGACAGAAGGACCTTTACATCCAGAGGTGTTAGCAAAGTTGTGTGGGGCCACATGGGTAGATTGGAACTGCTCTAGCTTAAAAGGCATTAGATGCCCTGGGCTCTCTCCATGGCTAGCAAAACCCAGCTCAGAGAGTATTCTCTGCCTGCAATATTCCCCTGGGACTTTCCAGGACCTATCTCAGTCCTTTAGCCTACGGTTTTATCCCCTTGTCTTGTCTACTCTGTGACTTCATGCTGACTACCTCCAATTATCTAGAAAGGCCCCTATCTACTCTCAGTGGCCACTTGCCACTAACCACTGACCTGGGAATAAGTAACCAATCATGTCACCATCCTCATTCCCTTTTTTAAAATGCCGTTTGATAGCCGCATGTGGTGGCTCGCGCCTGTAATCCCAGCATTTTGGAAGGCCGAGGAGGGTGGATTGCTTAAGGTCAGGAGTTTGAGACCAGCCTGGCCAACATGGCGAAACCCTGTCTCCAAAAAAAGTACAAAAATTAGCTGGGTGTGGTGGTGAATGCCTGTAGTCCCCGCTACTCAGGAGGCTGAGGCACGAGAATTGCTTGAGCCTGAGAGGCAGAGGTTGCAGTGAGCTCAGATTGCACCATGGCATTCCAGCCTGGGCAACAAAGCAAGACTCTGTCTCCAAAAAAAAAAAAAAGCCATTTGAATTATGCAGAAAGGCAAGGCTTCAAAATTCTGTTATGAAACTCTGCTGTCCCTCTGTCTGTCACACATCCCCCACCAGAGGGACTTAGAGTGTGTTTGCTCATAGTATGTGGTTTAATAACAACTTCTGATGAATACAGATACGAAGAAAATTGACAAGTTTATGTGTGAATCCACTGGGCATCAAACGCTCACCTTGTTCCTAGAGATTTTTCTTGGCATAATGCCAAGAAATATAAAACCCAGTCCTGTGTGCAGTTGAAATGCATTTAGAAGGTGTGTGTGATAAGATTTCTCATTAAAGAACACCCTTGGCTGATATACACAGCCTCAAATATATTTTACTCCCAGAAATCACTTGGTCAGATTAAATAATTACAAAGATACTAGAGAAGTCTGTGATTTGTAAAAATAAGCTTACAAAATGGAATCCACCAATAGGCTAGGCATTTTTGTCACTGATTTCAAAAGAAATTTTCAGAAACTGACTGTCCAGAGAAGAGAGTTGGTTATGTACTTAGAGATTAGAGGCCATGTAGCGTTTTAACTCTCTGGAGGGCGTAGGGGAAATGAAGAGCCCTTGAAATAAACACTTTGAACAGCACAGTACATTCGCATTGGACTCTTTCTTGCAATTGGCTTCTTAAAGCAGAAAATGTTATATAAATATGAAGAACTGTCTTCAGAGAAGACATATTTCACATTCCTGCCTTTTAATGGTCCTAATGATATAAAATTGGATAAAGTACATATTGCCACTAAATGAAAAGTATAAATCTCTTTCCCTCCTGCTATCCCAATTTCCCTCAAGGAAATTCTTTCAAGCACTCTGCTTTATATTTCATGCTAATTTCTCCATTGCCAAAGGACCACTGGGGAGAAATTTGTGTTTAAAATGTAGTCATATGGATTAGGATTCTTCAGGAAAGCAATTATTCAATGACATTTATAGAAGAGAGAAACCAATATAGACTATTCTTACTCTTACAATGGATGTTCCTGCAAGGGGTGACACAGGTTAAAATGATATAAATGGGAACTGATTTCAGTGTGTGTGTGTGTGTGTGTGTGTGTGTGTGTATGTGTGCGTGAAGTTTCTAACTATAAGCCGGTGCTCAGAGTTGACAGAAATGGTCTTAGGCAACATATTTAATCAACTATAAATTCTTATCCTTGTGTAGCTCAAACAAAGGTAGACATACATAATTGGGTAAAAGCCCACTCACCGCCAAAAAGCAGTGTACGTAATTCCTGGGTCAATTGAACAATTTGTTTCTCAGATGTATTCAACTGAAAAATTTGTCTTTGGATATTTATACCAAAACATACTAAAACCAAGAGTCAAAACATCATATTAGTTAACAGGAAATTGTTCTGCTATGTGCAGCAAAAGGGAATTGAAAACATTTCCAAATCAATCACACCACATAAATTTGGCCAAATATGAGTCCAACATATCATGACAAACTCCTCTTGTGGTCTTGCACTTTGCTTTACATTTGTTCCAATAGGACTCAATGTTTGGGGTGTGCATGCCAAGTAATGACATGAGACAGAAGTTGGGAGCATTATGGCTAACTGGAGCATGTTGGAAACCAAGGAGAGGCTGAATATTATTATATGTAACCCATGAATTGTAGGGAATGGTAGAACCAGGCTGAACCATGCACTGCAAAACAGGTGGCAAAGTTTGGATCCAATTGTCACCAGCAATTTCCAAACAACAAATAGCTGATTGATGGGTAGTATCTATCACACCAAAACCCATATTTGCCCTTTCTGGAGCACGGCCAGGATGACACTTCATTTTGTGGCTTAAACAGGACTTGGCAATTTGCAAGTAATGACCTGTACCTCCAAGCTGTATTGGATGTAGTTCTAAGTATTCTTGGACAAGCATACTTTGCAACAGAAATTGTAGGTATCAACCACAGTAGTAGCCGGAATGCCAATAACTGCAGTTGCTGCTTTCTCTATGACTTCATAAAACCATAAGAATAGGTAAAGCCACATTTTCAGGGAAATGTTGCACTTAGGAAAAAAAAAAAAAAAACGATTCCTTGGGAAGGGAAACCCATGACGATTGGCCCCACAGGCCCCATAGGAACCAATTGTTCAATTGATCCTAATTCCTCTCTTCATCCCAATTTGGAGAAGAGATTCAGCTGGTCAGAAAACACAATGTGCTTGGCCCCAAGAGAAACAGGAAGCTGGGAAGCCTTCTGAGCCCAGAGAAAAGCCAGTCTCAAGATGAGTAGCCTTGGGCAGTAGAGGGAAAAAGGGCCTCTTTGGGAATATGATTGATCAGGGCACTGTACTGAAAATGAACTTTGAACAGAAACTGAAAGAAGACTGTATTAGTCCATTTTCACACTGCTATGAAGAACTACCTGAAATTGGGTAATTTATTTAAAAATGAGGTTTAATTGACTCACAGTTCTGCATGGCTGGGGAGGCTGCAGGAAACCTACAATCATGGCCGAAGGCGAAGGGAAAGCAAGCACATCTTATCATGGCAGAGCAGGAGAGAAAGAGCGCAAGTGGGGGAAGCACCACATACTTTCAAACTGTCCGATCCCATGAGGACTCTATCACGAGACAGCACTAGAGGGACGGTGCTGACCATTAGAAACCACTCCTATGATCCAATCACCTCCCATCACGCTCCACCTTCAACATGTGGGGACTACAATTCCACATGAGATATGGGTGGGGACAAAGAGCCAAACCATGTTGAAGACCAAATAGAAATACCCAGAGAGCCCATAAGGCAAGAACGGCTCAAGAAGGGAAATCCAAAGAGAACAAGAACAAAAACTGTTCTCTCAGTCATTCCTGACTAAATTTCTTGCCCGTTCCTTCCTGAGGAGGGTCCAAACATCACTGTTGAATATAATTAGGCTTAAAATCACCACATAACATTGCATATGGTTTCCATTATATAGATTGAGCTCAAGCATTTCAACTCATTATTTTGCCATTTTCCTAAGGTCTTCAGCATAATAACCCCCGTAGATAAAGATATTGAGACTAAATGAGCTTTATTCGTCATTTGTTGCACTCAAGATTCTAACTGTGAGGGAGAGCTTATCAGGGAAATATTCCTTTAAAAATGTTGCTTTTGGGAACTTATTTATGTCTTAGGATACTATTAGATACAAGTGGATAATACGAAGATTTCTTAAGTGTAAAAAAATCAATTTAACAGTAAATTACAATAATAAATCATATAAAAATATTTCATATGATATAGCATCAGTGTTCATAGAAAATCATCCCTCGCCTTATTTCTACTGGAAAAGAAATTACAGCTGAAAGAACATCTTCATCAGAGTCATGGAGGCAAGAAGTGATTCTTTCAACAAGATTTTTACAGAAATGTGAAAGAAGTAACAGAAGTCCCTGGATGACTAAGAAACTGATCTAAGAACTTTTGTTTATCTGCCTTCCATTTTTCAGTACAAATTTCTTTGGAGCAAATGTCTACATTAGAGATCAAGTTTTTGGTAATTCTGCTGTCCTAAAAAGAAAACATCTCGCTGTTTTCTTGAGCTGATTTCTCAACAGCATCACTAGCTTCATGTGCACGTTGATGTTACAAAAAGCAAATATACTTCAAAAATTCCATTATTCAGTACATTTTGATGTATCCATGTTGTATTGCTTAACATATAATAAGCATCAAATTTATATTCACTTGTTGAATGAATACACAGATTTTTAATAGATATGGTAGGTACTGTGCAAGACTCTGTGAAAAATATTTAGATGAATAAAATAATAATCACCATGTATTAGAGACTCTAAGATATATTTTTTATATTTTCACATTTCTAAACTGGAATGCTTCCTACAGCCTTTTAAATTTTTTAAATTTTAAAACCGTATTCTTATTGTTGTCTCTTTAAATGATAATAGGCAGTGTGTTTCTTTCTTAACAGTACACAAATTACTGGTGTACCATACAATTGATAGTATCTTCGGTTTGATAGATACTTATATGCTGTATAGCTAATAGAGAACATGGTTTTTACACATTCAGGACTTACTTTTTTGGGGGGCGGTTGGGGGTGGGACAGAATCTCACTCTCTTACCCAGGCTGGAGTGCAGTGGCATGATCTCAGCTCACTGTAACCTCTGCATCCCGGGTCCATGCTATCCTCCCACCTCAGTCTCCTAAGTAGCTGGGACTACAGGTGTGCACCACCATAGATGGCTAATTTTGGTATTTTTTGAGGAGACAGAGTTCCACCATGTTGCCCAGGCTGGTCTCTAACTCCTGAGCTTAAGCAATCCATCCACCTCAGCCTCCCAAGGTGCTAGGATTATAGGCATGAGCCACCATGCCCAGCCAGGACTTCCAAACATATAAGAAAGTATAGAGAGCATTCTGTCCAACCCCTCTCATTTAATAGATATCAAAAATGAGATCCTAAGAGGCTGTGCCCCAAATAACTCAGCTGCTCCATGGAAATGCTAGAACTAAAGCACAGTTTTTCTGACTCTTGGCTGAATATCCCACACCATATCACCTTATACTACAAAAATCTTATAATTCAATCTCAATCTCCACTTATTTTTGTTGTTGTTGTTGTTGTTGTTAAAAAGTTTGTTGAAACTGGCTGTTTTGTTTTCAATAAACATCATATTTTATACATGTCAATGAGTTTTTCTTCAAAGTAAGCACCTTTAAAAATGATATTTTTATTCTATTGATGTTGTCATAGCACAAAACACCCTTGGGGTTTGTTTTAGGTCATCTTCAGAGAAAGCTTATTGGTTAAAAAAGAAACCCAATGTTCTTGCTTAAAACAGTAGCACTGTTGCTTCCCAGAGGTTATTTCAGAAATTTCCAGAAGTGATTTGATCGTAACAATAACTGTATTGCCACTGTCATGTAGTGGGTGTGGCTTGGGGACCAGCTCATGCCTCATAACTGTAGATGGAATCTCCTCCTTTTCCATTCCCTACTCCTTCAGCCCTTGCAAAAAGTCTCACACGCCACCGTCTGATAGACATGCCAGCCCACACATCCACACCCTCAAGCTTGGCCACCTGTGGTCTGGGGCATTGTCCACTCTTAGAGGAAGAGATCTAAAGAGGCTGTGTAAGTCATTCAGTGAGGGAATACCAGGATTCTGGGTATGTGGACATGGTGGTGCAGAAAGGGGATGCAGATAGCTGGGCACATCCCTGGGGTCCCATGGACTCTGTCTTGTTGGAGCCAGAGTAGGGTGCTGGA
This sequence comes from Homo sapiens, assembly GCF_000001405.40. Lineage (NCBI taxonomy): Eukaryota > Metazoa > Chordata > Mammalia > Primates > Hominidae > Homo > Homo sapiens. The sequence continues at coordinate 156,167,031 of NC_000003.12, read as the reverse complement.
CTTCTAGAGCAGCACTGGTCAGGAATGGAGACTTGTTGCCCTTCAGGGACAGTCTAGCACAACCAAGAGGTGCCCATGTCCAGGATGACTTCCAATGTCCTGCCACACTAAACCGCCATAAACATCAACCGGTTCCTACAAATCCTAAAAAGCCTTCGCAGAACGTTACATGAAAAGCTCAATCATCTAGGAGAATTTTATTAGAAGGGGAGATGCTTAAATGGAATACAATCCCTTATCATAAAATTGTTGACCAATTTATTCACTCCATACATTCTACCAATTCCATTAGACATTTAGCTGAAACAGTCTGTACAATAGTGCAATTACCACAAAAGCAAAGAGAATGTTTGCAAACAGCTAGCAAATGAAATCTGGAAATGCTTTAAAAGATGTAAACCCATAAAAGAAGCACTGGGATCTTGCTGATATTCATGAATAAGGACTGTTTTAAAGTACACCATATATTGCCTATCTGTGTGTGTGTGTGTGTGTGTGTGTATATATGTATTTTTTAAATTTGTCTAGCACAATGATAAAAATAACATGTTTACATTTGTTTTGGGATTGCGCATTCATTCTTAATTTGTTAGTATCTCTCTAGTGCTACTACACAGTTTCTTTATAGCTCCTTATATTACTGTTTGTTTTCAAATGCATCCTCTGCTCCCCTGTTCCTTTTCAAAGATAAGATTTCTAGACCCTTTTTATGTATTAAAAACTGAGTGTGTGCCTCCACAGACCTTGGAACTTTCAGAAAAGAGAGATGTGCTGCCTCATCTCTGCCTCATGCCCATGGCATGACACTGATAATTGTTTTCAACACTACACTTAACAGTAAAGCACAGCATATCATCTGAGACATTAGTCTTTCTCCTTACTTCTGCTGTGTATCGTGGCATATTACTTTCCCTTAAGTAAGGCCATTTCTCTCTTTCTCTTGTAATATACAAATGTTCGCTGAACATCTGAATATGGAAAAAATGAGGGGCCCAAGCTCCAGCCAGAAATCAGGTGATTCACACACCCCAGTTCCCAACATCGCAAAAGGCTTTCTTTTGCACATGAGCACAGCCTTAGAATCCCTTACACACCTTCCAGGAACTACTCTGTGATCCAACAAGAAGGCAGAGATGCCCTTGTGAGAACACAGTAAACAAGTCCCCAATTCAAGGAGATTCAAAATGGTGAGAATTAATAATTTACATTTGAAAAGTGAGAACTAATTATTTACATTGAAAAGAAAAACCAGGAGAGCTCAGAAGAACAAAAGGGAATAAAGCCGCAATACAGATATAATGTTAAAGATAAATACATATAAAAACACTAACTATAACAAAACATCATTTGCTTAGAAGAGAAAGGCAAATGTAATATAAAAGATCTGTAAGCAAATTAAGGTGTTGATCAATGGAGTAAAACTTCATGCTATCTTTTATTAGTTAGGGGTATTGACTCAATACATGAAACACAGTAATGCTGATTGTGGAGACTGCTCCCTTCTTCAGTCTCCTCTGCTTTGTTCACCTAAGCTCTGCCTCCCTCTTCTCTCAAACTGCCAGACTGAGCACAGAGCAAGACCTTTGGTGCAGGTCTGCAAACTGCACATCCACTGACCACACACAATATCACAGGCCTGGGTCCGTCAGTTAGCAGCAAACTCACCACTCCGTTTCTGTTTATAGTCCAGTTTACAGTATAATGCTCTGCTCACTTATTTGCTTTCTTTTTTTTTTTTTTTTTTTTTTTTTTTTGAGACGGAGTCTCGCTCTGTCGCCCAGGCTGGAGTGCAGTGGCGGGATCTCGGCTCACTGCAAGCTCCGCCTCCCGGGTTCACGCCATTCTCCTGCCTCAGCCTCCCAAGTAGCTGGGACTACAGGCGCCCGCCACTACGCCCGGCTAATTTTTTGTATTTTTAGTAGCGACGGGGTTTCACCGTTTTAGCCGGGATGGTCTCGATCTCCTGACCTCGTGATCCGCCCGCCTCGGCCTCCCAAAGTGCTGGGATTACAGGCGTTGAGCCACCGCGCCCGGCCTATTTGCTTTCATTAGGATCTTCTTTCAACATCAAAAGCATTTTAGACATCATCCCCAGTAACAAAAATGTAAACAGCAGTACAGCTTTTCAATTCTTCCTATTTAAGCACTTGCAATCCATTTCTATTCTGAATGCAAGTAAAATTTATTTTCCCTTTTGCTGGGCTAACTACAAAAAGAGATGGAGTGTCTTAAAATAAAGCAGAGTGGTATAAAAAGAAGAGAAAGTTTTAATGAGAAACATATTGTAAAAAGAGTCCTGAGCCCTAGATCTCCATCACTGGTACCGAGGCCCGGACCAGGCTAAACAACATCTTTTTCAATTTGGACAGGGAAAACACCCAAACTGACAAAATCTAGCATGTTTTTCTCCCTGAACAAACATCATAATTCCTTCACGGATCTTTTGTGTTACATTTGCCTTTCTTCTGGGCAAATAAATAGCTGATGCACCAGGCATCACACTATTTGCCAGGAAAACAAAATGAGTAAGAACATGGTCTCTCCCTGCAGGCAGCTTCAAGTCTAGTGAAAGAGATGGTCATGTACACAAATAATTAAAAACAGGGGCATGTAGGGAGGAATGAAGCCAATGGGACACTGATGGAAAAATGATCAATTCTTCTCAAGAGAGCGGCCTCATTGGTAACATCTAAACCTTCTCTGCTTGTATACAGAATGATGTGAGGATCAAATGGGGTATAATATATTGCAAAAGCACTTTGAAAGGTATAATGCTCTCTTATTCTCTCAAGCATTCACCTTACATTTTCTGCCTCTCTTATTTAGTCACATCTAAACCATAAAGTTAGGCAAACCATCAACAGGCAGAGGGGAGGAGGGAGGCCAAGTCATTCTTCATATTACCCAGATTAATTCACTGTATTTATGTAATTGATTCTGAAAGGCACCACTCCCTGTCGCCAGTGGGTTAAGAAACAGTTAGAACTGAGAAGGATAGTATGCAAAACTTTGCAGTCTTGATGCCTAGCATTAACTCTTGCACATTAGTATGCACCAGCATCCAACTCCTCAGTTGGAAGACAGGATAAAAAGCAATGAATCACCTTGTAGATCATCAAGGTTGTATCCACACTAAATGAAACTTCATGCCATGGCATCCGTGCAACATTTGGACTTGATTTATAATTCTGCACAAAGTTTGCCGTTGCCACAAAGGGTAATGAATTAACAAGATAAAAGTTGACTTAAAGTGCTTCTTCATCTGTGTTTACACCCAGCAAAAGGTTATGGCTGGAAATGAATCAACAAGAATAAAGACAAAATTCATATATCTCTTATCGTAAGATTCAGCTGGTGCCAGGAATGTGCTCATTGCAGAAATTTAATCACCAAGACCAAGATGCTTCTCAGTAACTTGAATAATAGCTGAATATACAGAAAAGCATACATCAAAATGTTTTTAGGTGAGGTACGCCCTGACATCTTTTCCATAACTGAGTTTTATTTACAAGTTACTAACTCAACTGCACTGCCAGATAGTAATCTCATTCTTATTGATCATAACTCCTACACATTCACCATGAGGTTGACATTGGGTAACAACCAGAGGTCCCACTATCTGGCATGACTCAAGGTAAGGGGACTATGTGGCATTTTTTTAAGTGCCATAGCTCACTGGAAAACCTAAAAAAAATTCCATAAAACAAAGACAACCTTAAGGATGTTGAATCTGAGATTTTTGCCTTGAGTTGTATTTTATAATCCCCATCTCTTTTATTGGATGATGAGGCTGTTTTATATCTGCACTGCCCAGCACAGTAGCCACTAGCCTCATATGGGTATTCAGCACTTGAGATATGGGTAATGCCACTGACGAAACTGAATTTTTAATTTACTGTTATGTTAATTTAAATTAGCTACATGTGACTAGTGGCTACCATATAGGATAGCATAGTGTGAATCTTACTTTCAAATACTGTTCAGTAAACCACACCTAAACTTGAATTTTAAAAGCAATTTTCTAAGCTACCTAATTATAATTCCTCTGCAATTAGTTACGGACTTCAGAGCACCAAAGTTTTGTGAATTATATAATTGGCTTTGTGAAATGGTTTCCCTTGCTTTTCTGATCTTATTTTTGTCCAAAACAAGTGTCAAGTCAATGAGGATTTTTGCTTCCTTTGGTGTAAATTTGAAGCAGCTAATCAAATGAAGGAGGTAAAGAGTGGTTTTCATGCATTTGGAGCCAGCAGGGTGGGCAGATTTCTCCCCAGGCTGTCCCAGGGTCAAGCTCTTTGGTGTTTTGTTTTCTTTTAAACCAAAGGTAAGAGTTACTGAAGATGTCATGATGCTGGCTGGCAAATCGCCTCACTTTCAGTCATCAGCAGAAATTATCTGAAGGAATTTCACAGACATCACAGGTCTATGAGAGATGTTAGGAACTACCTTATCCTTTTTAAGCAAGAGACTCCAGGTCTTAGTAACATCCGTGATTCTCTCCAACCTCAAGATACAGCTGAACATACAATGAAAATAAGACAACTGTTCTCTCAAGACCATCAGGAGTAAGGAGACTGGTGGCAACTAATTAATGGAAGGCTCTGTTTTGAGACCTAGTTAGTCCTAACTTGTGTCTAGCATAATATCTTCCACGTAGCAGGTGGTCAAATACCTAAAATGGGAAGAAACATCAGATTCACATAATGCACAAAAATAAACAGGTATAGTGATATTGCTACCATTTTCTCTGTCTTCCTTGCTAAAAATTAAAAAAAAAAATCCAGTATAAATATGTCCTAAATACTCTTTCTATTCAATTTGGCCATAGGCAATGTTTAGAAAGCCATTCTATGATTTCAAGTATGAAAGCACTTCAGATGTGAGTTCTTCAAAGGCTGTTATGTGCCCAATCCTAAAAATCAGGCATCCCACGCACAGTGTTCTAAATGTTTATTCTAAAGTCTTGTGAATTCTTAGAATGCTTTCAATATCAAGACCAAAAAATTCAAAACCCTGTCGTATTTAAGAATGCTATGTGAGTAGTTTTCGGTTTTGGTTTTGTTTTTAACATAAGCAAAACATGCTATTATGGATAAAAATTAAGATGCCTTGTCAATAATTCTTCATTCATTTTCATCTGAGTTCACATGCATAGGTATTTTGTAGATAATACTATTATGTAAACATACTATTATGGATAAAAATTAAAATCCCTTATCAATAATTCTTCATTCATTTTCATCTGAGCTCACATACTTAAGTATTTTGTAGACAAGTCAACAACCAGTTATTTTATGTAAAGTGTAAAGTCACAATACTTTGCTTATGTGGACCAGCCTTCACAGATTATGCAGAAACCCATATGTGGGTAGAATTAAAATATTTTAAAAATATATAGACAGTTACCTATATTCAAAAAGAAAATATGGACGAAACTGAATTACTAGTTAGATCCAAAATCAGCATGAAATGGAGTGAGGAAGAGTGAGGGGAAACTCCCTGTCAGCTGATCTTATCACAAATGTCAGGTAACTACATTCTTCTTCTTGACATCAGTCCTCTGGAGGGTTGGGGGCTGGATGGGAGTGGTTTGTGTGTGTCAACAAATTATTCCATCTTTCAGTTAGGTCATCAATAAAAGGGGTCATTAAAACCATTGTGAAACAAGAAAAATAAACATGTGGTAAAGATCACAGGGTTTTTTAAAGGAAGTACATGGTGAATGGGTGAATGACGAGGCAGTGAGGTGATGCAGTTGATCCACAGGATTTGGTGAGCACCCCCAGGGGCCAGGCCTACCCCCACTGGGCCCTTTAATACCTCTTAAAGGGCAGACACAGACAGCCTTGGAGGAAAGTTTTGTGCTGCTTAAAAGTAAAGGATTTGAGGTTACTCTCAGTTAATAAATTGTAGTGAAGAGATAATTGCCTCAGAAATGGAGTGGTTTAAGGAGTTGCTTTAAAGTCAGAGAAGAAAGAAAAGATTTTCTAGTTCAAGGGCTCTCTCTGAGATTTCCTTTCATGTGAATGAGAATAAGAGGATGATTTAAGTGATTCTGTAGAAGCATTTTAAAGACACAAGAGCCAAAAGCAGCTACAGCTGCTGCAGAGTTCTGCCCTTCTGCCTCCTTCCTTCATGCCACAATGACTACCTCCGGGCCTAATTAGATCAATGAGCATTTTCCCTTCTAGACAACCTCTTAATGTACGTGTGAAAATGAAAGCCAGAATGCAGCGAACAAAGCTATGCAGAACACATCCTGCTAATTTAACTTCCCCAATGTCTCTTGATCCATGCTTTCCTCTCCTTTCCATTCTACTGCTGTTACTCATCTTCAAGCTCTCTCACCTATATTATTCAAATCACTTCCTATCAGTTTCCTATGCACAGATCTTCCAGAAATACCTTTTTTGGATGGCAGTTTGATCTTGTCACTTCTTACCTAAGAATCCTTCAACAGTTTTTCATGGTCAGCTTCTAAGACCTCCACTGATCTCTTTCTTCCCTGCCTCTTAACCTCATCTTCTAACACTCTCTTCGCCAAAAGGGTTGAGGGGTGGGGTGAGAGCAAGGAGAAAGAGGAGAAGGAGGAGGAGGAGATGGAGAAGAGTTGCTACCTGCTCCTGAGCTCCTACTACATTACATGTTTTATAGTTGTTCTATTATTTAATCTTCTCCAAACCCTATGGGATAGGTATTGTTATTTCTACTTCTGATGCAAACAAGTCAATGTTCAGAAAGGATACTTAAATTGTATAGTCACTCACCTAGCAAGATTTAAAACAAGCATTTAGTGCAGATCTGCCTGTCTCTAAAATTTGTGCTTATTACTATCGCCTTGGTTCCCTAGCTCTTGGGCCTTCAAACATGCTGTTTCCTCTACATCAAATTCTCTTCTAGTCTTAGACCACTTGTTGAACTCTTATCCAACCCTGTGAATGATTTTCTGCCTCTAAGAAGTCATCCCTGACTATCAAGAGAGCATTCATCACTTGCTCTACTATGTTATGACTGTGTTTTTAAAAGCAGTATTATATGTATTATGCCAGACTCTAACTACCTGGTTGTCATGGCTCTTTCTTCTACTGGACTGCTCTTAGAATTTCTTTAGAGAAGGAACTATGTCTTTTACTGTTGTAAACTCAGTGATATTGCCCAGGGCACAGCTGGTGCTCAGTGAATCTTGTTGATTTGAACAATTCTATTGTGCAAAGAGAAAACTGGTGGATCAAAAGCCTTTGATTAAACTCTTAACTAGGGTAGCAAACCATCTATGTGACTGTTAGCAGGTTGCTTAACTTCTTCAAGCCTCAGAAAACTTACTTGTAAAATTAGTTAGTGGGATGGGGTATGCAAAATTATTCCTAATATCTCCTCAGATTCTAAAATACTGTGCACTTAGTCTTCGCGTATGAAGAATATATGTGGAGGGGGCACTGCCATAATCAAATGCAAAATGAAATGTGGCACTTGTGTAATTGTACTTACTGAAGAGTTGATGGAACTTAATGGTATTTATTGGAACAATGGGCAAGGGGAGGCTAACCGCCTTATAAATAAAATACTTTATGAGTTTTTAATGTGTTCCTTATTAAAAATGCATTACTTTCCATGCTAAATTAAATATCATTTAAAGCCAGTTTCTCTTCTTACTTTTAGTTAGATAAGATTTCTGCTCATTTTAGTCATGTGACTAAGCAGCACAAACCACTTGAGACATAGACTAATAGAGGAAAATATTCCCCTACCCCTAAGAAGTCAGAGTTTTAGAGCAAGAAGAGAGCTAAGAATAAGACCCAAAGCTCAAGAAATAGAAACAACACACAACTAGGTAGCATAGAGTAGTGTCATTCCCAATTTCCAGATGACTGGCCACCTGGAATCTTCACTACCATGAATTTACCACCACATGAGCTCATCTCCATCTGTGCCCTCCAGACTCAATTATTACAGGGGGGGGCGGACATATGTAGGTTGCCTCGCCATAAACTACTCCCCTCTTCTCCCACCAAGAGTATTCTGAGTCTTCATTCTCAGTCAGGCAGCTTAGGAGGGGTTGAGCACAGAAGCTACAGAAGTCATTCAGCTTCTCTCATCTCCCAGATAAGGTCAGTAGTTCAGAGACAAACAATGAATCCAATCAAAACTAAAGAATCATAAGCCAGAGCTTCTGGGAAATGAAAGGTGCCTTTGCTTTTTCCTTCTGGGAGTGAATGAGGTAGGGTGTAACCCTGACAGTTGTCAGTCACATGCCACATTGCAGACGAGAGGAAGGCTTGAAGCTGCCACAGACCCACCATGTGGAGCTGAGAATGAAGCCATTATCAAGAAAGAAAGCCCACAGATGCAGAGAGAAAGAAACAGAGTCCTGTACACATTGTTTGCATCTTAAATCTGAAATTTTTCCCTACCTCTGGACTTTTCAGTTGGATGAGCCAGTAAGTTTCCTTTATTATATAAGCCAGTTTGTGTTAGGTTTTCTGTTACTTGCAAAAAAAACAAGTTATATCTGATAAAAAATAGTCTATATGATCCAAGGTTAACTGTAAAATAGAAGCACTTTGATAGAATGCATTTCAGTGTCTTGTTTACATGAGAGCCCAAATTTTTCTCCTGGTTAATTTCAGTGTAAGAGTATTTATTTGTAAACCTCAGTAGAGATATGACTAACGAATCCCAACACTTGTTTTGGTTTTAGATCTGAGCTATCTCACCTTATCTCAAAAAGAATTTCAAAACCATATATCTTAAATTCTTAAAATCTAATAGAATTAATGTTAAATTTTATTTTAATTACATTTTTGGCCCATTTATTTATTTATTTATTTATTTATTTATTTATTTATTTATTTTTTATTTTTTTTTTTGAGACAGAGTTTCGCTCTGTCACCCAGGCTGGAGTGCAGTGGCGCTATCTCTCCTCACTGCAAGCTCCGCCTCCCGGGTTCACGCCATTCTCCTGCCTCAGCCTTCCCAGTAGCTGGGACTACAGGCACCAGCCACCGCACCCGGCTAATTTTTTTTGTATTTTTAGTAGAGACGGGGTTTCACCGTGTTAGCCAAGATGGTCTCAATCTCCTGACCTCGTGATCCCCCTGCCTCGGCCTCCCAAAGTGCTGGGATTACAGGCGGCCCTTTTATTATAGTAATACACATGCATTTGGAATAGAGGAAAGGAAAAAAAATAATCCACCTTTCTAATGCCTAAAAATAGCAACGGCTAATATTTGTGTGTTTTTCATCCTGTTCTTTTTGTTGTGACTTTTATAATTTAATGGTATCCATTTTGGTTGTTAAGCATAATATCTATGTTATTTTGACTGAAAAATTGAGCTGTGGGTCAATATAAAAGATTTAATTGATGTGGAACATTCTACACATGCATACGCATACACACCTCAAGCAAATAGAATTTCTGAATAAAATATAACAAAATTAATTTAAATGCAATTTTATAACCTATAAAGGGACATTTCCAGTTGTCAAAACAAAGGGAGCACTATAATATAAAATATACCATAGAATAAGAGCACAATGTCTTTCTACTCTCAATCAGGGGGCAGAGATGCTGTTTCATGAGACAGATAACTTATGAGTATTATTTTTAATAATCCAGCTTTATAAGTATCATCATTTGTGGAAAACCTTTCTGTATTCTGCTCATAGGTAGGGCCAATTTCTTATGATTTTTTTCTATATGTTCATAAGTAGGAGGAAATTCAGAGATGCTGCTCAATGGATGGTAGTCAGAGTTCTGTTAAGTAGGAGTTCAGAATTAAATTTTAAAATGTTCCTACATGCATATATGGGTCTTTGCTTTCTCCTTTCAAGCATAGTGCTGTGTAGAAAGTAAGATACGTTTTTCTCTCTGCTCTTATAAATAGTGGCCTCCATGTTCCTACATCCAATGGTCTCTCTCAGTCCTCACCTTACTTGACCTAGCAGTAGTATTGAACATACTTGATCTTTCTCTCTTTTGTTTGATCCTGACACCCCACTATCTTGTCTCTCTCCTGCCTTTCTGCACACTCATTCTCAGTTTCCATTGCTGGTTCCTCTTCATCTCTCCTACCTCCTCACATTGGAGAGCCTAGGCTGTAGTCCTGGGGCTTTTGTTATAATCTCTCTCTACACTTACTTGCTTATCTCATGGCTTTATGTTCTCGCAATATACTGATGACTCCAAGATTTATATATTTATATTTATATTTTGAGCATGAATCTCCAGTCCATACCACTCCCATGAACTTCAAACTTTTATCAACTTGACACTGTTCTCTAATAGGCATTTAGACCCAACCTGTCTAAAAAGTAAGTTCCTACTCTTCTTCCCTCCAGATCCACTCCCCTGAAATCTTTCTCATCTAATTTAAGGGCAACTTGTTGGTCCCAATTGCCTGAGCTGAGAAGCTTAAAGTCATCTTTAAGTATTCCCTTTATTGCATATCATATCCATTTATTTTTCAAATCCTCCTGATGCTACTTTTATAACAGTTCCAGAATCCAACTACTTCTCACCATTTCCATTCTGGTTTAAGCTGCTGTTACCTCCTTCCTGGGCAATTATGGTAACTTCTTAACCAGTAACCCTACTTCTACTTTTCAGCCTATTTTCCAACATAGCATTCAGACAATCCTTTTAAAAAATAATTCAAATCATGTCACACCCTTGATCAGTATTCACAAAAGCTTCCATCTCACTCAGACTAGAAGCCACCACCTTTAAAATGGCCTACACATTTTTGTACAATGTGCCTATTGTGCAGTAAAGAATTAATCTTGCCCAAAGAAAAATCTAGCTCCTTGCCCCCAACTCCTGGGAGTTAACCTCTAAGCCCTTGGAATGCCCTACCCAATAAAAATGTCTTTGTTTATCTGGGGGCCTAAGGCCCTACGAGATAGTCTAGGCTAAGTATTTAATTTATGGTGGGAGTCTTGGGCCACATTGTATCAGCCTGAACTCCAGAGGGGCCAGAGACTAAGGTCAAACACACAGGTAGTCAGCCGTGTCTACATGGCCAAACCCAAATAAAAACTCTGGACACCAAGGTTCAGGTAAGCTTCCCAGTTCCTGAGAGAAATAAGCACTATCCACACAACTCCAGTGGGAAAGGACAATTGGAAGCTCCATTCCTGGTTCTCCTGGACCCAACCCTAGGTACCTCTTCCTGATGCTAATTTTAATCTGTATCTTTTTGCTGTAATAAACCACGACCATGAGCATAATGACTTTGCTGAGTTCTGTGAGTCCTTCTAGTGAATCACTGAACCTGAGAGCATTCTTGAGGACCTCCTGAACTTTCAATTCTCCCCTTTACCTTCTTGACATCATTTCTTACTATTCTACCATTCATTCACTCTGCCCTTGACACACTGGCTGTTTTTGTTTCTTTCTACAGACTTTCACACTGGGCTTTTGCATATACTGTTCCTTCTGTCTATAATACTCTTTACCCCGGAAACTTCAATGATTGTCATTTCTACCTCCTTCAGGTACTTATTCAAATGCTGTCTTCTCAGTGAGGCCTTCCTTGGCTATGTTATTTAAAATGGCAACTGCTCCCTGTCACAAATACTCATCCTCCTTCTGTGCTTTGTGTTTCTCCAGAGAATTTATGCTTCTAAAGTATTATAAATTTTATTTATTTATTTTTGTTCATTAACTGGCACGTCCCCACTAGAATTAAATCCTTTAAAAAGCAGAGAACTTAGCCTAAGTGTTCACTGCTGTATCTCCAATGCCTGGAATTGTGCATAACTCAAGGTGAGCACTCAATGGAGAGCTGTTGGATGAATCTGTGTGAGGGGTGGTGGCAGGGCAGGGGGGATAGGTAGATGGTTCAGTAAAAATAGATAGTGTACCAAAAACAGCGAGGCTTGACTAGTGGTCATACAAAATAGCTTTGTAAAGAGTGTCACCAATGTATCATATAATTTGTATTAGTAAATTTGGCTGCATGAACCTGTTTTTCCATCTTGTATAAGAATATGTTTTGGATTATCCAACAATTTAAATGAGACAGTCATGAGACATATTAGGGAAAATATTTAACCCATACAGGATCCAGAACCCAAGAAGTGGTGAACATTAGGTCAGAAATGGAAGGCCCTTGGAGAGGTACCTGTGAAGAAGGGGCAGAAAGAAGATAGCTGGATTCTGTCCACTGTAATGAGTCTCACCCAGGCTCCTGCAGGTAACCAACCCTCTGAAGTAGAAACGCATGACCCCTCCACTGCCATTGCCCAGTCCCAGCAGCACTGACTACCTTTGCTGAGTCAAATGGGCCAGGGTCTTGCCAAAGTGGTAGAGTAGGGCAGACTTAAGTAAGAAAACCCATGGATCTGATGATACCACCAAGGACCAGCCTGCAACTATTAATTACCAGTGAAAGAGTGTTTCAGTTGTAGGTCAAATAGTTGATGGGAAAGTCTGATCTATACCAAGAACAAGAAGTCTAACCAGAACCCACACTCATCCACAATTACTGAATAGACAGAAAATCCTCTGGCGCATTTATCTAGGAGGACGAGTCAGCTAGGAATCCCAACAGGTAAGCTAGCTCTCCACACTTGTCCCCCATAGTTCGGAGGATGACAACTGGCTGCTACAATGAGATGATGACCCCTCCTGTAATAAGATGGAAAGGCGAAATGAGGAAAAGAGTAAACTTAAAGAGGACTTGCCAGTGGGATTGAGGGACAACTGGTAGAAAGGGAAAGAAGAGCTAGCTGGTGGTGAGAGGAGTGGAGAAGGAGAGGCCCATGGCTCTGTAATATGAGTGTGTTAGACATCTGCACTACTATCTGCACTACTTCTGGTGACCTTAGTCAGACTGTAATCAGCTAAACCTCCCTCAGAAAGCACCACCTCTAAGTGGAAACAGGAATTCACACTGAGTGAAAGCAACGAGTGTCTCATTCTGGTCAAGGTAACTCAAGGCCCCACTATGAATAGGCCTGGGCAGCAACACATGGAGAACTTTTTTGGAGGAAAGTACAATGAGAAATCTATGTTACTTAGAGTTTTCCAGATAAACACAACTAACAGGAGATGGATAAATTCATAGATAAATGGATAGATAGGGATTGACTGATTAATTGATTGATTATAAGGAACTAGCTCATGCAACTGTGGAGGCTGAGAACTCCCAAGAATAGCAGTTGGCAAGTTGGAGATGCAAGAGAGCCAATAGTGTAATTCTGATCCAAATCTGAAGGCCTGAGATTCAGGTGGGTCAATGGTGTAAGTTTGGACCCAAAAGCCGGAAGGCTCAAGACTTGACTCAAGAAGAGCTGATGTTTCAGTTCAACTCTGAAAGCAGAAATAGACCGATGTCTCAGATCCAACAATCAGGCAGAAGGAATACCCTCCTACTTGTGAGAGGTCAGCGTTTTTGTTCAACTTCAAATGACTGGATGACGCCCAACCACAGTGGGGAGGGCAGTCTGCTTTACTCAGTCCACCAATTCCAATGTTAATTTCATGCAAAAACACCTTCACAGACACACACAGAATAGTGTTTGACCAAATGTCTGGGCACCCTGTGGCCCAGTCAAACTGACACAAAATTAATCATCACAAACTTAATGAATGATTGAAGTAAATGAGCAAATTAAGGTTAAACAAAATGGATATCTCAGAAGAAACAAACATACAGTGGGCTATGCCATGATGAGCATGATATGGTCACCTCAAAGCATCTTAAAATCCAAGATTTAAGGACCTATTTCCTACGAGAACAATGTCATCCTCAAGTATCACTATCTCAAATAAGGATACTTGGATTTTTGGTAAAGAGAGAAAGTTAGGAAGTGAGCGCTGGGGAGACTATGGATCCTGGTGAAGTGGTGCCCTGTGACTGATATCCAGCGGCTTGTCCTCCAGTGAACATTGAAGGTTTATTTGTTAGACTCCTGCTTAATAATTTATTTATTCAGCAAATATTTATTGAGCTCTACACTAGATGTCAGATTCTGGGAATGCAGTAATTAACTATACAGATAAAATCCCTGCCCTTTTGGAATTCACATTCCAGTGAGAGAGACAGACAATACAGAAATAAACAAATAAGTGCGCCAAAAGGAAAAATAGAGGTAGAGGAAGAAAGTGCTAGCATGGAATGTTACAAAGAAGTTACAACGAGAGTTAACCTTTTGGGAAGTTACGTATAAAGGTGCCCATCTTATACAATGGTCATCTCTGGAAGTAATCATAGCTCTGTTTTGAAACCGTAACTAGCTTCTAGAGGCATGTATTGTCACTATGCACTGAGTTATAGAGTGCCGTAAAATTCCAAAAGCAGGGTGAATCACTGACCTGTTACAAACCCTTCAAATGCTAAACGGAGAGCTTGGATACTTAATGAGCTGCACATTTTACACCCACACTCTACAATTGTCAGAGCTTCTATCTCATCTGCCTTAGCAAATTAAGAGGAATATCATGAAGGAGAAAATGACAGAAGACAATTGGGTCAAAATCCATTGTCTAAAAATGTTCCATCTAGCCCATTGAGAACCTGCATCTTTCTGAAAGCTCCCACCCCTCCCACAGTGGGTTCACCAGAAGCTAAGGCCAGAATCCATACTCCCGTCACTCTGAATCCAGCTGGTATCAGGCCTCTCCTTCGGCTGCCACTTCAGCCTCTTGGGATGGTTTCCTAACCCAGCTCATTTATGGGCACCTGACTTAGGGGCTAGACAATCCTGAGGTAACCGTGTCTGTGGTCCATCAGTGCTCAGAGGGCCTTACCCCTCTTAACGCCTGGTGACTCCCTTTTAACACACCTACCACTAACACCCACCCTCAGGGGATGTGCTGAGCACAGGGACACAGGGGACCGGATTTATGTAGGCTAATAAGGTCAGCAGGCCTATGAGATCCCTCAGCTTTGGGCCTAAAGTTCCAGAAGAAAACGTGGTAACCCTCGCTGGGTAGCTGTGGGAGACACAGTCGTTGTCAGGGACACGGTAACAATATCCAGGAGACCTTCCTGCAGGCATAACAATTGTGTGGCACCACAGCGCCACCTCCCAACCCAAGGCGGACTTGCAATTAGTCATAGTCTTTCCTTTGACCTCCTTCCTATACTAAAATTAATTTCTCCTGAACTGTTCCAGATTGAAGGAGACCTAAAAGATATGACAACAAAATATTGCCATCCAATACTGATCCTGTACAACTGGAGTAAAAAAATGCCACAAAGAGCATTATTGTGTCAGCTGACAAAATTAGAATACAATGGTAGATTAAAATATCATATTTATGTAAATTTTACCAAAGTTGTTAATTGTATTGGGGATAAGAAAATATCATAACTATTAAGAGATACTGAGGACTAAAAAGCCATGATGTGTGCAACTTAGTTTTAAAAAGCTTGGAAAAATAAATGGAGAGGTGGGTTGTAAGGAGTGAGCATGTGAGAGCATGAACAAAAGTTAAAGCAAATGGGGCAAAATGTTAACAATATGTTAAGGAATAAATAGCCCAGATGTGTTCTTTATATTATTTTAGCAACTTTTCCTTATGTTTGAAATTATTTTCAGATAAAAATTTTAAAATAGTTCTGGCCTTAAGTACTAGACAGTTTGTCTAAAAATAACCTGTACTCCCATCATTAGGGATTCATTTCTTTGGATGATATATTTTGCAGACACTCTATTAAAAAGCATCTATATTTTAAAACTTAGGGAGAATTAGTTGGTAACTAGATAAGGAGAGGAAGAGGAATCACTGGATGGGAGGCACTCGCTCTAAGTGTGGAGAGGTGACACGTGATATGTGAAAACAAACAGTGGGTACAGAGGAGGGCCATCTCCTAACTTGGTGATGAGCCAGGCCCACAAGACCATGGTTCTGAGAGCATTGACAGGCTTTGATATGGCCTTCTCCCGTGCAGTCCAGATAGCACACACGTTCCAGTCTGCTCCATCTTAACTGTGTAACAAGGTGCCTGCACCTGAGGTGGGGCTGACACCAACAGAATATTCTCTGAAAGATGGTAGGGGATGAGATGTCTACTTTTCCTTTCTTCACCAGCCATGCCCAGAGGTCTGTGGTGTAGCTCAGAACCCCCTACGCTAGAAAACTCCCAGACATAGAAAATTTGCTCTATAAAATATCTAACTGGGTTAGGTTATAATAACATAGGCTTGCCATGGAATCTAGGCTTCTCAGAACCTTAGGAATATGCTGGTCTTACCTTTTTAATTTTTTTCTCACTATATAAAATTTCCCATTGTCATAATCAAGGTAAATACATAGATTCAAATTTAAGTTCGAGTCTAGGACTGTCTGAATAAAGTTTTCTGCTAGCAGCGTTTCAGGCAACAGAAGAGCTTCCTTTTCTTTATGAAATAGCACATCCCAGTGGCACTCAAAGGCACTGCAGGGAAATTCAGGAATTGTTTTTCTCTTGGGTGAAAACATCTTTGGCCTACAGTTACTCCTCGGTCATGAAAATCAGATTTCAAAATGCTCACTTTTTTTCAGACGAAACCGCTGTCAACAACTTGTATATAAGAAAGCACGGATCCCTGTAACCCAGTATTGTTCTCAAGCCCTGAATTTCCAGTATTTTCGTCATGCTGCATAAACAAAGCAACTTTTATCCTGGAAAACCCCAAGTGGAAATTTCAAAACAGATTGAATATCTGCCCCTCTCAACAATATTTCAAACCCAAGCAGCACTCGTCTCTCACTCTTGCTTAAATTCTAAGCATTTTCTATCTAAACTGACACTTTGAAAACATACTTATTTTAGAATTTCTATTCCATTCAATAGGAAATAACACGTTCTGTTTGTTTTGAATAAGCCCCTTTCACTACGCCTCCACAGCCCTTCACCAGCAGCCTATTCAGGTTTCAAGTAATCACATACGTCCTGAGCCTGAGCCATCTTGGTGTCATCTACTTTCCTCCAGAAATATTGATGCAAGGAGAAAAACAGCTAGAGAGCTCACAGCAAATAAGCACAGGCCCAGAGACTTACCAAATTAGGTCATCTAAAATAAATCATGTGGACATTTTTTAATACAACCCCCTGCATGAGTAGCATTTTTCTAGGCTATTGATTTTCACAGTCACAGCTCTAGCTATTAATACTTTTCAAGCAGGTCTGAGTGTGCCAAGTGTCTCATGAAAAGGGCAGGTCACAAGAACACATGATGAAAGGGTGTTTTTGGTGGGGTTTGGAGGGTCCTGGGAGGATGAAAGTAAGTGCAATTTAGGAACAAATGTAATTTTCAACTTCCACATATGTCAACCCTGTAATACTATGAAAAGGAGAAAGGGCAAGAGGGATAGTCTTTCCTGGGTATCCACTATATGCCTCTTTGAGAGGATGGCGTTACCCTTTGAAGTAGGGTTTTTCAGCTTCATTTTGTAGATAAGGAAGCAGGGGATGAGAGGAGGGAGGGAAGAGCTTGTCTTTAAATCCTTCTGCTAGAACATCATGTTTGCACTGTGACAGAACCCACAGAGAGGGGTTCAGGTGAAAAATTGTTCCTACTTATCTCTGGAGTCTTTGTTTAATGATCAATGAAAACTCTCATTTATGCCTTCAAATTCTCTGCCCTGACATCTCTGAGAAAAGCTGGTAGCTAAGTGAGGTTTCTCTCTAGTTTTCCTTCCCCTTTTTTTCAATTCCATCCCTCCTGCTTCTATGATAGTCCGTAGTAATGTACCATGCTCGGATACTCGAGCTTTTCTGTTGATCTAGCCTGGAAGCTTCCTTCCTGTTTTCTCTTATTTTAGGTCAGGCTTGGACTATGTCCGGTTTCCTTCTTGGTCTACCATCTAGTAGCTTAGATTAGCGTGGCCACCACTCAGCAAGCACACTCCCCTTTTAACAGAAGTCTCTGAGAACTGATGTCTCCAGTCTAGGGAGATCTTCGGACACTGGGGCAAGCTAATGGGAGAGACACTGCAAGCTGGTGGAAGTTTCAGTCCTTTTCATTTCATTCTGGCTCAAATATTTTTGTTCTAGGCACAATGCCAGGCACTGGAAATGCAGCAGTTGATAAAAGATACCTTCGTATTACATCGTTTGAAGAGTTATTTATTCCCACACTTCCTGAGGCCAAGCTGATTAGGAGCCCATGTGTGAGATAAAAAGAAAGAAAAACAAACACTTTCTGAGTAGATCCTAATAGCAACAGCAAAAAAAAAAAAGAAAGAAAATGAAAAAGCAAGTGATGAAAGGAGGGTGATATGTTCAGAATTGTGCAATATTCTATTTTAGGTGTTTATTTTCTGTCCCTCTATCCTTTATAAATAGACACACACTTCTTTTTGGAAATGCTAAAGATGCCTAAGTGATAGATTACTAGGATTGGTTAAAAAGGAGCTTGAAGCAAGGGAGCACTTAGGTTCCCATGCTAGCAGGCAGTGAGCCAAGCACTTTCACATATGTGACTTTATGGATTTCTTATAATGCCATTGTGAAGTAAGTTAAATTAGGCCCATTTTACAGATATGGAAGCTGAGGCTTAACAAGATTAAGTAGCATATTGTATCTAAGATACAGGAGAAAAGATGGGGCTAGAGCACTATTAGCAGGGAAAAGGAAAGTTCCTACTTGCTCTTTGGTTTCTCTCTTTCCCAACTTCTGAATGGATGCACCTCAATCAAGCAACAAGTATGTACCAGCACTTTCTAAGTGCAAAGGCATTGAAGAAGTATAAAATATAAGTTTTAGTCCTCATCCTCAAGGTCATGATGCACAATTTTGACAATAAGATACACACACACACAAATAACTAACAATCTATATCCTATATAGAGAAAAGTCTGGTGGTCAATGCTGTAGGGGCAAAAGGAGACCCTGTGGGTTGGAGTTACCTAGGCAAGTGGGATGTGTAAGAATATTCCAGGTAGGAAAACTAATGATGAGTAGAGACTCAATGATTCTGGCAGAAGGTGGAGGGTAAGCATGCAAAGCAGCAGGACTAAGCAAGTCACAGAGCACAATAACGGGGAGCCTGGAAAAGTAGACAGAGCAGGACGGTGAATATGGCTGGATCTGCAGTATCTCCAGGGTGCGGTGTGTGTTTGTGTGTGCGTGTGCGTGCGTGTGTGTGTGTGTGTGTGTCTTGGCATGTGGTGGGATGGAGGTTGGGGAGCTGGGAATAAATATGGAAAGCTTGAAGAAAGCACTGGAATGAGAACTAAGAGACAGGGGTTCTAGTCCTAGTTTTGTTGCTAGCTAGAAGTGCAACCTCATGCTAGACACTCAACATCTCTGAGCCTCAATTTTCTTCAGCTGTAAGACCAGAAATTGGAGCAGATTATCCTTAAGGCCCATCTCAAGTTAAGAATTCCAAGAGTTTCTCTACTTTTCCCTTTCTTCTTTTATAGCCTTCTCCCTGCCGTCAGCTCAAGGCTTTAGAAAATTTTATCCTTGATTGGCAAATAACACTTATTTTTCTAGAAACAATTGCTTCATTCCATGAACCTGGAGAAGCCCTGTCATTCTTAAAAAAAAGAATAAAAAAGAAATCTGTGTTTTTGTTATTGGAAAATTCTTAAAGCATAGCCCAAAGTGGCCAATATGGTTTCTATTTAAACAATGTCACTTTTTTCCATTATGCACCTATTTGTCTTTACTGAGTTATTATTTGATATGATAGTAATATTAGGGGCTCCACAGGAAAGATCCTCTAGGAACCTTGCTGCTGTGTTTGCTATAAGGATATTGCAAGGATATTATTCCTTACACAAAGAAGAACCTCAAAAGGAACTTCTCTCTGATTTACAGATCAGGAAGAGGTGTGCCATTATGGAGCAACTGGCTTGTCTCTAACTCAAGGACCCTGTAACTTTGTAAAGGGCTCAGTTTCCCTCTTCACAATTTAATGCTGCTGGAAAGCACAGAGCCAAATCCAGGTCTAACTCTTGCAACACATTGGCTTATACACAGCATGGTCCCTCACCCCAGGCTCTCTGTTCCCTTCCTGCTCTTTTGGTCTTTCTTGGCACTGTTTTTTCTATCTTCTTTGTAATTTATTTTTATCTTTCTCAATTATATGCATTTGAGTTCCTTAAATACCTCTGGAAACAAAAAGGTTTAAAAATAAATAAATACAAACAAGTAAATACATAACCTGAGCAACTGAAGGCCTTGCTTTCTAAACCAGGGGTCAGCAAACTATGGCCTGCTGAACAAACCCAGCCTGCCACCTGTTTTTGTATGGCCCACAAGCTAAGAATGATTTTTACATTTTTAGTGGTTTGGAGGAAAAAATAAGATTTGTGATATGCAAAAACTATAAAATTCAAATTTCCGTGTCCATAAATAAAGTTTCATTGGAACATGGCTGTGCCCACTCATTTGCATATCATCAATAGCCACATTCACCCTACATAGCAGAGGTCAGTAGATGTAACAGAGGCAGATACGAACCTGGAGCATGAAATATTTGCTATCTAGCCTTTTACAGGAAAAGTGTTGTCCCTGGATTAGAGCTTCATTTTATATCTGTTTAAGTTTCTCCTGCCAATGTTAGTATTATAAGATTGCTTCAAAGCTAGGTATTTGCTACATCTTAACTCAGTCTAGATATTTTTGGTGTTTTTCTCATAAAACTACTCCTCAGTGTATTTTAACCTTGACTCAGGCTCGTGTTTACTGTCTGGCTTAGAGTTCAGTGCTATGTAATAAAGACAATTAATTTTCAGCCTCTTAGTAGTAAACTGAAGACCCTCTTAGGTAACCATTTTATAGTCACTGATAAAATGAATTTTAAAACTTCTATTTTTGCTGAGATTTCTAAGCCAACAGAAGGATCTACACAGCAACTTGGCACTTTTTACACCACATTCAATGTCCTCCAGTTTCTTTTCAATTGATGCATGTGTTTGCATATTTACTTATTTTTTTTCTCCTCCTGGTCAACCTTAGTTAGAAATAAAACGAAGTCTCCATGGAAACACAACATAATGCTCTCTCACAGATGATCGAGGGACCCAAGCAGCTGGTATTGGGCTAAAGTCTGCAATGGCGTCTGACCAAATTCAGAATGGAAAACAGCTTACCCGGCTCTTCCAGACCTCTCAGAATTCTAAAGCTGAGCATGGAAACCTACACAGATTGTGAACTACTGTGGGTTGTCTTATTCTTTTTTTTTTCCTTTTGAGAATATTCTCTTATCCATTTATATGTTTCACCTAAAGGGTTTCAATCCCTCCCCCACTTAGACTGATGGACAGACACTACAGAGTAAGTGGGAAGAAAACCTCCATTCCCAGTGAGCACCTACTGTATTAGACATTTCTATGTCATGACTGGCCCAATGTCACACAGTTCTAAAACAGGCAGAGCTTGAATTTGAACTCTGGTCTGTTTAACTTCAATGCCCATTTTCTTTCAACTTTACAAGAAAAAAGAAAATAGAAAAAACAAGGCTTAACAGAGGTTGTTTTTTTAACATAGCCATGGTCCCCTGCCCACCCTCTTTTTCCTGAGGGGGAAAAATCATAATAAAGAAGTAAGAATATGAAAGTCAGCTTCTCTCTTAACCCCAACTATGTTTATAAGAAATCAAGGTCTAAAGCTAAGTTGGGGAGGAGCCAAGAGAACCCTGGTTCTCTTTCCTAAAAATCCTTTCCAAATGGTTGCAGGAGAATGTCTTAAATAAGGGCAGTAAGCGAGTGTCTTAAAGGGAGAATAAACAGAGCACTAAGGACATTGGGGAGTGGGTAATGGAGAAATGTGTCAGGAAGATGTGTCAGAGCACAAGCTCATCATAATTTAGAGCCTTGGCTATTTCTTAGGGTTAATGATCAATTAAACTGTGCTTTTCTCCCCTCAAACTGATTTAGGGGCAACATTCTCCTAAGTCCCATTTCTTACTAGGGTGTGATATGGTAGCATACACCCTTGTCCAAGGCAGTATCTGGCATCTCCAAGGTAACAGAGCCTTCCCCACCAAGGCATCATGAAGAGTCGCCCAAAACCTATGGGGAGTATGGAATCCACATAGGTGTCTCAGAAGAGGCTGGGGGATGACTGCTCCCCTCAAGCAGGTGGGCTCCAAGCTCCCACCTTTAGCTGAGGCAGCTTTGCTTTCACCTGTCTGAAGAACGTGTTCCTCTACTTCATAATCCTTTGAAAAATGCTTTCCTAGAACATACCTTCATCTGAACATTGGCACACAGCACAGATCTGTAATTGATATTTAAACTAGACTTTTGAGAGAGAAAGGCATACCCTCTAAAGGTTTATGTAACAATTCATGGTAATACCACCCATCCTATGACAAAGACATGGAGGCAGACTTTTTTAAAAGTGAAATGGTCCATCTTCCCCTTCGCCCGATCTGTGTTCACATCACCATCACTACCACCACTGAGGGTCGAGGAAACACGGAGAAGAGAGAAAACGTGGGGGGACAGAGAAGCAGGCTCCTTCCGGTGACAGATTCAGAAAGAAACAGCAGCATCTCCTCCTCATCCATCCCTCCTCATTCCATGAGCTACCATGAAAAGGTGAGCTCCCCTTCTAAAGCAGGATGTGGTAGGCTGTCCTATCCTCCTTATAAATTGAGAAGAGTTCATTTCTTTTCTGCACAACCCTTTTATTACATAGAGTCTGTGTAAAATACTTTGCTCTCCAGAGAGGAGCCATATCATTGCAAATTGCTTTATGAATATAATTAGCTGATAAATTAGAGCAGCAGCTACTACACTGAAATAGACCTTCAGATTTTGGAAAAATGAAATCACTGGGGACATCTTGTACATGAAAAACAATCTTATGCTGTGCAGAAGTTTTGATATGAGCTAGGACAACTGTTCTTACAATTGCTAAATTGTTTTTTCAGTTTTCAGTACCTTGTCCTTCTGAATAGCTTTTACTCAGCTTCTGGGCTGTTTAAAACTCCAGGCGTACGTAAAGGAAGCACTTGTGCAGGAGCAATAATTGCTCTGAATAGGAAAGATTCTTCCCATCACAGAGCAACTTATAAAGATTACACATCCAACCCTATACCAAGAAAACATTTCTCCTTTTTGTTAATCTTTCATAAAATAAATAATGATATTGGAAGTTTAGTGTACAACCAGTAATTTATCTTGGGTGACACTGATTTAAAAAATAAATAAATAAATAAATAAATAAATAAATAAATAAAGTGCTGTCATTTCAAGGAGAACTTGAACTACTTTATTAGCTATTAGTACAGACCACATGATTCAAGTTTAGAAGAAAATAAGTCTTGAATCCCAGGCAGCATTAAAAAAAAAAATTCTACTCTTAACTTATAAATTCTCTTTCCCTTAAGAAGAATGGAGTCCCCACTCTTCATTTTGACCTGCCAAATCACCTCCCTACTCAGAGCCAAAGATACTTCTTCTGGAGCACATGGTTAGGAGTTTCCACAGATGAACTTGACTGTCTTTTCTGTAACCCTCTGAGAAAAGAGAACGCTTAAAGCTAAAAAAAAAAAAAAAAAAAAAAAAAAAACAAGAATGCAACCCAAGAAGAGGGCTCACTGCATTTTTCCTTCTTTTTCTTACAGGGTTTTGTCTTGCTATTTCAGTCCTTATTTCTTTAATAACAACCTTTGACATCAGTGCAGTGCCCTGGTTGGATGACTTTGCAATCAGCAGTACCTGTATGCCATGCCCGTCTCTGCTCTGGTGGTTTCCTGCAACGAAATTCCATGAACACGTAGAAACTTTTCCACATATTTCTGTTCGGCTGCTCCACTGGGCCTCACAGGTTTGCAGGCCGCCTGAGGCTGAGTCTTGGTCACTGCTAGGTGCCATCTACATTTTAGAGCCGATTCACTGGATTTTGGCAGACCCAGCTTGGGGCTCGGGATGTCTGCACAGGCAGGTTTATACAGATGCATGTTTCAAAAACCCAAGGAAGCAAAGCTAATTGCACGGTGCTTAACTTTAAGACTCACTGTATCTTGCTGTGAATACCTTGGGTTATCTGGCTTCAGTATGTCCCTCAAAAGGTTTAGCTTGTTTTCTTTAGATCTCTCTTATCATTTTTGTAGGCGAGCAGGCTCCTAAGTTCCCGACAGAGCTGTTGGTTGTGTGTCCCTGCCCAGGCCTGTGCATAAAGGAGGCTTTTGGTGGCCAATCACTTTTCTCATCCCTTTAAAGTACTCAGAGTCAAACATAAGCAACTATGTACTGGCCCTGGGGAAAAAAAATATGGGAACTTTTTCCCATGTCTTTCTATTTAGGTAAAAGGAAATATTTTGGTGGGATCTGGGCCAATCTGTTTTTATAAGGACCATAAAGCCTTAGGGATGATTCATGAGTATGTAATGAGACTTCTCTAAATTATTAAATATTTTGTAATCAAATAATTTTTTATACTAGAGGCATGATTCATTTGGGTGAAAGGTCCATTAACCTCTTTCAGATGTTGCTGTCAAATGATAGACAAATATCAACAAGTGGTTGTAAAAGGCAAAGGGTTCACACAAATATGGCTAATTATTTTTGACAAATATGAAGAGCAAATCTGTGGAGGAAGAATAGCTTTTCCATCAAATGGTGCTGGAGCAACTGGATATCCATAAGCGAGGCAAAGCAGAACAGCAACAAACAAAAATAAATGAACCATTGACCTAAACCTCATCTTTATACAAAAATCAACGCAAAATTGATCATGGATTTAAATGTAAAATGTAAAACTATAAACTTGTAGGTAAAAACAGGAGAAAATCCTCAGAACCTAGAGTTAAGTGAAGACTTATTAGACTTGACACCAAAAGCACAATCCATAAAAGGAAAAGCTCATAAATTAGATTTCATCAACATTAACAACTTCTGCTCTATGAAATACCACGTGAAGGGGATTTTAAAAAGCAAATTACAGACTGGGAGAAAATATTTGCAAACCACATATCTGACAAAAGACTTATATCTAGAACATACAAAGAACTCTCCAAACTCAACAATAAAAACATAAACAATCTAATTGGTAAACGGGCAAAAGATATGAACAAACATTTCACTGAAGAAGATATACAGATGGCACATAAGAGCATCAAAAGATCATTAGCCATTAGGGAAATACAAATGAAATCCACAATGAGAGATCACTACACACCTATCACAATAGCTAAAATACAAATGGTGATAACACTAAATGCTGTCAAAGATTCAGAGAAACTGGATCCCTCATAAATTGCTGGTAGGAATGTTAAATGGTTCAGCCACTCCAGAAAAGTTTCTTATAAGACTAAACATTCCAAACTTACTATATGACACAGCAATCACACTGTTGGGCATTTATCCCAGAGAAATGAAAACTTATGTTCACATGAAAACTTGTACACAAATGTTTATAACATCTTTATTCATAATAGCCAAAATCTAGAAACAACCCAAATATTCCATAATGGGTGAATGATTAAACTGTGGCATATTCATACTACGAAATACCACTCAGCAAGTAAAAGGAATGAACTATTGGTCAAAACAACCAGTTGAATAAATCTCGAGAGGCTTACGCTGAGTGTGGGAAAAAAAAAAAGCTAATACCAAAAGGTTGCATTTTGGAATCTGTATCATTCCATATATATAACATTCTCAAAATGGCAAAATTGTAGCTAGAGAGGAATAACAAATTCATAATTGTCATGGGTTAGAAAAGACAAAAGGGAAGAAGATGGCTATGGCTATAAAAGTGTAGAGGTGGGATTCTTATAATGGAACTGTTGTGTCTTGATTATGGTAGTGGTCACATCAATCAATACATGTAACCAAACTGCATGGAACTAAATATAAATTACTCAAAAATGAGTGCATATAATATTGGAAAAATCTGAATAAGGGCAGGGGCTTGTGTCATCATCAGTTTCCTGATTGTGCTATTGAACTGTGGCAAGGCAAGATACCATCATTTGGGGAAACTAGGCAAAGGATATATGGAATCTCTCTATTGCTGCTTATACCTGCATATGAATAAACAGTTATCTCAAAATAGAAAGTTTAAAAAAAAAAAAGCAAAGAAACTCCTCACATATGGGTTTTTCCACCACATGATTCCAGCTGTGACTCTCCTCCAACTGTGACTCCTGGACATAAACTGTTCATTCGGTCTAACAGCTTCACACTCACACCTCCCACCTGCCATCACATCTTACATCTCTGCTGACATGAATCTTCACACACGCGCACATGCTCCCTTAAAGCTCACCTCCTCTAGGAATTCTTCCCAGCCCCGGTACACAATTATTCATTGAAATTCCACTTGCAATTCAAACCTAAAGCCCTCACTTCACACTTCTAAACCGTTTCACAAACATTTGCACACCCCTTGTGATTTCTGCCGTATTTTTGTATATCCTATACCATTATTTATTTACTATTTGGAATTAAGTTGCTTTTTCTACCTAAATGAATTTTTTTAGTGTTATGTACTGAATGTTTGCATTCCTCCCAAAATTCATATGTGGGAATCTTAACCCCCAGTGTGATGATATTAGGATATAGGGCCTTTGGGAGGTAAGCGAGTTGTGATCTTGGAGCCCTCAGAATAGGATTAATGCCCTTATAAGAAGAGGCCAAAGGTAGCTTGCTGTCTTTTCACCATGTAAGGACACTGGAAGGAGAGAGCAGCGGCCCTTCAACCGGGAAGAGGGCCCTTACCAAGAACCTGACCCTGCTGGCACCCTGATCTCAGACTTCAGCCTCCAGAACTGTGAGAAATTAATGTGCATTGTTTAAGCCATTAAGTCTATGGTAACAGCCTGAACTAAGACATTTAGTCAGAAAACATTATCTTACTACCACCATAAACAGAAAAACCTTATCACTTGTAATAAAATAGAATGTAGTCTGTAAAAAATGCAATAAAAATGAAGAATGTTATTACATTGCAGCTGGATACTTAGTGTCCAGAGGCTTGGGATCAGAGTCTTAACTCTTTTTATCTTTTATTGACAAAGATTTAAAAGTATTAGAAAGGTTTTAAAGATAATTTAGCACAAATCTGAGATTTTCTCTTCCCTTCTTTTTAGATAATGAGAAAAAAATGAAAGGAAATTGAAACAGGAATACACTACATTTACAAAGTGAATCAGTTATTTAATGCCGTATGAGTGGTACTTGTACCTCCTTTGGGAAACAAAGACATAATATGCTGTTCCAGAGTATGAGATACATCTCTTGCAAGTGTACCTCTTAACTCCCCATCCAGATTATAAGCTCTTTTAGGGAAGGGACTGTATCTGACACAAGCTTGTAAACTCCAGTTATAATGATCAGAATGATGCTTTGTGCACAATCAACATTGCATAGAGATTAACAATTTCCTTGCTTTAATTTTAAACTCCCAATAGCTACCTTTTCTCTCATAAACCTATTTCCATTTTCACCCTAGCAGCAAAAGCCCTGAGCATGAAAGAAGAAATAAGAGCTTATAAAGAAAAGGCCAGAAAAGCTAGGGGGAACAAAAAAAAAAAAAAAAAAAAAAAAAACACAGTACAATGGAGTTAGGGAGAAATTAGCATTCCCAAGTAAAGTTGCACCAGTGACATCACTTATGGTAGCCACCAGTTAAATCTGAGTATGTGAGCCATGAAAGTGGTTCCTCCAGGGCTGAGAACACCTGGAGGTTCAGGCAGTGGTGCCAGCGGAGGGCCAAGGAAGAATCACAGGTGAACCAGGAAAGCAGTTTCTAAAACATGGGGCATGAGCCCTCTCCCATGTGTCCCTCTCATTCTGTCCTCCAAATTTGGAACTGGGCCCAGGAAAGGAGAGAGAAATGAGAAAGCCAATATTTGTCTGGAACTGAAGTTTCTTTTCATAAAGTTCTAAAAGCAGGTCAATGTCATAAAAGATCCCAGTTTAAAGGTGGAGGATAGAAACTATATTTAATAAGAGAACTATTTATCCCTTTGGTTGTCAATACAAACTAAGATCAATTTTAAGCTCAATGTGGTAAGACTGTAAGAAATGCCTCTGAACAGCTGAGAAGGACAGTTAATGTCTTTCTTGCTTTCCTTCTGTGTCTCAGGAACGATGATTTTCATATTCTTTTTAGGATATTTAAGTACTGTGCAATCACATGGTCAGCAGAGTGCAGGAAAAAGCAACAAGGCCATGTGATGAGACAGGTGCTGCCTGCCCCGTCCTGCTGATGGAGCACGGGAGGCCTGGGACACAGAAGCCACATATAGAAGCTCACGCAGCTCTGGGTGGTGGGCAGACTTCATCTACACCTGTTCAGGATTCATAAACAATAGTGTGACCTTGGACAGGTCTTGACCTTTCTGACCCCTTAGTTTCTCTACTGGCTCAGACTTAGGTAATCTCTAAGATTCTTCTAGTCTACATCTGATGTTCTGTGTATCTTAAAAAGTAATTGCTCTAATCATGCTATAGAGGTGATGATCCTTCCTCCTTTGTTACTGGCGAGACTTGGAGTCCATGAATTATTCACTAGTTATAAAAGATACCAGGCTCGTGAGATTTATGTTATTCTTGGAATATAGCAAACACCTTTATAGCCTAGTTCTAAATTTTTCTTGGCTAACGAGGTGATTTGTTGAACACTGTATATCTTGGACATGTCGCAGTCATCCAAGAACATCCAGGTCTAAAATAAAAACTGAGGCCAGAGCTGGTGGGGCTAGAGGAGTGGGAATGCACTGTCACTGCCGGGGTGGGGAAGTATTGGGACCAACCAAGTCAATTTGGACAAGGGACACCACACTACAGTCCAGCGCATATTTTTCTATTCTGATTATTTACCGGAACTTCATCTTTCTGCTCTTGTTCACGTGTTTGCTCACTAGTGCTCTGCAGGTGATGCTGTGAGACATCTGCCTTCATCTCACTGGGAACCATCTAGAGGGATTGCTCCTCCTGTCACTGCCATCTTCTCTTCACCCTTGCCAGAGCTACCTTGGGGTCTAGCTATATGTGGCAAGACCACAGCTAAGTATAGTATGTGTGTGTTGTGTTAACAAAACACAATGCATAAAACATTGCCTTTGTCATCAAGGAGCTCTCAGTGGAGGAGAGGAGAGAAACCAGTAAAGACTACGAAGTGATGTGATATGAGCAAAGATAGAGGCAATCACTGAGGCTAAACCCAGTCTGGGAAAAGAGCAGAGGATCAGAGAAGATACCCTGAGACAACATCAGCAGTAAAGGTAAAGGGTGGGAGGAGTGGAGGGAGTTCTTTCACAAGTTTGCAATCCAGGCCGGGCACAGTGGCTCACGCCTGTAATCCCAGCACTTTGGGAGGCCGAGGTAGGTGGATCATCTGAGGTCAGGAGTTCGAGACCAGTCTGGCTAACATGGTGAAACCTCGTCTCTACTAAAAATACAAAAAAAAAAAAAAATTAGCCAGACGTGGTAGCGGGTGCCTGTAATCCCAGCTACTTGGAAGGCTGAGGCAGGAGTATTGCTTGAACCTGGTGGGGGCGGGGGTTGTGGTGAGATCGCGCAAGTGCACTCCAGCCTGGGTGATAGAGCAAAACTCTGTCTCAAAAAAAAAAAAAAGAGGAAGTTTGCAGTCCATCAAGAAATCTAATGTTAAATGTCTCTGTCATTCATTGGTGTTTTTCTAGGCAATCCCTCACATCTCCTGTTAGTCGAGATTTTCTCAGTGAATACAACACAACAGTCCTGGTAGGATAGGGGAGGGGGTGCATGTTACAGTGCATGGGAGTACAACACATGACTAATGGAGAGCCCCTGTTGAGCCAGCCTTAGCTCCTTCTCCCTAGACCCAAAGGTAGCATCTTCAGTCTCACCTGATTCCTTTTCCTTATCCCTACTGCTTATCTACTGTATACTCCTGCGTTATAGCATAAAAACAATCCCCCCCCACCAATGTATGATACATACGCACTATAACCTTGCTTTAGAAAAAAATGAGTAGGAGAGGATAGAAAAAATAACTATTTGGTACTAGACTTAGTACCTAGATAATGAAATAACCTGTACAACAAACCCCTGTGACACAAGTTTACCCATGTAACAAATCTTTGCATGTACCCCCAAACCAAAAATAAAAGTTTAAAAAAAAAAGAAAAAAATGAGCGTATTTATTGGTGACTACATCTATAGATCTCTACCTTGGCATAGAGGGTTTGTGGGCAAGACTGGCCCTTGAGATTTAACTGCTATTCTGCATTGGTCCCACAGTCCTCAACTAGAAAGCATCTTTGAGTGGAGCTCTGGCATCTGTAGCAAAAACTCTCCTCACCTACTTTGGGCATGACTCTCTTGCTCTTTATTCAAAAGTTCCCAAAAGATGCCAAAATGTGGCCTTAGTCTAAAGCTAAACGAAGGGAAATGGTCCATGGGGCCCAGATGTGCAAAAGTGCACAATGTGGCCAGAAATACCTCAAAACGTGGCAGTTAGAAGCAATGACTACTTTGGAGGAGAGGTAGGTGAGCGGCGTCGAAAGGATGGGAGATGAGGTCTCAGTCACATTATTTAGGCTCTAGGCTCTCTTTTTAAGTAATGTTGAGCCATGGAAGGTTTGAGATCATGATAGTATTGTGGTCTCATGCTGTTAAGTCAACACTGAAGTAATGCTTGCAGGGTGCTGAGATCACCTTCTTCTTTATCCCAGTCTGCACTGGCCTGGCTTAGGGGAATTTCCACAGAGAGTACAGTATAGTAGAAAGAGCACAGGCTATGAAGTCAGGAAGGCTTGGGTTCAAATCTTGCCACTACAACCCACCAGTGGGCACTTTCTGAGTCACAGTTTCTTCCCCCGGAAACTATAGCTCATCATATTACCTAATAGGGTGTTGTGAAAATTATAAGAAATATTGTATTTGATGTAACTAGTACAGAATAAATGGCTCAATAAATGGTGATTATTATTATAATACCTGCAATGCTGTCAGTGTCTAAGGGTTACCACATACACTGCACAACTCCAAGGACTGCCATCCAAATTTTAACCCATGTGGATTGTGCCCCCTAGTGTTGTGCAGTGCACAGAACACACAGTTATACGTGGGAGACTTAGACTTCTCACAAGCAATAATTTTCAGGGGACTTCAATGTTATGGGCTGCATGAGTACAAAATGGATGGGGATGGCTTTAAATATGACTTTCTCCCTTGCTAAAGAGAAATGAGAGATTATCTGAATGATGCTTATTTGTTCTTCATCTAGCAAGAAATACCTCCATCACTCCTTAAGTGCCTACTCAGAAAGCAGTTTTGAAAGTTGCAAAGAACTCCACATATTTTGACACTGGTGCCACATGCTCTGCCATGGGGCTTATCTATCTTCTTTGACACGTTATTTCTATGGGGTCTGGAACTTGTCCATGACAAGGCCTTGGAGGCTGGGGTGCAGAATGGCACCATGAAAAGTAAATCTCAACTACAAAAGCAAGCCTAAAATTTTATATTTTCAGTTTTGTGATATCATGCACTAAGAAGTCTCACTGGGATCATTCCAATCAAGCAATCTCTCTCTTCATCTTCTAGGCACTTACAATTAATCTAAAATATCTAGGAGTCTAACTAGAGCTAGAAGAACTCTTAAAAATAAACTGATTTAATTATCTTGTTTTACAAATAAGGTAATAGACATCCAGGTAAATTGGCACTATTAAGCAGTCATTATTGTAAGGACTGGAATAAAGTGCAAGTTTCCAGGAGCATGGGCTTAGTGGACAAGGACTTAAATCTTTGCCTGGCAGCCTAATAGTTGCATGATTTGAATACTCTCTGAGTTATTAGCTTTTCCTCTGGGGAAAAAAAATGGGGGAAAAAAAAGCTAAACCAGGCTGGGTGCAGTGGCGCATTCCTGTAAACCCAGCACTTTGGGAGGCCGAGCTGGGAGGATCGCTTGAGGTCAGGAGTTTGAGATCAGCCTGGCCAACATGATGAAACCCTGTCTCTACTAAAAATACAAAAATTGGCTGGGTGTGGTGGCAGAAGCCTGTAATTCCAGCTACTCGGGAGGCTGAGGCATGAGAATCACTTGAACCCAGGAAGCGGAGGTTGCAGTCAGGTGAGATTATGCCACTGCACTCCAGCCTGGGCAGCAGAGTGAGACTCCACCGTGAAGAAAAAAAAAAGAAAAAAGAAAACTAAATCTGTTTATATATTTTGAATTCCCAAATATACCATCCTGCCTCTTGAAATGCCATTTCACTGTACAATAATTGTAAATGTTTAATCACCAAAGTTCCAAGGCAAAACTGTTGAAAAACAATCCACTGAAAAGCCCTCAGTGTGTCTCTGCTATAGAAGACAAATGAATAGTTTCACTTTGTTTACTCTATTTGTGCTAGAATGTTTTCTTTGGCTGAGAAATTTATAAAATGTAGACTACAAGCATCCCATCAACATTTTGAAATATTGTGTTCTATATGGTTTGCTTTTATAAAATCTCTATGGTTTATTCCAAGATAAACATAAACTTGAAGTAATTTCAGCATTTGACATTTTCCCAAACAGATTCAAATGTTAGTTCAAATAGAGTAACAACTGAATTTGTAGAGATCACCTTTTTTAGAAACCTTTCCAGATAAAACACAACCAAGAATGAACAAATGAACAAATAAGATATCCCAAAGCCTACATTTCAAACCTCCTGGTTGAGTACCTCAATTCATAAACCATGTATTCTTTCTTGGTCATAATTTGAACACGACTGGATTTCTTATTTCCCATCCCTCCCTAAAGTAAAGATAGCAAATTAGATTAAAAGAACTATCAGAGGCAGGCATCCTGACAGCAGCAAGAAAAGCTTACAGCAAGGTGAGGATACAGAAAAAATAATAGAGGAAGAAAAATTTCAGAAGCCAAAATTTAAAAATAAAATAGCAAAATGAGGCCTCCAATTTTCAAGGCAGATAGATCCATATGCTTTAATAGCCCCTGAGGATATTTTAACATAGCACAATAGCTGACATTTATTAAGATAAATGAGAGTTGTCAAGTTGTTTCTTCAGGTTTAGAAAGTTAAAATAAAGCCTTGACACTTAAATTAGAAAGTTTCAGGTATTAGAAAAATCACCTGGGTGAAAATTTTCATTCTCTGACAATGTCAGATGAATGAGGCTTAATTGGGAATATTTCCTGCATTTAGAAATGTTATCAGTCCCATCCTCATAACTTTTTTCCAGTTAATAGCAATTTGGTGGGTTAGCCTAAAAAAAAAAACAAAAGTCAACGAATTTGTTCTGAAGCTGCCGATTACATGTTTCTTTCCCTCAGCCATTTCTTACCTGCTTCCTCATTGGTTCGCATTCCCACAAACCCCCATGCATTCTTGTGTAAGTCTAGTTGAAATGGTGCATCTTAAGTGTATTTTTTCCTGATGCTTCTCTTCCCTGTCTCCCTGCCTCCCGGCATAACTAATCACCCTTTTACCTGAATTTTATAGCATTTCCTTCACACTTCTAATATCACACCAAAAAAACTTGACTGTAGTGTTGTCTTCCCTGAACAGACTCCAGGATCATTCAGGGCAAGAAGCCCTGACTCTGCATCCCTGTATCCTCAGAACTGGAACATGGTAGATGCTCAAACTTCCTTAATAAATTCTGTTTAATTTTCTAGTTTGATTGTTAGAAACTATTTCAATGTTACATATATGGTAATAAAAGAATGTCCTTAAATGTAAGTATATTTTTTCCTTTTTAAAAAACTAATTCTGAATGTTAACCTCATTGAAAATTCATTTAACTGAAAATACTTTTAAAACACATTCAGTACTGCTTTTGGATAAATGACCATCTGGAAAGTAAAATATTGCAAACAGATTTAAGCATTTAATATTTTGTTCAACAGCAACTGGTGTTTGGATAGTCACATCGTTCAAATTACTAGGCTTGAGACAGAAAGAGCTGATCTTTCTAACACATCCCACTTGTGGAATTGTTTATGCTGACTCTCACCTCCTAAATCCCAGAGGTAATTAAATAATTCAACAGCCCTTTGGACAGCTTGTTTCATACTTAATGTCCATTGCTGTAATCAAATTAAATATGAAGACTAAGCTACGAAATGTACCTTAGGCTTTGATTTTTTAAGGAAATATTTCAAATTGGAGATATTTGTAATAAAAAGTCTCTTGTATACAAACCATATTTTCTTAACCTATTATTCTCCAAATTCCTCATTAATTCTGCACAAAAATGTATATATACCTTGACTGAGGATAGTGACTCAGAGAAGAATGCCAGAATATCATTGAGGATATGCAATTTTATTTAACAACATTACATTCAAAACCACACTGTCTCCTGCTTCTGGGAGCAAAGTGATTATCTTGTCTGTTGTTATGAATCCTGGAGGTACATTATAGAAAAACATGTGTAATGATTACACTGTTTAAATGAACACAATGTTGTAGAAGCTCCCCTTAAAAACACACACCTTATCTATTCTGAAATAACAGACTGAATTAGTGAGCTCTCCTGGCTCTCCACAAGTGCTCCCTGACCCTTGTTTCCATGTGCCTGATCCTGCCTCCTGAGACATCAGCCCATGTCTGTGGCACCAGAGTCTGTGGCTGTTACCATGGAAAGGGATGGCCTTGCAGCAACTCCATCTCACAATGGAATGGGGGAGGAATAACACATGAGCTGCCAAGAGCCTCATCCAGCCGTAAGTGAGTCTCAAGGCAATGAGAAACACTCTGACAGGTTCAAAATGAGAGCTGATGCTCATAGACTGACATAAGGAAGGCTGCTTACTTTATCAGTGTTCCACTGCCAGGTGGATATCAGATGACCATCTACAGGTCTCTGAAGTGTCCTCAGCCTTCTCAGTGAAACAGGAAAGTTGAGATCCAAACAAAGAAGCCAGAAGAGATTGACCCACCATGTGGCTCAGGAAAGGTCAGGTCAAGGGGTCCAGTTTGAACAAGGGGAATAACATTGAAAGTAAAGGAATACCTTGGTCTCTCCATGTTATGGAAAATAGCCAAACTCTACCTTAGAAGCTCCCTAACCCTGTTTCAAGCACAGCTCTGTGGCAGAAACAGACCTGGGATTCACCATGCCCACTTCTCTTCCTTCTAAGGCATACATTTATAACTACAATTCCCAGCCTTCTTTGCAGTTGAATGTGGTCATGTGGCTGAATTCCAGTCAATGTTGCCTCTGCCTGCAGATACCACTTACAGGTCTGGCCCACAAAATGGGGCCTCCACCTGCTCCTCCCATACTCCTCTCTTGATCCATGTCAATGCTCAGCTATGGCCCAGCTTAGAAAACAAAAGATGAAGATGACAGAATTTTCATCAGCCCAAGTCCCACCTGACTGGACCCTTCCCACCCCTGGTCGGACTTGCATAAGTAAGAAACAAACTTTCTCTTTTTTGAAACAAGGTCTCACTGTGCTGTCCAGGCTGGTCTCAAACTCCTGGTCTCAAGTAATCCTCCCACATCTGCTTCCTGAGTAGCTAGGACTACCATTGTCAGCCACCACTGTACTCAGCTTGAAATAAACTTTCTGATTTCAAGGTATTAAGGTTTCAGGATTTTGCAGCTAGGGTTACCTTTAATAAAAACAATGCACTTTATTTTGTAAAAGGCATTCACCTACAGCCTATTCACAATCAGCATTTGGGAGCCGTTCCTGGATTGGGAACCAGAGCCAGATATCTGGCGGGAAGCCTAGTTTAATTTTTTGGAGACTGAAAAAATATTTGGCAAGTTTCTTTTTGAAATTAGGTCACAATGTGTGTACCAAAAATGCACAAAAAGCTCCTAATTTATTTTGCCATGGAATGGAGATTTTTCTCTAAAACTGACATCTGACGACATTTCACATACCTGGGGAGGCTGTTGGGGAAAGCTGTTGTTTCAACTGCCATCTCCAAAGAAATATGAGTAAGTGCTCCTCAAAACCGTGTTGTTTCCTCCTCCCATGCAGCAAAAACACACAATACAATGGTAAAAATCCCTGGCAGGACATTAGCACATGCCATTCAGTGACAACCACAGTCTACAATTTGAAAGACCTGGGCAGCTATTGCTGTCTAGCTCTCAGAGCTAGGATGAGAAGGAGATGGCCAAAGCCTGACTTAAACTCAAATTCTGAAATTGAATTAAATTTATCTAATAAGGGATGTCACTTGGGTGCCTCCTCAGGCCTCTGCACTTACACAGCTCTTTCGATGGAAACAGTTTCTGTGGGAGAAAAGCCTGAGGAAACATAAAAATCCATAGTTCATCCTATGACACAACCCTTTGCTATCCACCTAAGTGACTTCCCAACATTCCAGCCTCCCAGCCTTTTGATAGACAGGTGCAGGACAAGAAGCAAAGACTTCAAATGGGAGGGGAAGACATGACTGCCACATCCCGAGTTACAGAACCTTATAGTGTGGTGGAAAGTGAAGGTGAAAAGTGAAATTACTAAAATGACATCTTTGTAGTGATCAATAATCAACCCAAACTAGGGCAGGGAGCCATTCTGTTGAGTTGAGATGTGCATCTGCAGTCTGCAGCCTGAGTCTCCAGATTCAAGTACTGGCTTTATCACATGCTTAACTGGCTAACATTGGGCAGGATCATTTTTAAGGCTCAATTTCCTTCCACAAAGTGAAGATCATAAAAATAGGCATCACATGCACATGGATCATTGGGAAGGAATCAATGGAATATCTAAGGAATGTGCTAGCTATATAATAAATATTCAATAAACAGTTGTTGATATTAGGAAAAGAAGGCAGATGTCATAGACTTTGGTCAGCTCACCCAGGAAGGCTTGTTCAAGGTCAAGGAATGAAGGAATGAAGGCTACATCTACACCTATTTTTACTAGAAAAACAGATTGGGGTAACCATGCTCTTAAGCCATGTTCTAAGCTGACGTAGAGCCCATGTCCAGTGCAGAAGGTAATAAAAATAATAGCGAACACATAGATAGTGGTTTATAACATACAGAGCATTTTCACATATACTTTGGATCTAATCTTTAAAATCCTAGAAGATGGATAACACAGATGTTTTTATTTCCACCATATAGATGACAAAATCAAGGCTTGGAGAGGAGAGGTGTTTTGCTAAAATCCACACAACCAGCCAGAAACAGAGCTAGGATTTAAACCTAGGCCTTTTTATTCCAGAGTCAAGAGATGGATCCACTGTGCATGGAGAGAGGAAGTGTGAGACAGACAAGGCGTTTGGTCCATGTTAATCAGAAAAGATTTTAAATCAGGGTATGAATGAAAATCTTAGAACAAGTTTCTAAGTTAAACGAGGAGGGAAGCAGCATGTCAAGACCATTTGCTAAGGCTTGGAG